>NC_000018.10:29661206-30286206 GCF_000001405.40 Homo sapiens
TTTATTTCTTCATTTATTTCCTTCATTTTCTGCTACTATTGTATACCTTGCTAATGTATAATTATTTTTTCCTGACTATATTTTGGGAAAATGCACATACATATACACATACATATATACATACATACATACATACATCTTAGGAACAAAATATCAACTGAATTACAAAAGAAGAGAGATATGTAAAAAATCCAGAAAATACCATTTGCTATGAGTAGCAGGAAATGTGAATAGGAAATAAATTACTGTCTTTATAATTTTTATGGATAGTACAATTTTCCAATATTATCTGATATTATAATCACTTAGCTCCTTGGCCTGGATAATTAGATCTAGTTTTAGAAAGTACTAATAATAGAAAAAGAAAAGAATCTGTAGCTGGTTTCAGAGTGTCATTTTGTTACTGTGTACTTTCTATTTAATTCTACAGAAGGTAAGGTCATAAGTAGAAAATGCCTTAAAATACTCCTAGCTAATAATTTTTATTTATTGCAATAGTTTTAAAGTTCAAAACAACTTTCATACATCCCATCTTCATATTTCTATAATAATTTTATTCATAAGTATTCGATAAGGGAGATTTAAATATTATCAAAACTGACATAATAAAAATGTTAAAACCACAGGACAGAATGACAAGATTCAGAGTTCTTAATTAGTCAATAAAACTGTTCACATTCCTCTTCACAATCCACCTACGTCTCTTTGTGTGTGTGTGTGTCAATACATGTCGAAATTTAAAAAAATACCTTTGACATTTGTAGGTATTGTAATGGATGACAATTAGACATTAAAATTCAATAAATAAGCACAATTAAAGCAAAGAAATCTGGAACATATCATTAAAACGCAATACCCTAGCATTCAACTTCTGTCCACTCCTTCTTTGCTTAGCCTTGATGTAGTGGGAGTCTGCAGAATTCTGTCAGCAGTTTTCATCTACTACAGCTTTCACTCCTCTGTGTCGGTGTTTACATACACTCCCCAACCTTCTCCATATGTCATTGATGCACAAATCTTCTTCTCAAAATCCAAATCATGCCTTGAGCTCCAACTGTTCCTTTCTAAAAAACCTGTTGAAAATCACTCTATAAAACATCTCCTAGATACCTTAAAGTCAATATATCAAAAAGTGTTCTAATCAGCTCTCTCCTTTCCCAACAGTGACTTTTCCTTTTTGTGCCATAATTTTTTATGAATGGTATGATTATCTAATCATTCAGAAAATCTAAAAAGCAGACAGTTTCATTGAATGGTAGCTCTCCTTTAACTTCATAAGCAATTCTTCTTTAGTATTTGCAAAAGTAGTAATTCTATATATAATTATTCCATTCATTAATTTATGTAAGTGTATATCATTTGCATACACATTTCAGATATTATTCTAGGTGGTTGCATATCAGTATTATGAGCTTACTCTTTAGTGGGGACAGAGAGAAGACAAACTGATAATCAATATAATTAAAATCTGTAATATATATGAAGATGATTTTTAATAGTATATTAAGTCTTTTATAAAATGTAGGGTGAAGAAGATTACCACTATACTTTCTGCAAAAGAGAAGGCATGGTGAGAGAAAATATACTTTTTTAAGGATCAGGAAGATGTTCCTGAAGAAATGATGAAGAGCCAGAATGATAAGAAAGATTTAAATATATTTTTAATGATTATAAGTTAAATTGTTTAAAAGTGGAGGAATAAGCAATTCACTTATCTTTCTGCTAACTCAATTTCCTTATCTTTAAAATGGGTATATAACAACCATGTGATTGTGAGAATCAAATAAATTAATGCACATTAAGTGCATCAAAAATATGTGGCATGTGTATTAGTTCATTATATTTAATTTATTACCAATATTATTATTTAATTACATAATATATAAAAAGCACTATGCACAGTATCACAAAAAATAAAAATGTGTACAGTATATATACTTATGTGTTTTGTGTACATAATTTCAGTGGTTATCATTCTCCAAGATGAAAAGATTTACATATTCTTGCATTATTTAATGTTTCTTTGAGTCTGTCACAAAGGAATTTTAATTAGAAAACTCTAGCCTTCATGGTCAGAACCATGATAGTCTAAAAGCAGGACAAGCACAGATAATTCCTAAGAAATGATTTTTTTTAAACTACTAAAATGATATTTCCAAGGTTTCAAATTAAATCATATTGGCCAAACTGTGTGTGTGTGTGTGTGTGTGTGTGTGTGTGTGTGTGTGTGTGTGTGTATGTATGTATTCAATCCGGTATCACCTGCAATTCTGCTATTGAAATAAGAACTTATCTTAAGGCTCTTTTTAAAAAAAATTAATGGTTATGTTCCTGGCCTGTCCATCCATTGGTGTGCCTGTCCATTGTATTAAAGGCCTGGATGAATTTATTTATAGCCATAATCTTTTCTTTGGATAATAGCTAAAGCTAATGGTGTATCATTGGTACAACCCTGGCAGTCTATCTTCCTGATTCCTCAGGGTAGCTATCCCTTGTACCTCATCACTCCATTGGATCTCTAAACAGACATCATCCTTAAAATCCCGTTTGTACCATTTGGATCAGGTCAGGAAGAGTGATAGCTCTAATCTTCTTGGAGTGATATTATTAATCTTGAGCAGGTGAGCTCCAAGGTACTTTCTCTAACCTATACATTTAGAAAGCAGAAGCTTTAGGGCTGTAATGAATAAAGCTAAAATGTAAGCCTGAAGCATAAGGGGAAATGATTGTAAGATTAAGCTGTCCTTTAGGTTTGTGCTTAAACCTTGTTTACTCTGTTGAATCAAGAGCTTTAAGAAAACTGAAAAGAGGTATGGAATGGGCTTTCCATCTGAAGAGAATCAAAATATTATTCTGTTGTCAGAGTTATTTATTTTTTTCTCTAACAGAGTCTGTGTAAAAATCACAGCTAAATAAAATTTAGTCTAATATTCTAAGAATATTTCAATGGCTTTCTGAAGCATTTGTCTTTAATTTGTTCATAAACCTGTATCTATAATTGACAAAATAAAGTAACTCATTTGGAGACCAAAATTAAAAGTGAACTTCCTTATTTTTTTCTCTCCTTCACTCCCTTCATAAATCATCTGCTTGATGATCTAAATCCATTTCTCCTGCAAACGATAGAAAGGGGTGTGTCGTTCTTCTGTTATACATATTCACATAGGGGTTAATTCAAGTTTTTATTTTTTCTAAATCCTGTATTCACACTCACTAGGAAATCTTTATTTTCAATTACCTTTCAGTGAGTCATAATATGATACGAGTTGAAGCACATACAGATATACAGGGAGTGGTTACAAATGTTTAAAAGTTTCAAAGTACCTCTTTTGACTACATGTATAAATATTTAAAAGTAATACTTTTTTTAACCTAGGTGCTGTTTTTTCTACTTATTAAAATGGCACAGGGTTATTTTGCTTACAGACAGAAATGCATTTTTACAGTGTTCCCATGATTCACTAATCCTACTATCAGGTTTTTATAAGTTACTAGTTAAGATGGTTATGTGCATTTTGTAAATTGTAAAAAAAATTTAAAAGTTAGACTTCCTATTTGTTTTGCTTGAGTATAGATGGAATGCCTTTAAAAATGTTGAATCATTCAATATGTTCACATAATATGTGTCTTAATGACCATGAGCTACTGTGTACATTAGCTTCTCTGTAGCTTAGTTTTCTTATTTGTAAAATGGAGATCCTAACGTGTATGCATTTTAAGAAACACTTATTGCAACACATTAAATTGCAGATATTATGCTAAGTGCTTTGCATTAATCTTTTTATCAACTCTCTTGGCATTGTTTTACATATAAGGAGACTGAGGCATAGAGAAGTTAAGTAACTTTCCAAGCTTATAAATCTATCAAGTAGTAAACATTCAAACCCAGAAAGTATAACGTCAAGTCCCAAGTGCTTGAAGTTATGACATTTTGCTGCTGCTTCTCTACCAAATACGGTTTTTAAAAACAAATTATTTCACAGAACAGTGCTCAGAATATTGAACTGCCTATATAAGTGTGAATTACTATAATTATTGTCATAATTATTGTGATATTTGTATTTAACCAACAGTTTTCTCATATCTACTCTGTGTCAGGAATTGTGGAATATTATTGCTATGCTTGGTATTATTAGTAGGTCCACTTTGCAGAAGAGAAAATAAAGGTTCTGAGAATTTAAATTGCTCAAATAGAAACAGCAGGAGGCAGACCTAGAATGCAACTTTTTAATTACAATAATGCAGGTTTAAAAGTTCAGAACTAGATTTGTCTCATAATTTTGTAATATCAATGACCTTGAAATGAAGCTAGATAATTTTAGTGATTTCAGAAGACTAGAATATTACTTTAAAATCTTCAAAGCAGAAAAGTGGTATAATTAAAGCAAAGAAGGTCTATGAATACCAGATTAAAAATACACATTTTTTCCAAATATATTAAGACGTAGAGATTATTTAAAAAGAAACTGGTTAGAATTATCATCACAAAGATAAAATACGTAACTTGTGGAAAATGTCATGTATGCTATAGCAAAGGAAACCTAAGATAGTTCAGGGGAAGGCGGAAACATGAAACATAAAATATGATAATCATTTCCCTCCTGGTGCACCTTCTTACGAGAAGAAAACAAGTGGCTTCAATAAGTACTATTGACCCTAGAAAAACACAGGCTTGAACCGTGCAGGTCCGCTTATATATGGATTTTCTTTCACCTCTGCCAGCCTTGCAACAGCAAGACCGGCCTCTCCTCTTCTTTGATCTCTTAATCCAATTTAACATGAAGAAAAGGAGGATGAAGACCTTTATGATGATCAGCTTCCATTTAACGAAGAGTAAATATAATTTCTCTTCCCTATGATTTTCTTTTTCTAAAATTAGTAAATTGTATTTGAATAAATAAATTTGAGTGTATACTTTTATACTTCTCCATCACCTATTTTGTTTTAAATTTTAACTTAATTTCAATTGTTATGTTCAATAGAGGGGGTACATATGCAGGTTTGGTATATGTATATTGCATCCAAGTAGTAAGTATAGTACCTAACAGGTACTTTTTCAACCCATGCACCACTTCCTTTCTCCCTGCGCCAATCAATGGTCAACAGTGTCTATTCTTCTCATGTTTATGCCCATGTGTGCTCAATGTTTAGCAACAACTTATTTTTTTTTAACTTTTATTTTAGGTTTGAGGGTACGTGTGCAGGTTTTTAAAAAATTTAATATAAGTTCTGGTATACATGTGCAGGATGTACAGATTTGTTACATACATAAAGATGTGCCATGGTGGTTTGCTGCACTTATCAACCCATCACAAGGTATTAAGCCCTGCATGCATTAGCAACAACTTATAAGTGAGACCATGTGGTAGTTTGTTTTCTGGTTCTAAATTTGTTCACTTAGAATTGTGGCCTCTAGTTCCATCCATGTTGCTGTAAGGGCCATGATCTCATTCTTTTTTATGGCTGTGTAGTATTCCATGCTGTACATGTACCACATTTTCTTTATTCAGTCCACTGTTGATGGGCACATGGATTGATTCCATTTCTTTGCTATTGTGAATAGTGCTGTGATGGACAGATGAGTCCATGTGTCTTTTCGTATAATAATCTATTTTCTTTTGGGTATATACCCAGTAATGGGATTTCTGGGTCAAATAGTAGTTTAAGTTTTTTGAGAAATGTTGAAACTGCTTACCACAGTGGCTAAACTAATTTAGTTTTCCACCGACAGTGGGAATGTAGCCATTCCCTTTTCTCTGTAGCCTCACCAGAATCTGTTGTTTTTTGACTTTTTAATAATAGCCATTCTGAATGGTGTGAGATGGTATCTCATTGTTGTTTTGATTTGCATTTCTCTAATAATTAATGATGTTGAGCATGTTTTCATATGTTTGCTGGCCACTTGTATGTCTTCATTTGAGAAGTGTCTGCTCATTTCCTTTGCCCATTTTTTTAAAGTGGTTATTCATTTTTTGTTTGTCAAGTTGCTTAAGTTATGTAAAGATTCTGTATATTAGATTTTGTTGTATGCATAGTTTGTAAATATTTTCTCCCATTCTTTTGGTTTTCTGTTTATTCTATTGTTAGTTTATTTTGCTTTACAGAAGCTCCTTAGTTTAATTAGGTCCCACTTGTCAAGTTTTGTTTTTGTTCAAATTGCTTTTGGGGACTTAATAAAAAATCATTTGCCAAGGGCAATGTTGAGAATGCTGTTTCTTAGCTTTTCTTCTAGAATTTTTTTAGTTTGAGGTCTCATATTTAAATCTTTACCTATTTTAAATTAATTTTGTATATGGTGAAAGGTAAGGATGTAGTTTCATTCTTCTGCATATGGCTAGCCAGTTATTTCAGCACCACTCATTGAATAGGGAGTTCTTTCCTCGTCACTTGTTTTCTTAGCCTTGTCAAAGATCAGATGGTTGTAAGTGTGTGGCTTTATTTCTGAGGTTTCTATTCTTTTCCATTGGTCTATGTGTCTGTTTTTGTACCAGTACCAGGCTGTTTTTATTACTATGGCCTTATAATAAAGTTTGAAGTTGGATAGTGTGATGACTCTGGCTTTATCCTTTTTGGTTAGGATTGCTTTGGGTATTAGATATCTTTGTTTTTTTTGTTCCATATGAATTTTAGAAAAGTTTTTTTTCTAATTCTGTGAAAAATGGCATTGGTATTTTTACATGAACAGCATTTCATCTGTAAATTATTTATGGAAGTCTGGTCATTTTAACAATATTGATTCTTCCAATCCATGAGCATGAAATGTTTTCAAATTTACTTGTGTCATCTCTGATTTCTTTTAGCAGTGCTTTGTAGCCTCAAACTAAATGGATTCACAGTTGAATTCTACCAGACAAAAAAACAAGAAATGGTACCCATCCTACTGAAACTATTCCAAACTATTGAGGAGGAGGGGCTCCTTTCCTAACTAATTCTATAAGGCCAGCATCACTCTAATACCAAAATTTGGCAGAGACACAATGAAAAAAGGAAACATCAGGCCTGTATCACTAATGAACATAGACAAAAAAAAATACTCAACAATACTAGCAGACTGAATCCAGCTGCACATCAAAAAGTTAACACAACACAATCAAGTAGGCTTTATTCCTGGGGTGAAAGGCTGGTTCAACATACAAAATAAATGCCATTTGCCACAAATCAGAGCATTAAAAGCAAAAAAAGAAAAAGAAAAAAAATCATCTTTGTAGATGCGGAAAAGTCTTTTGATAAAATTTAATGTTCCTTCATGATAAAAAGCCGTCAACAGACTAGGCATTGAAAGAACATACCTCAAAATAATAAAAGCTATTTATAACAAAACCCACAGCCAACATCATATTGAATGGACAAAATCTGGAGCCATTCTACTTGAGAACTGGAGCAAGACAAGGATGTCCACTCTCACCAGTCCTAGTCAACATTTTACTGGAAGTATTAGGTAGAACAATGAGGTAAGATTAATAAATAACAGGCATTCCATTAGGAAAAGAAGTCAAACTATTACTCTTCACTGATGATATGATTGTATACTTAGAAAATCCTGAAGACTCCACCAATAAACTAAATGCTTAGAAATATAGCTAACCAAGGAGGTGAAAGAACTTTATGATATTCTTAATAACATTATGTTTCATATAGCTTACTTTATTGTAAGAACACAGTGTATAATACAAATAAAATATAATATATGTGGGCTGGGCATGGTGGCTCACACCTGTAATACCTGCACCTTGGGAGGCTGAGGCAGGAAGATCACTTGAGGTCACAAGTTCAAGACCAGCCTAGCCAACACGGTGACACCCAGTCTTTACTAAAAATACAAAAATTAGCCAGCCATTGTGATAGGCACCTGTAATCCCAGCTACCTGGGAGGCTGAGGCAGAAAAATCTCTTGAACCCAGGAGGCAGAGGTTGCAGCAAGCCAAGATGGCCCCACTGCACTCCAGTCTGGGTGACAGAGTAAGACTCCATCTCAAATATATATACACACACACACATATTATAATGTATGTGTTAATTGACAGTTTATGTTATCAGTGAGGCATCTATACCATAGGCTATTGTTAGGTTTTTGGTAATTCAAAAATTATATGTAGATTTTCAGTTGCACAGGGGTCGGTGCTGCTAACCTCATGTTGTTCAAGGGTGAACTTTTATTTATTATTTTTACAACTTGCATAATTCAAATAAAAATGAAGGTGCTTTGGTATGCTTAGACAACGTTTCTATGTCCCTTTTTTAAAAGCATATCTTCTGAGCTATGCCTGTTTATATTTACTGTGTTACATTTGGATTCATTTCTACCAAGTAATATTATGTCTCATAATTGGTTATGTCTTATTTCTTGTTATATATCTTCCTTTGGATTTATTGTAGTTTATTTTCCAGTAATTTTCTCCCTACTGGTTTTAAAATTACACACTTATATGCTATTCTTTAAAAACTTCTCTTGGGCTTTTATAATGCATATTTTATGTAATAAGGCTTAAAGTTCGGAAATATTTCTAACTTTTTTCCTGAAAACACAAGACTTAAAAACCTTTCTACTCCATTCACCTACCCCTAGCTTGAATGTTCCTGTTGTTCACTATTTTTGATCTGTTTAATAACACCATGTGCTGTAACATATGTTTTATTGAATGATGATATAGATAGAGAAAAGTGCACAAATCTTCACGTTTTTAGCTCAGTGCACATTGCAAAGTGAACACATTTATATAAGCGGTATCCAGAAACCCCACTATGAGGTCTATATCCAGCATTTTATTTTGAACTCAACACATCATTATTATTTTATAAGTTGGTAGAGATTGTTTAGGCTCTAGTCATTTCCCATTTAAATATTTTCCTTCTCCAATTGCTATGAACTGTCTATGGGAATTCTAATCAGAGAAATATGCTAACTTTCCCATTATTTCTTTTTCTTCTGCTTTTATATATATAATATATATATTTTACAAATTCTTGTCTTACAGCATTTGCACTCTTAAACTATTAAAAACTTTTAAAGAAAGTAAATTCATTACTGCCATAAAATTATAAAACGAATACATCAAAGATTTTATTTAAGGTATTTATTAACTAAGTATGTACTCAATAAGGTATTAAAAACTAGTTCAAAGGAGAATTTAACACACAAGCAAAGAAAATTAAAAATGCTCAAAAGTATTTACTAATTGACAGAAAACTGGCCAATATACACAGGGCAATAATAAATTGTACCCCAAAACCTATTTGCATTTCTATGAAGTAATTTTCATTTCTAATAGTTAACATTAACTTACAGAGTTATACAAAAGCATAAAGGTGATGAAAGAAAGGGGTCAATAATCTGGGAAAGTCTGCTAGACAGGACACCCAGTGATAATTTTTGCTCATTTCAATGACTTTTAAATTTATCCTGACATTATGACATAAGCAGAAAGTGTTTAAAAAGAAATGTCAAATGAAAGATGAAGAGGAAGGAGGAGGAGGCAGAAAGGAGGAGAATAGTAAAATAACAATTGCCAATTAAGTCTGAAATAATAAATGCAAATGCATTAGTTAGCCTCACAAATCCCCCAAAAAAACCCCAAACAACAATACAAAAAATGAGAGCTTAAAGGTAGATTGTTATATCAGATTTTAAAAATCTAGCTGTGTGCAGTTTACAAGAGAAATACCTAAATCTAAAGAACTAAAACAAAAAGAAGAATGAAGTTTGAAGACTAAAATATAATAAATCATGAGAACCCTAATGAAAAATTAGATAGCTAATTTAATTCCTGAAAAAACAGACTATAAATTTAATAAATAGTTTAAATAGAGGGATAGAGAATAAAAAATGTGTAACCAGGAATGAATAACGATTTAAAATTTATAGTTTCTGGTAAAACACTTTTAATCTACATAAAGTGGAAATTTTGGGGGAGTGGGGCCAAGATGGCTGACTAGAAGCAGCTAGTGTGCATTGCTCTCATGGAGAGGAGAGAGCGATGAGTAAACGGTAGCTCATTAACTGAACATCCAGGTAGACACTTTTACATTTAGCAGAGAAGCAATGCAACCAACAGACAACAAAGAAGAGAGAGATGGGACAGCCACCCATCTGACATCAGCATGGAGCCACAGTAGTCTCCCCTTCATAGGGAAATGGTGAGTGTGTGAGAGCCCCCAGAGACCCACACTTCTGCCATGAACCTTTCCAACCTTGGGCTCAAGAGATCCCCCATGACCCCTCCCCGCTGGGACCTCCAGACAGAGAGAGCTATGTGGATTCTGAGCAAAGCCTCCACTCAGGCACATGTGGAGTTCCAGGGGCCTTGGACCACTGGGCATCCTGACAACAGTGGTTGCAGCTCCAGCAACAGTAAAGGCCAGGCCCCCTCACATGTCCCCAGAATAGGGGCTGAATCCATGAGACTAAGGAGTAGACAGACTGCAGGCCTCACCTCCACTGCACTTCACTGAACAATGCCCACTGGCCTAGGACCATGGCATGGACACCCCAGCCCAACCTGAGCAGCCCTGCATTTCCCTGGGATGGAGCTGCAAGAGGGAGTGGGGAGACCTTTCAATTTGGCTGCCTTGCAGTCCCTGCACCTGCAGCCCTCAGGCTTGAGAGTGAGTGAAATTATTAAGGACTAGTGTGGGCCCACAGCACAGAGCAGCTGTCTTATGGAAAAATGGCCAGACTGTTTTCCACAAGGTTCCCTGCCACCACTACTCCTCACTGGGCAGGGCCTCCCAACCTGTAACCCCAGCCACCTCAGCCCCACCTGGGATCTCCAGCCAGTAGCAGCTCTGCACTTGCTGGGATAGAGCTCCCAGTGGTAACAGACAGGCCCTCCATATTTATTGGTCCACAGCTCCAATCTTTACTACCCTCAGGCTTGGGAGGGAACACAGTGATTAAGGACTAATGTGGGACCCCAGCACAGAACAGCTGCCTTATGGAAAAGTGGCCAAACTGTTTTCCACATGTGTCTCTGCAATTTTTACTCCTCACTGGTCAAGGCCTCTAAATCTGGACCCCCAGCATAACTACCCTGCCCCTGCCTGAACTCTTCAGTCAGTAGCAGCTTCTGTTTCTTTGGGGAGGAAATCCTAGAGACAGCTCACAGCCCCTTTCCCATTGCAGGTACAGTGGTACCTGCCTTTACTGCCCTTGGGGAGAGGAAAAAACAAAGGCCCTGGTCATGACACTGGAACCTTCAGCACACCCACAGCCACCATACACAGAGGAGCCCAGTCTATCTTTCCTGTGAGCCCCCAGCCCCTACTCCTCAACAGGCAGGGCCCTTGGGTTCACAGAGCAGATGCCCCACTCCTGACTGAGCATTCCCACTGGTAGTGGCTCTGTGTTTCCCTGGGGGTGGAGGTTTCAGACACTACTGACAGTGCCTCTATCAATGTCACTGCAGCAGTTCTGCCCTTGCTGCTTTCAGACTGGAGAAGGAACAAAGAGCCTAAGGGCTTTACTCATGCCTCCAGCATGCCACACTCACCATAAAAGAAGAGCCTAGTCTCTCTTCCTTGTGAGCCTCCAACCCCCTGTCCTTCACTAAGTAGGGCCCCTGGCTTGGGCCCACAGCACAACCACCACATCCCCTGGCTGAACATTCCTATTGGCAGTGGCTCTGCATTGCTCTAGGGTAGAGCTCTCAGAAGCAACTGAAAGCCCTTCTGCCACTACCTTTGCAGTGGTACTGCCTTTGCTTCGTTTAGACTGAGGAAGCAACAAAAAAAACCTGAATGCTGTACTCACACCTCCAGCATGTCACAGGTAACTTAAGGAGAAGAGTCCAGTCTGTCTTCCCCATGAGCCCCTTACCCCTCAGCTCATCACCAGGGAGGGACCCTGGCTTGGGACCACAGCACAGCTGTCTCACTCCAGCTCTGTGTTTCCCTGAGGTGCAGCCCCAAGTGACAAGTGAAAGGCCTTCTGCCACTGCCATGCCAAGGTCCCTGCACATGCTGCCCTCAGGCTGGGGAGGGAAGATAAATCCTGAGTTCTTCCTGGGGCTGCAGTGTACAGCCCAGGAGTGCCAAGCCAAGATCTGCAGCCAGCACTCAAGTGGTCGAGGAGCCCACATCATCAGGGCACTGAGAAGAAGCAAGTCTGCAAATGCAAGAAAATATATAGGAGCCACATGGTTGAGCAAGAGGCTGCCAACTACCCATTACATTTAATTGTCATTGACAGAATTACAACCCAAACTTCGACATCGCAAATGCTTTGCTAATATATGCCCCTGTGTAACCAATGACAAGAATTCAGCTAAAAATAAAAATCCAGCGCGAAGCCTTGGTCCTCGGAAAGCATCCAGCAATGAAATCAACTGACTGTATTCAAAATATACCACAGTTAAAGGAACATCAGCCCACACAGATGAGAACCAGTGTAAGAACTCTGACAATTCTCAGAGCCAGAGTGTCTTCTTGCCTCCAAATGATCACACTGGTTCCTACACCGTGGTTCTTAACCAGGTTGAGATGGCTGAAATAACAGACATAAAATTCAGAATATGGATAGGAAAAAAAAGATCATCAAGATTCAGGAGAAAGTTGAAGCCCAATTCAGTGAATCCAAGGATTACAATAAAACTACATAGGAGCTGACAGACTCGATGACCACTTTATGAAAGAACCAAACTTATCTAATAGACCTGAAAAGCACACTACAATAATTTCATAATATGATTGCAAGTATTAACAGCTGAATACACCAAGTTGAGGAAAGAATCTGAGAGCTTGAAGACTGGTTCTGCAAACTAATTCAGTAAGACAAAAATAAAGGAAAAAAGAATAAGAAATAATGAAACAAACCACTGAGAAATATAAGATTATGTAAAATGACCAAATCTATGACTCACTGTCATCCCTGAAAGAGAGGATGAGAAAACAAGCAATGTGGTAAACATATTTGAGTATATTGCCCACGAAACCTTCCCCAATCTCACTAGAGTTGCCAACATTCATATTCGGAAAATGCAGAGAACCCCTGCAAGATACTACATAAGAATCATCGCCAAGACAGATAATCATCAGATTCTCCAAGGTTGACATGAAAGCAAAGGTATTAAAGGCAGTTAGAGAGAAGGGGCAGGATACCTACAAAACAAACCCCATCAAGCTAACAGTGGATATTTCATCAAAAACGCTACAAACCAGAAGATAGGGGGCCCATATTGAGCATTATGGAAGAAAAGAAACTCCAACCAATAATTTTATATGCAGCCAAACAGCTTCATTAGTGAAGGAGAAATCAGATCCTTTTCAGCAAGCAAATGGAAGGAAATTTGTTACCAGCTGATATGGTTTGGGTGTGTCCCCACCCAAATCTCACCTTGAATTGTAACTCCCACAATTCCCATGTGTCCTGGGAGGAACCCAGTGGGAGGTAATTGAATCATGGGGGTGGGTCTTTCCCATGCTGTTCTCATGATAGCAAATAAGTCTCACGAGCTCTGACGGTATTATAAGGGGGAGTTTCCCTGCCCAATCTCATTTTCTTTTTGCCTGCTGCCATCTGTGTAAGATGTGATTTGCTCCTCCTTGCCTTCTGCCATGATCATGAGGCTTTCCCAGCTACGTGGAACTGTAAGTCCAATTAAATCTCTTTTGTAAATTGCCCAGTTTCAGGTATGTGTTTATCAGCAGCATGAAAATGGACTAATACACCACCAGACCTGCCTTAAAAGAGGTATTTAAGAGAGTGCTAAATACAGAAAGGAAAGACTAGTACTGGACACTACAAAAACAGACCTACATACATAGACCATTGATGCTATAAAGCTGTTACCTAGTGAAGTCTGCATAATAACCAGTGAACAACAAAATGACATGATCAAATTTGTACATATCAATATTAACCTTTAATGTAAATGCTCTAAATGCCCCAATTAAAAGGCACAGCGTGGCATGTTGGATAAAGAAGGAAGATCTAACAGTGTACTGTCTTCAAAACATCCATCTTACATGCAATGATACCCATAGGCACAAAGTAAAAGGACAGAAAAAGATCTACCAAGCAAATGGAAAACAAACAAACAAAAAAACAGACATGACTATTTTAATTTCAGACAAAACAGACCTTAAACAAACAACAATCAAAAACAAAGAAAGGCATTACATAATGGCAAAGATTTCAATTCAACAAGAATACTTAACTGTCCTAAATATATATACTACTAATGTTGGAGCTCCCAGGTTCATAAAACAAGTTCTTAGGTACCTACAAAGTGACTTAGTAACCATACAATGATAGCAAGAGACTTCAACACCACAAGGACAGTATTAAACAGATCTTTTAGTCAGAAGACTAACAAAGATATTCAGGACTTGAACTCTAAGCTTGACCAAATAGACCTAACAGACATTTAAAGAAGTCTACACCCAAAAACAACAGAATATACATTCTTCTCATGTACATATGACACATACTCTAAAATCAACCACAATTTGGCCATAAAACAATTATTAGCACATTTAAATAACGCCAGATCATACAAACCACACTCTCAGAACACAGAGCAATAAAAATAAAAATTAATACTATGAAGATTGCTGAAAACCATACAATTACATAGAAATTAAACAACCTGCTCCTGAATAACTTCTGTAAACAATGAAATTAAGGCAGAAACTAAGAAGTTCTTTGATATTAAGGAGAAAAAAGATATAACATACCAGAATCTCTGGGATACAGCTAAAGCAGTGTAAGGAGAAAATTTGTAGCACAAAACATCAACAAGTTACAAAGATCTCAAATTAACAATGTAACATAGCACCTGGAGAAAATTTTAAAAAGAGCAAAGTAACCCCAAAGCTGACAGAAACAAAGAAATAACCAAAATCAGAGCTAAATTAAATGAAATTCAGGTGTGAAAAAAACACACAAAAGATCAATAAATCCAGAAGTTGTTTTTTTGAAAAAAAAATCAATAAAGTAGATAGACTGTTGGCTAGACTAATAAAGAAAAAAAAGAGACAAAATCCAAAAATAAAAAAAATCAGAAAAGACAAAAGGGACAATACCACTGACTTCACAGAAACACTAAAATTCAACAGAGACTTTCATGAAAAACTCTATGAATACAAACTGGAAAACCTCAAAGAAGTGGATAAATTCTTGGAAACATACAACCTCTCAAGACTGAACCAGGAAGAAATTCCAACCCTGAACAGACGAATGATGAGTTCCAATATTAAATCAGTAATAAAAAGCCTACCAACCAGAGAAGGCCCAGGGCCAGATGGATTCACAGCCTGATTCTATCAGGTATATAAGGAAGGGCTGTTACCATTCCTTTTGAAACTATTGCAAAAAGTTGAAGGGGAGGGACTCTGCCCTAATTCATGCTATGAGGTCAGTATCATTGAACATGACAAAGACGCAACAAAAAAGAAAACTTCAGGCCAATATCCTTGATGAACATAGATGCAAAAGTATTCAACAAAGTACTAGCAAACTGAATCCAGCAGCAAATCAAAAAGTTAATCCATCACTATCAAGTAGGCTTTATTGATGGGATGCAAGATTGGTTCAACATATGCAAATCAATAAATGTGATTCATCTCTTAAACAGAACTAAAAAACAGAACCTAAAAACCCTATAGTTTCTGCCCAAAACCTCTTGGATCTGATAAGCAATTTCAGAAGTTTCTGGATGCAAACCAACCTACAAAAATCTGTAGCATTACTATACACCAATAACATCCAACCCGAGTGTTAAATCAGGAAAGTAATCCCATTCACAATAGCCACAAAAAATAAAATACCTGGGTAGACAGTTAATCAGGGAGGTGAAAGAACTCTGCAATGAGAATTGCAAAAACACTGCTGAAAGAAATCAAAGATGATAGAAACAAATGGAAAAACATTCCATGTTCATGAATAGGAAAAATCAGTATTGTCAAAATGGCCATAGCGCTCAAAACAATTCATAAATTCAATGCTATTTCTAATGAACTACCAATGACATTCTTCAAAAACTAGAAAAATATATTTTAAATTCAAATGTAACAATAAAAGATCCTGAATAGCCAAGGTAGGCCTAAGCAAAATGAACAAAGCTGGAGATATCACATTACTCTGACATCTAACTATGCTGTAAGGCTACAGTAAGCAAAACAGTATGGTACTGGGCAAAAAATAGACGCAGAGACCAAAGAAACAGAACAGAGCCCAGAAATAAATTTATGTACCTACAACCATCTGACCTTCAACAAATTTGACAAAAACAATCAATGGGAAAAGGCTCCCTGATCAATAAATGGTGCTGGGATATCATATCTGGCTAGCCATATGCAAATTATTTTAACTGGACCCTTTCCTTATACCATATACAAAAATCAACTTGAGATGGATCAAAGACTTAAATTTAAAACATAAAACTACAAAAACCCTTGAAGAAAACCCAGGAAATACCATTCGAGACAGGCCTTGGCAAAGATTTTATGAAAAAGATGCCAAAAGCAATTGTAACTGAAATAAAAATTGACAAATAGGACCTAATTACACTAAAGAGCTTCTGTTCAGCAAAAGAAACAGTCATCAACATAAACAGACAACCACAGAGTGGAAGAAAATGTTTGTAAATTATGCATCTGATAAAGGTCTAATATCCAGAGTGTGTAAGGAACTTAAATGAACCAATAAAAATCAAACACCCCATCAAAAAATGGGGAAAGGGTATAAAAAGACACTTTTCAAAAAGAAGACAATATAGGTGGTCAACAAGCATATGAAAAAACTCTCAGGATCTCCAATTATTAGATAAATGCAAATCAAAACCATGAAAGATACCATCTCACACAAGTCAGAATGACTATTATTAAAAATTCAAAAAATAAAAAATGTTGGCAAAGCTGTGGAGAAGGGAGAATGCTTGTACACTGCCAGCAGTGATGTAATTTTCCTAGTTTAGCCACTATGGAAAGCAGTTTGGTGATTTCTCAGGGAACTTAAAACAGAACCACAATTCATTCCAGAAATCCCATTATCGGGTATAGACTTAAAGGAATATAAATCATTCTACCATCATATGTTCATTGTAGTACTATTCACAATAGCGAAGACATGGACTCAATCTAAATGCCCCTCAATGATAGACTGGTTGATGTGGTTTGGCTGTGCCCCCACTCAAATTTCAACTTGAATTGTATCGCCCAGAATTCCCGCGTGTTGTGGGAGGGACCCAGCGGGAGGTCATTGAATCATGGGGGTCTGTTTGCCACTTTACATAGAACATGGGCAATTTTAAAATTTTTTAACACTTATTAACTCTCTAAATTTGTTACAATGAACAAAGTTTATAATCGGAAAAAAAGAAAAGAAAAAATTAAAAACAGTAGCAACAACCAAAGCCCCTACACCATTCTTGCTCACATCAAATTATAGAGCCTAAGGTCCAAAACCAAGGATGATTCTTGATTCTTCTCTGTTCTTGAAACCCCACACCTAACCAAATATTAAATTATGTAGTCTTTATCTTAAGATAAAACTTCATCTCTAACAAAACAACTCTTTTCTTCTCCACCTTCATTGTAGTCCAACCTGCCTTTCTTTGAAGGCTACATCCTCCTTGGTTTTGACTTTATTCAAATTCTAATCTTTTTCCTACAGAGCAGCAAGAACTATCTCAAAAAATAGATGGAATAATGACACTCTTTTGCTTAAAATTCTTCAATTGCTTCTTTAAAAATCAAAGCTTTTTGTAATAATGTAGAAGGTCCTTGTGATCTGATGTTAGTCTACCTTTCCAACCGTATCACACTTTATTACAATCCTCCCCTCCTTACTGCTAATTGGTCCTGCAAGCCTCCTTCTTTTTCTTCTTTTTAAAAAGACTTTACTATTTTTTTAAGAGCAGTTTTAGTTTCACAGCAAAATTGATAGGAAAGTACAGTGATTTCACATATGCCCCCTGCCCCTGACTTATACATAGATATCCTTATTATCAACAACACCCACCAGAGTGGTACGTTTCGTAAAATTGATGAACCTACATTGATATATTATTACCACCTCAACTCTCTAGTTTACATTAGGCTTCAGTCCTAGTGCTGTACATTCTATAGGTTTAAACAAATACATAATGAAGTGTATCCATCATTATGGTATCACACAGAGTAGTTTCACTGCCCTAAAGATAACTGTTCTTCCCACCTTCCCCTCTAAACCCTGACAACCACTCATCATTTTACTGTCTTCATAATTTTCACTTTCAAGAATATCATGTAACTGGAATAATGCAGCATTTAGCCCTTTCGCAATGGCTTCTTTCACATAGTAACATGCATTTAAGTTTCTCTAATGTCTTCTCATGGTGTAATGGCTCATTTGTGAAGAATATTTATGTTTCTGAATAATATTTCACTATCTGGATTAATCCCAATTAAACTATTCACCTACTGAAGAACATATTGGTTGCTTCCAAGATGTTTCCAAATTATGAATAAAGTTGCTATAAAGATCCATGTGCAAGTTTTGTGTGGACATTAAGTTTCAAGTTCCTTTGGATAAATACCGAAGAGCATGATTGGTGGTTTGTATGGTAGGAATATGTTTACTCTCAAAAGAAATGAACAAATTGTCTTCCAAGGTGGATGTATCATTTCACATTCCCATCAGCAAGGTATAAAAACTTCTATTGCTCCAAATCCTCATCAGCATTTGGTTTTGTCAGTGTTCTGGATTTTAGTTATTCTATGAGATATATAGTACTATCTCATTGTTGTTTTAATTTGCATTTCCCTAATGAAATATGATGTGTAGCATCTTCTCATATATTTATCTACTATCTGTATGTCTCCCTTGGTGAGGTATCTGTTAAGGTCTTTGGCTCAGTTTTAAATCAGCTTGTTTGCTTTCTCCTCGTTGAGTTTTAAGAGTTCTACATATATTTTGGATAACGGTCCTGTATCAGATATATTTTTGCAAATACATTCTTCCAATTTGTGGCTTGTCTTTTTATTCTCTTGATTGTTTCTTTTACGGAACAGAAAATTTTGATTTTAATAAAGCTCAGCTTATAAATTATTTCTTTCATGGATCATGTCTTTGGTGTTGCATCTAAAGAGTCACTACCAACCCCAAAGTGATTTAAATGTTTTTCAATGTTATCTTGTAGCCTGAAAGCCTTCTTTATGTTCTTAATATGTCATCTTCTTTCCCATTTCAATGCTGTCTTATTCAGCATCGCCTGCTGATATGGTTTGGCTCTGTGTCCCCACCAAAATCTCACCTTGAATTATGCTATCCCCATAGTCCGCACATGTCAAGGGCTGGACCAGATGTAGGCAATTGCCTCATGGGGGAGGTTCCCCCAATGTTGTTCTCATGATAGTGAGTGAGTTCTCACAAGACCTGATGGTTTTATAAGCATCTGGCATTTTCTCTGTTTGTACTCACTCCATCCTGCCATCCTTTGAAGAAGGTGCCTGCTTCTCCTTTGCCTTCTGCCATGATTGTAAGTTTACTGAGGCTTCCCCAGCAATGCAGAATTGTGAGTCAATTAAACCTCTTTCCTTTATAAATTACCCAGTCTTCACAGCAGTGGGAGAATGGACTAATATAGCTACTATAACAACATGCCATGAATTGGGGAGCCAAAACAATAACAATTTATTTCTTGCAGTTTTGGAGGCTGGGAAGTGCAAGATAAGGGTGCCAGCAGATTTGACATCAGGTGAGGGCCCACTCTTTGCTTCACAGATGGCAACTTCTCTCTGGGTCCTCACATGGTAGAAGGGCAAGGAGCTCCCTCAGGCCTCTTCCATAGGGCAGTAATCACATTCATGTGCGTTCTGTCTTTATGATGTGTTATGATTTGGATATTTGTGCCATCAAAACCTCAGGTTGAAATGTGATTCCCAGTGTTGGAGGTGAGACCTAGTGGGAGGTGTTTGGGTCATGGAAGCATATCCCTCATGAATGGTTTGGTGCTCTCCCTGCAGTAATGAGTTCATATGACAACTGGTTGTTTAAAAGAGCCTGATATCTGTCTCTTGCCTCCTCTCACACCATGTGACATGCCTGCTCCCCCTTCACCTTCAACTATGACTGTAAGCTTCCCGAGGCCCTCACCAGAAGCAGATGCCAACACTATGCTTCTTGTTTAGCCTGCAGAACCACGAGCCAAAATAAACTTCTTCCTTATAAATTACCAATTTTCCTGTATTCCTTTACAAAAGCAATGGAAAACAGGCTAACAAGTGACATAATTACCTCCCAAAGCCTCCACTTCTTAATACCATCACTTTGGTGATTAGGATTTCCAAATATGAATTTGGAAAGGATGAAACATTGAGACCATAGCAAATGCCATGTATCCTCTCTGCTGAGAACATTCCATCTCATAACTGGCTTATTGGGGAAGTCATGAGAATTCATCTCTCAGTTTTCCAACCACAGGGAATATAATTGACATAGGCCTCAGCTGCTGTTCTCCGATATTGATCTCTGGGTTTGCACTGAAGCCCGCACTTCACATAGGCTGCTCCTAGGCAACAGATTGACATGTCAAGGATGCTGAAATGTTCCCCTGCAGGCACAGTGATCCTCTGTGCCGACTTTGGTTCCAGGACTCTCCATGGTCCTGCCCAACTTTTCAGAGGCTGCAGGAGATCACGTTTTCACTTCAATCTTCCTTTCTTTTCTCTTTGAGTTGGGGTTATACTTTCAACACATTTTGACTGCTCTTCCAGCCTTATCTAGATTTGTCTTATTTTCCTTCACAGGCATTTCCCCCAATAAAGTCCTTGAAGATTTAATGCCCTCTGGGTATCTGCTTCTTGGGGAATCTAGTACTAATCCTCTCATACATGCCTCAACTTCTCTTCAGACAAAACCTACCTAACATATAACTTTACTAGTTACTCTGTGTCCCATTACCTTTTTGTTTGTTTTACTAATTTTTAAAAATAGCACTTTTAAATTTTCAATTTTAATGCATGCTCTTTATATAATTATTCTTGTGTTGATTTTCTACTAGTAAAATTTAAGCTCCATGAGATCAGGAATCTTTTTGTGTCATTCACCAATATACCCTTTTTATATCTATGATATAGTAAACACTCAATAAATATTAGTTAAATTAATTTATACCTAGCCTGTAACTAATATGTGACTAACTCTACACAAGTACACTAATAGTTAAAGATTATATAGCAATTGACTAAGTCATCAAAGTGTTCCTATCAATTTTGGTGTGGTACTCTGGACTTTTTTTATGTCTACATAGAACTGATCTCAAGGAATTAATCCATAGGGGTTTAGTGAATACTTTGACAATTTGTAAGTCATCTCTATTAGATGGAGCTATAACTTTGAAACTAAAGGGAAAAATAAAAAGGAGGAATCTGTCAGCCTTCAAATTTCCAACCTACCTGGAGCATTCAATATTCATTACTGAAGTGGTGTCGTTGTCTTGAGTATATATCCGAGGTTCGTCGTCTTATACCAAAGGAATCAAGGATGCAGAAACACAAGATCAGAGGTTTAATAGGCAAAAGAAAGTGAATAGTTCTTTCTCCTGCAGAGAGAGAGGGGTGCCCGAGTGGGTCTTCTGGTCTGCAGCAGAGTGCACGGGGGTTTTATAGACTGGCTTGAGGAGGCAGTATCTGATTTACATAGGGCCCAAAGATTGGTTGGACCAAGTGTGCTCTTTACATAGCACACAAAGAAGCTGGCCACCCGACCCTAATCTTCTGTTATGTAGATGGGTTCTCTACCTGGCCAGCACCATGTTGCCTATTCCTTTATTGTACACATGGTTGACAGAGAAAAAGGAAGCTGGAGCTGCTATGGTGAACATGCCAGCCCCCAGGTAGCCTTTTCCTGTTGGCACAGCTGATGACATTCACCCATGCAATCTTCCAGTTTGCTTATGTATGTCTGTAGCTCGATTTTACAGGCTGCTTTTTGTTAGAAAATAAATGATTTGGGGGCTGCTTTTTATTACAAGGAAAACCTTATCAAGGACTTTCTTACCCTCTTTATCTGCCTAAATAATTTATTTTTAACTCCTATATCATCAATACCACCACTTTTTTTCTCTAGAAAAATTCCCCTTGGCAGTAGTTCATGCCTGTAATCCCAGCACTTTGGGAGGCTGAGGTGGGTGGATCATGAGGTCAAGAGTTCGAGACCATCCTGGCTAACATGGTGAAATCCCATCTATACTAAAAATAGAAAAATTAGCTGGGTGTGGCATCACGTGCCTGTAATCACAGCTACTTAGGATGCTGAGGCAGGAGAATCGCTTGAACCCAGGAAGCGAAGGTTGCAGTGAGCCAAGATCTTGCCACTGCACTCCAGCCTGGTGACAGAGCAAGACACCATCTCAAAAAAAAAAAAAAAAGAAAAATGCCTCTCTTGTCCTCATTCACTTCATACTTTCATGTATTCATTTCTATAAACCTACTCTAATGCTGGCTCCATTTCTCCTTCCTCAATGGTGCATATAGTATACTCAAACTTGGGTTTAGGTATTATTTCTTACTCAGTGAATCCATGCATTCTTACGGCTTCAACTATAGCCTACACAGATGACCCCTATTTCTAAATTTTACTTCCTAATAGTTCTTTCCATATTATGAAATTATGTATATATTTATACATACATATAACTTATATGGAATAATAATAAATAACAATAAACATAATAAATGTACTTATACTACAGGGGTACAGCAACCAAAACAGCATGTACAAGTACAAAAACAGACACATAGACCAGTGGGACAGAAAAGAGAGCCCAGAAATAGGGCTGCACACCAACAACCATCATGATTGTCGACAAAGCTGACAAATATAAGCAATGGAGAAAGGAATCTCTTCTCAATAAATGGTGCTGGGATAACTGGCTAGCCATATGCAGAAGACTGAAACTGGACTCCTTCCTAATACCATATACAAAGAGCAATTCAACATGGATTAAAGACTTAAATCTAAACCCCAAACTATAAAATCCCTGGAAGACAATCTAGCAATACTATTCTTGACATAAGAATGCGCAAAGATTTCATGACGAAGACATCAAAAGCAATTGGCGATGAAAACAAACCTTTATATATGGGATATAATTAAACTAAAGAGCTTTTACATAGCAAAAGAAACTGTCAAAAGAGTAAACAGGTAACCTGTTGAATGGGAGAAAATATTTTCAAACTATGTATCTGACAGAGGTCTAATATCAACCATCTGAAAGGAACTTAAACAAATTTACAAGATAAAAACAAACCACTCAATTAAAAAGTGGGCAAAGAACATGAGCAGACACTTTTCAAAAGAAGACATACATGTGGCCAACAAGCATATGAAAAAAATTTCAATATCACTGATCATTAAAGAGATGCAAGTCAAAACCACCATGAGATATCATTTCACGCCAGTCAGAATGGCTATTTACCAAAAGGCAAAAAATATCAGATGCTGGCAAATTTGCAGAGAAAAGGGAACAAATATACAGTGTTGATGGGTATATAAATTAGTTCAACCATGTGGAAAGCAATGTGGCAATCCTTTAAAGAGCTGAAAACAGAACTACCGTTTGGTTTAGCAATCCCATTACTGGTTATATACCCAGAAGAATATAAATCTTCCTACCATAAATACACATGCACATGAATGTTCATTGCAGCATTATCGACAATAGCAAAGACATGGAATCAAGCTAAATGCCTATCAATGACAGACTGGATAAAGAAAGTGTGGTACATAAACAGCATGGAATACTATGCAGTCAAAAAAAGAATAGATTATGTATTTTGCAGGAACATGGATGGAGCTGGAGGCCACTATCCTTAGCAAAGTAATACAGGAACAAGAACCCAAATACTGCATGTTCTCACTTATAAATGGGAAGTAAATTATGAGAACTTATCAACACAAAGAAGGGACAACAGATATTGGAACCTACTTGAGTGTGGAGGGTGAGAGGAGGGAGAGGAGCAAACTCAAGTAACTATTGGGTACTAGGTTTAGTACCTGATTGACGAAATAAAGTGTACAACAATCCACATAACAGGAGTTTACCTATATAACAAACCTACTTTTGTATCCCTGAACCTAAAATAAAAGTTTAAAATTGTATATATGTAAAAAGTGATATATAAATATTTAAATAATATTTAATATTTTTGACTTCATATTTCAATATAAATATGTAATATAACATTTAATCTAAAATATTTACATTTAAAATATATTAATATTTCAGGTATACACTGTAGGAAGAGCATAGGCTTTATGGTTGTAAATACTACAGTAAAAATTTTGTGTCTGTAACACAAAATTTGTGTCTATAACACAAGGTGTTGCATGAATTTGAACACCTTACTTAAAATTTCTTGGTTCTAGTTTTGTTATCTAAGAAATTGAGCTAACAATACCCACCTTACTAAAATGATAGTTTCTGGCATGAGTTATAGATTTAATAGCATGTTACTGTTAATGGCATTAAAATAAATAGCTTCTGGGATGCACTCCCATCCTCTTACCAATATTTGCCTAATGTGTAAATTTAAATTGTTCAATTTTTACTTTTTCATATCAAATTAATAATGAAAATAAAATAAATTATAATAAGCAAGTGAAAGGTCAAATATATGAGTGAATTAATTTGTTAATACAGTAAATATCTTCTTATAAAAAATTTCCAAAAAGAACTTTAGTAAATTGGCTATTTTCTATTTATAGTCCAAAATCTCTACCAGTCTTGTTGGCATTTTTAAATAGAGTGATAACACCTCTAATGATTCACAAATGATTTCATCTGTTGAGGAAGCAATGAAGTGGTAGTTTAAGAATTTATATATACATATATATATTTTTATTATACTTTAAGTTCTAGGGTACATGTGCACAATGTGCAGGTTTGTTACATATGTATACATGTGCCATGTTGGTGTGCTGCACCCATTAACTCGTCATTTACATTAGGTATATCTCCTAATGCTATCCGTCCCCCCTCCCCCAACGCCACAACACAGAGTTTAAGAATTTTTATACACAAAATAACTGGAAGAAGATTTTGGGGAGAATGTGGTCCCTTCTTTTTTTTTTTTTTTTTTTACTTTTCTTCTTTCTTAACTCTTCTCTCCTAAAACTCTTAAGTATATATAAACCACACAGTCATGCTCACAAAAATTATGATATAGAACTACCTTCTAGCTACATAGTACATAGTACCCATTTTTGAAGGACACTAAAACTACTGCTTCCTCCACTCTTTTCTGTACCCCTTTGGTAACCCAGTGGTGCCAGTGCAAGTGAATTGACTTCAAGAAATAGCCAGAATAAAAAAGAGAGAGGTAAATGTGCACTTCCTTCAGGAAAACATTTTTTTAAAATGTACATCAACTTTGTTAATTTAGTGAGACATTAAAATATACACAAACATCTTTTATCATTTGATTTAAGCATATTTCAATGTTAAGTTTACAATAATGAAAAAGGAATTTATTCATACCAGAGAGCCCTTTCTGTTAAAATCAATAGATTAGACTGCATTCGGGTCTATGTAGTTCTGAACGAAATGTTTCCAAATGGGTTGCAAATTATGTACCACCCACAAAGAGCACTGAAAATTAATAAACACAATTCCATCTTCCATTTATCTTTACTAATGAACCAATAATCATATTTAAGAGATAAATATCTATTCATGATGATAAAGTTTAAACATGATACTTATAAGAAATATTTAATGCATTTACATTAATTTCAGGGTCCATGAAAGATAGTAATTTAATATTCTTCAGGAGTATGTTTTCAACATTAATTTGTTCCTGGATGCCTTGTTTGAGGAATCTAGAATATTTCTATACAAGTAAAAATGTAGTCATATTTAGAAAGGACGCATTTGTTTTTCTGATCTGGGTTATGTAAAGAGTTTGAACTCCAAATGAGAGGCTCAAGCTATATACCAGAATGTTAAATATGTAATGTCACAGATATTGATCTTATGAAGTAAATAAATGTTATTCCTTTTGGACATAATGTATTGTAAAGCATAAAGCAATAATAAAATATTATCTCACTGCTTTTTTATTAATAGAGATAACAAATTTTTCTTAAGTGTAATGGAGCAATCTTCCAAAATGAATATTCTATAAACATGAACCAGTTCAATTATTTTTATTGATAACTAGTGTCGTCACTTAAAAATGTTAAAAACATAATTTTTATACATATACAGGATGATAACTATAAAATTTTTAGCTAATTAATAAGAGAACATAAAGATAAAACAGAAAAAGTACATATGAGAAATTGATCTCTTTTTATACATATGATAATGATGAAGATATACATTAATCCTGCAATAAAATTGTGAAGTAAAATCGAAACAGGTTAATGTTCCATAGGATAATAAAAGAAAAACCTTGGGATTATTGGATTAGTGTTAGTTTTGCACAAGTTAACAGCTAACTTTATTAAGAGTAGGTCCTAGCAATAGTAAATACTTACATTTTTTCAATGAGTTTATTCTTAAGTGAACTTATTAGGAAGTATTCAAGCATGACATTGCAAGGAGACACAGGTTATTTGTTGCCTCATAAATTTTATATACTGTTCCTTAAAACTGTTTTTTGATTATTTAGTAAAGATTAACTTGTCAATTTTTTAATAAGTACTACTTTCATTTAGTAGTTTGTCAAACTTAGTTAAGAGTCTACTTTTGGTGCACAGATTCAAATTCTAGTAGTAAAGTATCTTTCAACCCTATATTAGAGATATCATTAATAAAATAAAATTACCTTAACCTTAAAGAATTCAAATATATCCACAGAGATTAGATTAATTTCTGCCTAGAATATATTCTTGAAACATGATCTTGTAACTTGAGTTATAATTTTAGTAAATCATATTTAGTAAGTGATATATACAGGAACATTTGAAATATATATGGTATTAAATAATACAAACTTGGATATTATAATAAAACAAATTTAATTAATAGGTAATTCCATATACCAAATATTTAAAATATATCTAAAAAGTTTATTGTATACACAAATAATCAAAGTTAAAAATAATGTATTAATATATTAATGAATGTAATTTTAGGATCATGAATTTAACAATAGAATATTTCCTGCTGAGTTGATAAGGAACGTGTTTGGCATAAGTTAGGAGATTAAAAAGGAGCTTGACAAAATAGTAGGTATTGATGTTGCAAAAATAACAATTTTATTACAGCGTCCAGTTATCATCACTGCATATAGTGTTCAGCTCTGTATGAAGTGAACTAATGTCAGAGATTAGCAAAGATGCAATCAAGGAAAGACAAAATGATAAAGAGAAGATATTATATCACCATTTGAAGAAACAGAAAATGAGACAAAATTGAAGAAAACATACTGTGAGGTGATGTCACCTCACACCTTTAAGAAAGCATATTGTTATTATTATCGTTATTTTTCTTTCTTTTGAGATGGAGTCTTGCTCTGTCACCCAGCCCAGAGTGCAATGGCACAATCTCGGCTCACTGCAACCTCCACCTCCTGGGTTCAAGCAATTCTCCTGCCTCAGCCTCCCGAGTAGCTGGGATTACTGGTGCGCACCACCACACCTGGCTAATTTTTTGTAGTTTTAGTAGAGATGGAGTTTCACCATATTGTCCAGGCTGGTCTCAAACTCCTGAACTCTGGTGATCCACCCGCCTCAATCTCCCAGAGTGCTGTGATTACAGGCATGAGACACTGCGCCCACACAAGAAAGCATATTACTAAAAAGACAATAGATACCAACACTGGGTGAGGATATAAAGGAAAGAGAACCCTTGCATCTGTTCGTGGGAATATCAATTAGTACAGTCATCATGAAGAATAGCATGGAGAATCCTCAAAAAATTAAAATCATATAATATATTGCTGGATATATACCTAGCAATTCTACTACTTAGCATATATGTTAAGGAAAGGAAATCATTATATTAAAGAGATATCTGCACTTCTATGTTCACTGTAGCATTTTTTTTTTACTTTAGCCAAAACATGGAATCAACATACATGTCCACCAACCGATGAATGGATAAAGAAAACGTGGCATTTATTCACAATGGAATACTCTTCAGCCTTAAAAACAATAAAATCTTGTCATTTGCAACAACATGGATAGAAGCAAAGGACATTAAGTGACATAATCCAGGCACACAAAGTCAAATACCACACGATCTCACTTATATGTAAAATCTAAAAATCTTGAACTCATAGAAACAGAACATCAAACAGTGGTTACAAGAGGATTAGGGGGATTAGGGAGATGGTCAAAGGACACAAAGTTTTAGTTAGGAGGAGTAAGTTCAAGAGATTTATTGATCCTCCTTCCTCATCCTCCCAAGTGGCTAGCACTCTCAAATGGTTCTGACCAAGTTGAAACATGCCACCATATCTGGCTAACATATATAATTTTTACTTGTTAATTTTAAAAATAAACATATATATATATTTATGCACTTAAATAAGTAAATGATATATTTAAAATGAAGTTCAGATTTATTACACTTTTTTAAAGAAGACATAAGCTCACCTTTTTAAAAAAAGCAATATGCCTTTTCATTCTTCTTTTGTTTTTTTTTTTCATTCTTCCTTTCTAATTGAGAACTGAATTTGGACATTAAGGGTTAAAGAGCTTGAATTATATTATAAACCACAGAACGGGAAAAATGTGTGGTGGCATTTCTCATTTAAAAGAAGGTAGAAGAGAAGCAGAGGGAGTATGACTATCAAATAGCTGAGAAACCTCTCTTGCTCAAAGCCCAAATACTAGGCGATAGAAGTACAAGGTAGAGTGACTTAGATCTGAGAAACTCTTTGCTTCATTTTCTTGTTTAAGCTATAGATAGCAACTGCTCTTGCCAAGACAAACTACTCACTATTAATATATTGAAAGTAAAAAGTAGAAGAAACCCTATTGGAGATGTGCCAATTCTTATTTAGAAAGAGTTCTCAAGTCATTCCTCCCCTAAGTTATTTATGTACAAATGTATCTTACGGTTCCCATCATGAATAAGCAAGAAGAAAGAATGGACTCATGGACTGAGGAGGCCTCCAGGTCAGATCAAGAAGTTGGCATTTAGATCTTCATGAGGACCATGACCACAGAACGGAAGTATAGAGGCATCTTCAGCCAGACGGAAGCAGGGAAAAAGACCAAGGGAACAAGAATATGTTAGTAGCAGACTGAGGCATAAGAATAATAATACTTGGAGAGAAAAACTTGAACTCCTCCCTACATATACCAGATATGTCAGGTTTTGGTACTCTGAAAAGCAGATGCTGAAATCTAGTTAAGAGCAGAAATACTTATTGAGGAATAACACTAGGGAAAGAAAAATGGAGGGAGCAAGATTGGGAAGGGGAATCTTTTAGATACTGATGCTGATTTAACAAAGTCTATCAGCCCAAAATGGAGCTCCAGAGCGAATACAATTAGACCAATGTTGTGTAGAAATGAGTAGACCCTTGTATTACTTACTTAGTTATTGGCTGATGGGCAAGAAAAGAACATATTCTTTGATACTGTTGTCTTGCTTTGCAGGATCTACCCTGAAAATAGAGTTACTTAGTCTTAAAATCTGAGCTAACAGCTTGGGGCTCTCAGCTAACCACCCTCTTTGCAACCCGGCAACAAGTCCTTTCTGGAAGACGGATTTCAGCACAACATTTTCATGTCTGTCACACCAAAATAGCCTTTTTTTAAGTCCTGCCACTGACTTTTAAATCCTACCACCATCTACTCAAGCATAGATATTCCTGAAAAAGAAGGGAAGAGTAAACATGATGGTCGTGAACTTTTTAGGCCAAGAAAAAAAACTTAAAAATATGTGACTGACTGATTTGACTAGTAAGTGGCAACAATTGCTATAGCTCTGAATAAAAATGAGACTAAAGACCTGAGTGATATTTAGTTACAGAAAAATTGGTAGTTTAATCATTGTACATACAATGTTTTTCCTATTAACTAACCACTGTATGTATTTTAAATATATAGACATAAGGAAATTACATTACCAAGAATTAATTGTAATAGGTGTTTCAATTTTAGATTTCTAGGTACATTTAAGCACAGAATTAGATCATTAGCTTTCAGAGGCGGCATAAGCTAACCATTTCTACAAGTTCACTATTTCCCTTCAGAGAATTATAAAGCTATATTATAGAATAAACTAAGATATTCGGTAGTAAATTATTTTATTAGTGCATCCTACTAAGGGGGATGAAAGAATTAATAATAATTTTGAAAAGTGATAAAGGGTGAATATAGCCACTTGTAAGTCCCAGAGGGGAGTAAATAGTAATGTCAGGAAAAATTATAAAATGCAATTGATTAATTCCTTACAGAAAAATAATAATTCCATATAAAGTTACAGACAATTCACTCAAGAAGAAAAAAATTCAGTAAAATGATGATAATAAAAGTATAACAAGATTTGCAATGATACTAATTTTCTCAAAGTTTCTGCAGGGACTCCAAACCTAAAGAAATACAGTGGGTTCGAGGTATTCCCATATCTTTTGTGAGGTGTTAGGTCACCTATGCAGACTTTCTAAGAAACTATCAAAGAGGATCTGCAATGTGAGTGATCTCCTAGATGCTTGTTTTAAGGAATGAAGATGAAGAGTCAAGACAGAAGAATCCTTTGCAATGACTTAGACTATTTTGTACATTTACCTCCACAAAGGAGGCAAGGGGAGGGTATTTCTACTAACTGTAAACAAGGGAGAGGGTCTTTCAAGAAGACCAATTACTCAGATAATTAAGTTTAGGGAGCCTAAAGATTGCATGAGAGGCTGTGGCTAACCTGGCCTGATGTACAAAGCAGAGAATAAAGGGAGGTATTGCATTGCGAAAAAGCTATATTTCCACGTACTTAGGGACAAAAGTGTCTGATAAAGGGGATTGCATGAGGAACATGTGGTGGAAAACAGGCCTGGAGCTATCTTATGAGGGAACAGTTTTAAGAGAATCACCTTGAGGGTAAAGAGAAAACTGGGAAAAAGCACTGATTCTCAGGTTGTAAAGTAGGTTATCAGGGACTGAAGGGTCCATATGGAGGAGATATATTTGTGTCTGGTGAATTGTAGTTGGAAGATACTAGCAAGAATATTTCCAGAAAAAAACATCAATTTTCCATAGCAGAGAGTTAGCTCTTAGTATTAACACCAAATCACAAACAGCACTAGTAAAAAGCCTGCTCCACTTGTTGAAAAAAGAATATCATCTCTTTACGAGCATAATCTTGAGGAGGTCAGAAACCAGGGCTCCATAATGGGCTAGGGAGTCTGTAAGGGAAATTGGAACTACTTCCATCCTACACTGCAGCTTCCAAGACTGAAAGAGACCGATCAGGAGGATAGAAAACTATTTAAGTAAAGTCTGGAGTTCTGATGATTATACTAAACACAAATTTAAAGAAAATAATAAAAGATAATATTTGTTAAATGTATAAGCATTATGAAGAAAGCTATGAATCTCAGCTCAGCTTTCACAAAAAGCAGGTAAACAAGTAGCTGCTAAAATAGATTACAGGTTCTATGGAAAAGAAATGCTGAATTATGGTTGTGATTTATTGAAGATTTAATTTAGTTAAGAAACAAAATTAGTTTAAATCAATACCAATTAATTTCATTAAGTTGCCGAGTAATACTATTACACATAGTTGCTTGCAATGAAACTTGAGACCAATTTTATGAAAAGCAAATTTGCAAAGGCTTTCAGAAACTAAATGAAGACTAAAGAGTTCTGTTTTTAGAAGTATGATCTGAGAAATAGTCTAAAGACTTTTTAAGAAAGTGCCGAATGATAATTATCTTAGCATTATTTTGGGAAACAGAGTGATTGGGCAACTGGCTTCCAATTTCCCAACAGGTTATTCCCAGGGAAAAAAAGAAGGTAGATGACTTGGAAATAGCCTCTTGGCATGATCTTATTGTAAAGTAAATTATGAAATATAAAGTAAATTCCAAAATTTCACTGAGACTTGAATCAATAGGAAAACATACATTGTTCTTGAATAGGAAAGCTAATATAAAGATACCCTTTGTTCCTAGGCTAATTCATAAATTTGGTACATTCTTTATTTAAATTTCTTTCTGGCTTTTCTGACATAGTTTTTTAGTGCTTTGTTTCATTTTGATATGCTCCTTTTATCCCTTTGTTTAATACTGCAATATTCTCTTAAGTAGTCTCTGCTTTAGGTCTTTACATGGTTTCAGGAATAGTCTTTCTGTAATTTGAAAATTGTTATATCTATCTCTGTGCAAAATTCTTTAGTGACTTTCTGATTTCTCCTAAGCATAGTTTACATTCCTGGCTGAAGAATGCAGGTTCTCCAGGAGCTAGTGCCTGACTGCATCTCCCAGCCTGTGTGTTGCTCACACTCTTCTAATGCATTCTGCTTTACACATCATGTTAATAATGACCGATCAAATTCATTCTTCTCTCATTGTCTGGGATTATTGCCCCATTGTCTGCTCAGATAGCCTTTTTTGCTCTTTTAAGGATCAGCTCAAATGTTACTTCTGCTATGAAACATTGCTAGATTCCCCATCTACCTCATTTTCTAGGTAAAATTGAACCGTTATATCTTTGACTCCCTGAACTTGAAATGAGCTTCTATAGTAATATCTGTAATGCTTTATTATACCTAAATATTTGCATGTCAACCTTTCTTAACTGGTCTGAATGGTTCTATTTTATTGATATTTGTATACTCTAGCAGGGCATTTGCATACATTAGATTTATAATAATTGTTGATTGATTGGATGTATTATTGAAGTTTCCACCCCATGTTTACATTGGTTCTTTAAAATATTAAATATATATCTGAAACTCTATTCTCGGATGATTTATTGTTATCATGTGGTTACGGTCATGACCATATTTTCAGTACCATATATGGGATACTATAGTGGATACCATGGTGTGTTATGTAGATCCCTTTTCAGAATACAGCTGCTAACATATACTCCCAGGATGCGAAGCCTCTTTAGGAATTAATAAAAAGAACTTGATGAGAACTCTCCTGCTCAAGGTTACATACACTTCCTGGGACCTCCTAGAAAGGCCCAAGTCCTTTGCTCACAGGACAACCCTGAAGGACCTAAGATGTTTCAGAGATCATTTTGCAGTGAGCTGAATCTTTGGATGAAACAACATTGCAGCCTAATTCTGACCAATGCTGATTTTTTCTCTCCACAGATATTTGCTTCAAGAAGAGAACACTTACATTCTTTTATGCAGTTATAGAGGGAATGTTTGTGCCCCACCCCACAATTCATATGTTGAAATCCTAACACAGGATGCATTGGTACTAGGAGTTGTGGCCTTTGGAAGTTAATTAGGACATGAGGATGTGATTGATGCCCTTATAAAAGCGATCCCACTGAGATCCCTGATTCCTTCTGCCATATGAGGACAGGTAGAGAAGATAGTCATCTGGAAACCAGGAAATGGGTCCCTGCCAGACAGAAAATCTGCCAGCACTTTGATATTGGACTTCCCAGCCTTCAGAACTGTGAGAAACAGTTTTTGTTTAAGCCCTCTGTGCTATGACATATTTGTTATAGTAGCTGAAACTAAGACACATGCTAGTCTCCCCATCAGAATCTGCTTTCAGAAAATTTCAGCCTAAAATAGGTCTGCAAGGTGATCCAGAAAGAAATTAGTAGCACATTTATTTAAATTTTTTATCCAAAATATTAGAGGACATTGGCTGGGTGCTGGTGGCTCATGCCTGTAATCCCAGCACTTTGGAAGGCTGAGGTGGGCAGATCACCTGGGGTTGGGAGTTCGAGACCAGCCTGACTAACATGGAGAAACCCTGCCTCTACTGAAAATACAAAATTAGCCGGGCGTGGTGGCACATGCCTGTAATCCCAGCTACTTGAGAGGCTGAGGCAGGAGAATTGCTTGAACCTGGGAGGCAGAGGTTGAGGGTGAGCTGAGATCGTGCCACTTCACTCTAGCCTGGGTGACAGAGCAAGACTCCATCTCAAAAAAAAAAAAAAAAAAAATTAGAGGACATCACATTTCACTAATGGACATGGAGTTTGCCCTCATATATGTTGCCAGGTATCACGCACAATGTAAGAGATACCCCAAGAGAAGAGGGAGAGTTGTCAATGCATAAGAGTTTCCACTCATATTCACATGATTGACTGGATTTATTTGTATTAAATTATCTAATGTAGCTAAACTACACAGTACAAAAAGATAGCTGACAAAGATACTTGTAAAAAGTACCAGAGATTGACAATAATCCTAATGATACAAGTAAATGGAAAGCAAGTCATACAGCGTTGATAGTTCTTGCTCACCACTAGAAGAGATGACCTTTTTACACATGGATTCCCTCAGAAGCCCACCTTGACTATAGCTGGTGTTGACTACAGCTGGTGTGAAAGACCAGATTAATGGAGTTAGAAAAGTTTTAGATCCAGTCTGTCATATGCTTGCTATTTAAAGGTATGTGTTGGTTTTGTTTTTTTGTTTTTGCCACATTCACTTTAGTTTTTTAATAAATATTTTCCTAGTACCCACTAGTTATTTTTTCTGCTCCTCTCCCCCTCCTCCCACCTTCCACCCTCAAGTAGACCCCCGTGTCTGTTGTTCCCTTTGTGTGTTCATGAGTTCTGATTTAGCTCCCACTTATAAGTGAGAACACGCGGTATTTGGTTTTCTGTTCCTGTGTTAGTTTGCTAAGGATAACAGCGTCAAGTTCCATCCATGTTTTCACAGAGGACATGACCTCTTTCTTTTTTTATGGCTGCTTAGTATACTATGGTGTATATGTACCATATTTTCTTTGTCCATTCTGTCGTTCATGGGCATTTAGGTTGATTCCATTTGTTTGTTATTGTGAATAGTGCTGCAATGAACATTTACGTGCCTGTGTTTTTATGGTAAAATGATTCATATTCCTCTGGGTGTATACTCAGTAATTGGATTGCTGGGTGGAATGGTACTTCTGTTTTAGCTCTTTGAGGAATTGCCACACTGCTTTCTACAATGGTTGAACTAATTTACACTCCCACCAAAAGAGTATAAGTGTTCCATTTTCACTGCTACCTTGCCAGCATCTCTTATTTTTTGATTTTTTAATAATTGCCATTCTTACTGGTGTAAGATGGTTCTCATTATGGCTTTGATTTGCATTTCTCTAATGATCAGTGACATTTAACCTTTTTTCATATGCTCTAGGCTTAATACCTGGGTGACAAAATAATCTGTACAAGAAACCCCCATGAAACAAGTTTACCTATATAACAAACCTTCACATGTATCCCAGAACCTAAAATAAAATGTAAAAACAAAAAGAACAGAGAAAAATGAAAAGTAAAACTGTTCAACACACCTTATATCAATGCAGTCCAGTTACTATTAGAAGAGAACAATTAGAAGCAGAGCTCTCTGAAATTAAAAAAGCTAGAAAAGGGATGACCTCATTTGAGTTATGTCTTTGAGATTGAAAATAAAAGAATTACAAACTGTTATTATCAGAGACTAACAATAAAAAAAGAAATACTCACGCCTGTAATCCCAGCACTTCGGGAGGCCGAAGCAGGCAGATCACGAGGTCAGGAGATCAAGACCATCCTGGCTAACACTGTGAAACCCCGTTTCTACTAAAAATACCAAAAAATTAGCAGGGCATGGTGGTGGGTGCCTGTAGTCCCAGCTACTCGGGAGGCTAAAGAAGGAGAATGGCGTGAACCCGGGAGGCGCAGCTTGAAGTGAGCCGAGATTGCGCCACTGCACTCCAGCCTGGGTGACAGAGCGATACTCCATCTAAAATAAAAAAAAGAAAGGCACCCAGATGAGTACATTCAAAATGGGTCACTCATTGTGACTTTCTAAATTTATGTCATTTTTTTTCCTTTTACAAAAATGAATGTGCATACTAATTTTCTATTTCCTTTCACCATCTGTTACTATAAGCTCTTGGACAAAATATAGATACACATCATAGATATTAAATAAATATTTTCCAAAAATGAAAATTAAATCAAATCACAGAGATATCATGTCTTCTAACCCTTGCATAAATTTTTCTTTTGACACGTCACCTGGTTAAAACAATGTCAGTCTAAATGTGTCAAGAAGTTAGGCAATTAAACAACACATTACTAAAATTATTCATAATTTTAGTGTGTTTTTTGAACAAAATTCAATTTTAGAAATTTTAGTTTACCTTACTAACAGAATTTATTGAGTCATTATTCCTATAAGAGAGCGTCACACTGAGACTATGACAGTTTCATTCTACGTAGAGAGGAAAAGACCTTCTACATGTGGCTTGCCCCTGTTAATTACTACTACATTATACTAACTTTATAAAAGCTTCATTTAAGCTCCACCCTTCACCCAAGAGCCTGTGTAGTTTACATGTAATTATTAGCAGATTGCCTCAGAAATCTCCATCCAGAATCCATTCTCATGACTTCCGCCATTAACTTTTGTAGTTACAGTCGTTGCTCCCTCAAGCACCATTTTCATCATATTACTCAAGACTTTGAAGTAGATGTCTATACTATTTAACATAAATTCTAAAATTCTCAGTCAACACCACAAATATCTGCTTTAATCACTTCTGCAATTTAAGAAAACATATTTCTTTAAACTAAGATAAGCACTTGTCCTTTGGTATATCTGGGTTACTATCTCAACTACCAGTGTTTGCTTGCTGTTTTTATTATCTCACTGTGTTTCCTTTTATCTTACATTCACTCTTTCCTATACTTTCATTATAAATGTAAAATCATTATGTTTTCTCTATCAAATAAAAATATCATTTTAGAACAACCATTCATAAAAATCTTGAAGAAAAGCCTTTAGTTATTATTGATAATAAATTGTGGCTTATTTGGTCATCATTATAAATATGACAAATTCTTAAAGCTATTACTTCCAGTTAAAAAAGTAAATGAAGTACAGTACATTCAGCTATACATTTAGGGAGATAATTAATGACAATTTGTTAGGCTCACAGTTTCATAAATACATGGTCTTTTGGAATATTAAAGTTTAGAAATTCTATACTTAACACCAATGTGCTATTTGATAAACAATATGACTTTCAACTTATTATAATAGTAATTGAATTTTAATATAAAATGTAAATCTCGTATTTTAAATATATCATATAAAAATTATTTTGCATGAGAACAAAAAATATTCCTTTTAAAAGTATAAAACAATGATTAGAAAATACATCTAAATAAAAACTTAAGAAATAAAAGTATATATCTCTAGATTTTCTCATTTTAAAAAAAGATTAATTTTTTTAACACTCACTTTAAACATGAGGGCTATATGAAAGAGATTATATTTGAATATAATGAAATATAAGCTAAAATATGATTTCAAGAAAAGAAATACAGTGTCTGAATGTAGTGATTAAATATTGGTGGGCACTCATCTAAGTGATGGTGCACCTATATTACCTGTAACACAGCATAAAGAAAGTGCAGTTTGATATATATCTTTAATATTCTTTTTTTTTTTTTTTCAGATGGGGTCTTGCACTGTCACCCAGGCTGGAGTGCAGTGGCACAATCTTGGCTCGCTGCAACCTCTGCCTTCCAGACTCAAGCAATTCTCCTGTCTCAGCCTCCTGAGTAGCTGAGATTACAGGCACCTGACACCATGCCGAGCTAATTTTTTTTTGTATTTTCAGTAGAGGTGGGGTTTCACTATGTTGGTCAGGCTGGTCTTGAACTCCTGACCTCGTTGATCCACCAGCCTTGGCCTCCCAAAGTGCTGGGGTTACAGGTGTGAGCCACCACGCCCAGCCCATATCTTTAATATTCTTTTTACTGAAGTGAGAGACGATATAAAAAAACGAAAATAATTTCTCAGAATCATGTATTCCCAGATTGTTCTAGGTGTAGACATCCTTGTTACTTGTTACTTTTAACATTCCTTCTAACATAACAACTCTTTACTTAAAACCATAAAAGAAATAATCAAAATCACAAGGAGAGGAAATCTAGAAGTTGTCATATTTTAGTTTAATATTTGTTTCACCTTCACAAGTTGATAATTTTAGAACTAGTTAATGTTGTTACTGTTCATTTATTCTTAAAAATTTGGAAGTTATATAACTTGGTAGAAGTAGATTTGAAGAAAACCTTTATAGGTAAACTATAATAAAATCTACATAAAAACCAGATTAACTGCTAAAATGCTACATTGACTTCTAATATATTATGATAATTTAGGCCATTTTATTAAATGCACATTGCCAAATTAAGCTTAATTTAAAAGTCTCTCCTAGGATATGCAACTAACAATTAAAACAGAACGAAACAAATTTATTGTCATTACCACTATTACTTCTAAATGTTCAGCCGTATCATTGGCATTCTGATGATTTTATTTTCTTTCTGTTCATTTCCTAATTTTGTCTCATATTTAGACTTTATCTCTTTGAGTACACACTTAAAAATTGGTTTTATCACCCTGTTGTATATAAGAAAATATATTTTCATGTTAGTAAGCATAACATTTTGTTAAGGGCACTAAAGGTTTTTATTCTGATGCATGTTTATAGTTTGATTAACAATATGAGTATCATTAGCGTTTTCTCCCAAATGTTTTCAAAATTATCTAGTGATACTTTTTTCCAGATGCGTTTATACAGAACCATTGCAGTAATGTTTTAGCATAATGTTAAAATATCTACAAGATAATAAATTGATTATGTTTTAGTGGTTTTGATATGTTCAGAGCAAAATTTCTACTTCATTCTTTGCTAAGCAAAATAAAAAGAGAACAATTCCCATAGCAATAGTTATATAATAATAATAAATTTAATATTTCATTCTTACCTGTTTCAGGATCTTTTCTGGTACCCATGTTAGAGGGTGCTTATAAAGATTTCACCATGATGGAGTAAGAGACATAAAACTGGATAAATGTAAGTATTTCAAGAATTGATCTCATTTGTATCCTTTTAACATAATTACTGTAATAAATATTTTTAATATGTGTTTTTTCTTCTCAATGTCAAGTTCAACAGACAAATATGTCTTCACTTGTTTATTTCCCTATGTAAGAATTGATTAGTCAAAAATATATTTTTGGATGTTTATGACTGTGTCTATGTGAATATCTAAACACATATACGTACATGTATTTGCATATATGTGTCTATGCATATTTGTATGTGTGTACATATATATGTATGTGTAAACACAGGTTGTAGTTAGTTGCTCAGCATCTAGAAAGTAAAATCTCCTTATAGTTTATGTACATGATACTACCCTAAATAAAATGAAATTTGAAATACTAATCTCTAGTCAAAAATGTATACGATATATATGTGTGAAAACAAAATAAAATAAAAAATGCATACGATTTATTGATTTTTTCATTAGTCTGGATAATCAGAAATCAACTGTAATATGTGGTAAAATATTTGCTAAAATCACATGTATGTAACATTTGCTTAAAAGCATATTGTAGTTACAGTAGTCTAAAGTAGTCGATTTTGGACTCTATTCTACCAGTGTTTAAAAAATTGTCTTAATCTCTAGTCTGTATTTCTTCATGTGGTTCATGGAATGAATTTTCTAAAAATGCAAGGCTTTTTAAAAAACATAATCTGAATCAAAAACATTTTTCTGTGACTTTTCCATGAAACTAATCATTAGTTACATATTCCTTCTTCACTTACACAAACAGGCCCACAATGCTCTAAACAAACCCTTTCTTCTATTTTCCTTTCTTTTGCTAGCATTGGTTTTGATATTTGTCTTTTCTTAAAAAGGTAGTCACCCCTACTTCTAGTCATTATCCACCTCCATGCCTGGGAAATGCCAGTGGTCACTTGACTTCAGATTAACTCAGAAAATCATGTGGACAAATATCGTTTGCTAGAGATTACTTTCAGGCCTTTTTTTTTTTTTTGTATTTATTTGCTCAGAAAACTTGTTCACGGTGAGTTATTTCTGAAGCAGAGTTTTGTCTATTGTCTCACTGTCAAAAAACTATATGATAGATGGATAGATAGATAGATACAGAGATAGAGATAGATGATATCAATATCTATATATACTTGATTATACTCTGAGCCACAACTACCCTCAATGACTTTACTTTGGAAACCAGGAGCCAAACTGTCATTTGCAGATGATTTGGTCATCTACCTAAAAAATCTCAAGATAGTTAATAAAAAAAAATTCCACCTGTTTAAAAGGTTAAGAAAATTACAATATACAGTAACCAAAATAGCATGGGACTGGTACCAAAACAGATATATAGACCAATGGAACAGAACGGAGGCCTCAGAAATAACTCCACACATATAAAACCATTTGATCTTTGACAAACCTGACAAAAACAAGAAATGGGGAAAGGATTGTCTATTTAATAAGTGGTGTTGGGAAAACTGGCTAGCCATATGCAGAAAACTGAAACTGGACCCCTTCCTTACATCTTATACAAAAATTAACTCAAGATGGATTAAAGACTTAAATGTAAGACCTAAAACCATAAAAACCCTAGAAGAAAACCTAGGCATTACCATTCAGTGCATAGGTATGGGCAAAGGCTTCACGTCTAAAACACCAAAAGCAATGGCAACAAAAGCCAAAATTGACAAATGGGATCTAATTAAACTAAAGAGCTTCTGCACAGCAAAAGAAACTATCATCAGAGTGAACAGGCAACCTACAGAATGGGAGAAAGTTTTTGCAATCTATGCATCTGACAAAGGGCTAATGCCCAGAATCTACAAAGAACTTAAACAAATTTACAAAACAAACAAACAAACAAACACATCAAAACGTGGGTGAAGGATATGAACAGACACTTCTCAAAAGAAGACATTTATGCAGCCAACAAACATATGTAAAAAAGCTCATCATCACTGGTCATTAGAGAAATGCAAATCAAAACCACAATGAGATACCATCTCACACCAGTTAGAATAGCGATCACTAAAAAGTCAGGAAACAATAGATGCTGGAGAGGATGTGGAGAAATAGGAATACTTTTACGCTGTTGGTGGGAGCATAAATTAGTTCAACCATTGTGTAAAACAGTGTGGTGATTCCTCAAGGATCTAGAACCAGAAATACCATTTGACCCAGCAATCCCATTACTGGATATATACTTAAAGGATTATAAATCATTCTACTATAAAGATACATGCACACATATGTTTATTGCAGCACCGTTCACAATAGCAAAGACTTGGAACCAGCCCAAATGCCCATCAATGATAGACTGGATAAAGAAAATGTGGCATATATACATCATGGAGTACTATGCCATATAAAATACATAAAAAATACAGCCATATAAAAAGATGAGTTCATGTCCTTTGCAGGAACATGGATGAAGCTGGAAACTATCATTCTCAGCAAACTAACACAGGGACAGAAAACCAAACACCGCATGTTCTCACTCATAAGTGGGAGTTTTATAATGAGAACACATGGACACAGGGAGGGGACCATCACACACTAAGGCCCGTCGGGGGTGATGGGTTAGGGCAGGGAAAGCATTAGGAGAAATACCTAATGTAGATGATGGGTTGATGGGTGCAGCAAACCACTATGGAACGTGTATACCTATGCAAGAAACCTGCACTTTCTGCACATGTACCCCCGAACTTAAAGTATAATAAAAAAAGAAAATGAATATATGAAATAATTACATCATATTTTTATTTATAAAGTTACATCATATTTCTGTTTTCTTTGTGTAATTCTATATTCTAAATGCTTTATATCAAGAAGAATTTCAGACATACAAACAAGTAGTTAGACCAGTATAATGAATCCATTTCTGCATCAGTTAAAGGCTGTATTACCTGTATCCCCACCCACCATTTTTCCATATTATTCTGAGTCATTTTATCCTATGATCTATCAAATTTCAATATGTATTTCTAAAGAAGTACTACCTTTAATTAGTGTAATTAAAAATATTCTTATCACACCTAAGGAAATAATATTTCTTCAATAGGACCAAATTTTCAAATTCCCATTATCTCAAAAATATTCAATATCAGAAAATTTCTCTGTAATGATCATAAATTTCATATTTGGCCTTCCTCTTTATTTTTTCAAAATGTATTTCTTCAACAAGTCTAGTTGTTACTCAGATATTTTCTTTTACAATTTAGTTTACAGTTATAACTTAGTCTTTTAATATATAAAAAGAAATTAGCAACAATTTTTAGTAAAGTGTATGCAAAATTGCAGTAGATACTTTGTGTGGAAGAGATAATGGAGTCATAGATTTTAGCCTCTACAAAATCAAAATATATTTTGTATTAGTGCTTGTCAGCTAAATGTGAGTGTGTGTGTGTGCGTGTGTGTGTGTGTATAAGATATGTTTATAATATTTGTAATTGCTTTATATGACTTAGGGCAAGGTCTCTCATCTACTTCTGAGTATACTGTCTTGATTTGCTCTGCCTTTGGCATCCGTATAACTCCCTCTGAAACTTCTTCCCAAAGTTTTTGCTCCTCCTTATTCTAAAGTAATATACAAAAAAAAAAATTGATTTTCCTGGAGCTAGAAATGTATTACTGTAATAGTTTAGTACTGCTAAAAGTGGCATTCAGAGAAAGAAGACATTGATACAACTAGAGATGTACATCTGGTGCTGAGCCTTGGAACATTCAAGATTGAAATGTACATTTCCTTATGGTGTCCATTGTTAGATTTTTAGATGCAGAAAATTATAATATACAATAAGTCCCATATCCTGCTCTAGGTTGTAATTGACAGAGTGCAGCACACATCCCTAAATAATTGTAATTGCATTTTCTAAATACATTAAAAAGAAATACTTCCTACTGTTGGCAAACCATCTATGTTTTTTTCTTCCCATTTCTGTGGATATAAGAACTAGAGTTTATCCTCAACAAATTGCACTGATTCCTGATAATATATAAGGCATTTTTTTGTGTATCCATTTTATTTATTATTTACAAAATTGCGTATCTATTTTATTTATTTATTTAGTTTTTTACAATTTCAATAGCTTTTGGGGTACAATTGGGTTTTGATTACATGGATAAATTGTATAGTGGTGAAGTCTGAGATTTTCACGCACCTGTCACTCAAGTAGTGTACATTGTACCCAATGTGCAGTTTCTGTATCCCTCACTCCCTTCCCACCCTCCCCCTTCTGAGTCTCCAGGGTCCATTATACCACTCTGCATGCCTTTGCTTACCCAGAGCTTTGTTCCCATTTATAAGTGAGAACACACTGTATTGGATTTTCCGTTCCTGAGTTACTTTCCTTAGAATAATGGCCTCCAGCTCTATCCAAGTTTCTACAAAAGGCATTATTTCATTCTTTATCTGTGGCTGAGTAGTATTCCGTGGTGTACATGTATTACATGTTCTTTATCCACTCATTGGTTGATAAGCACTTAGGTTGGTTCCATATCTTTGCAATTGTAAACTGTGCTGCAATAAACATGCACATGCAGGTGTCTTTTTGATATAATAATTAATTTTCACTTGGCTAAATACTCAGTGGTAGGAAGTCTGGATTGAATGATGGGTGAACTTTCAGTTCTTTAAGAAATCTCCATATGCTTTCCATAGAGATTGTACTAATTCATGCTCCAACCACCAGTGTATAAGCATTTCCTTTTCACCATATCCATGTCAACATCTATAGTTTTTTGACTTTTTAATAATGGTCATTCTTGCAGGGGTGAGTTGGTTGGTATCTCATTTAATTTTTTTAATTTGCATTTCCCTGATGATTAGTGATGTTGAGCATTTTTTCATGTTTCTTGGCCATTAGTATGTCTTTTTTTTGAGAAATGTCTATTCATGTCCTTTGCCCACTTTTTGAAGGGACTATTTGTTTTTTCTTGCTCATTTGTTTAAGTTCCTTGTAAATTCTGGACATTAGTACTTTGTCAGGTGCATAATTTGCAAATACTATCTCCCTTCCTGTGGACTGTCCATTTGATGATTATCCCTTTTGCTATGCAGAAGCTTTTTAGTTTAATTAGGTCCCATTTATTTATTTCTGTTTTTCTTGCATTTGCTTTTGGGGTCTTAGTCACAAATCCTTTGCCTAGGCCAATGTCCAGAAGAGTTTTCCTTAGTCTATCTTCTATAAATTTTATGATTTTCGGTATTAGTTTTAAGTCTTTGATCCATCTTAAGCTGATTTTTGTATAAGGTGAGAGGTAGAGATCCAATTTCATTCTTCTACATGGGGCTATCCAGTTTTCCCAGCACCACTTATTAAATAGGATCTCCTTTCCTCAATTTATGTCTTTGCATGCTTTGTCAAAGATCAGTTAGTTGCAATAGGTTGATACATAAGTAATTGTGTTATTTTGCCATTACTTTCAATGAAAAAAACACAATTACTTGTGCATCAACTTGATGTTTGGCTTTGTTTCTGGGTAGGCTATTCTGTTCCACTGATCTATGCACCTACTTTTATACCAGTACCATGCCATTTTGGTAACCATAGCCTTGTAGTATAATTGGAAGTCAGGTAATGTGATGCCTCCAGATTTGTTCTTTGATTGCTTTAGCTATTAAGGCTCTTTTTTGGTTCCACATGAATTTTAGGATTGTGTTTTCTGATTCTGTGAACAAAGATGTTGGTATTTTGACAAGAATTGCATGGAATCTGTAGACTGTTTTGGGCAATATGGTCATTTTCATGACATTGATTCTTCCAATCCATGAGCATGGAATGTGTTTTCATTTGCTTTTGTTACCTATGATTTCTTTCAGTAGTGTCTTGTAGTTCTTGTAGGGATCTTTTACTTCCTTGGTTAAGTATATTGCAAGGTTTTTTTGTTTTGTTTTTGTTTTTGTTTTTGGCAGCTATTGTAAAGGGAATTGAGATCTTGATTTGATTCTAATGTTGGTCATCGTTGGTGTATAGCAGTGCTACTGATTTGTGTACATTGATTAATAATCTGTAGTCTTTTGGAGGAGTCTTAAGAGCTTTCTAGGTAATACAATCATATCCCTGGTAAACAGTCATAGTTTGACATCCTTTTTTCCAATTTGGATGCCTTTTATTTCTTTCTTTTTTCTGATTGGTCTGGTTAAGACTTTTAGTACGATATTGCATAGAAGTGGTGAACATGAGCATCCTTGTTTTGTTCCAGTTCTCAGAGGGAATGCTTTCAGCTTTTCCCCACTCAGTATGATGGTGGCTGTGGGTTTGTGATATATGGATTTAAATATATTAGGTTAGGTATGTTTCTTCTATGCATAGTTACTTGACTGTCATAAAGGGATTTTTATCATAAAGTGATGCTAGATGTTATTGAATGTTTTTCCTACATTTATTGCAATAAATCCTATGGGTTTTATTGTTAATTCTGTTTATGTGATGTATCACACTTATTGACTTGTATATGTTAAAACATCTCTTCATCTTGGGATAAAACTCACTTGATTATGGTGTATTATCTTTTTGATGTGAGGTTGGATTTGGTTAGCTAGTATTTTGTTGAGGATTTTTGAATCTACATTCATCAGGGATGTTGGTCTGTAGTTTGTTGTTGTTGTTGTTGTTGTTGCTGTTGTGTCCTTTTCTGGCTTTGGCATAAGGGTGATACTGACTCCATAAAATGTGTTAGGGAGGATTCTTTCTCTCTCAATCTTTTGGAATAGTTTCAGTAGGGTTGGTTCCAATTCTTCTTTGACTGTCCGGAAGAATTCAGCTATGAATCCATCTGGTCCTGGACCTTTTTCTCTTGGCAATTTTTTTTTAACTACTAATTCAATCTCATTGCTTGTTATTGGTCTTTTCTGGGTTACTATTTCTTTCTGATTTAATATAGGAGGGTTGTATGTTTCCAGAATTTATCCATTTTCTCTAGAGTTTCCCTATTATTTCAATAATTGTCTCAAATGATCTTTTGTATTTCTGGGGTGTCAATCGTAATGTCTCCAATTTCATTTCTAATTGAGCTTATTTAAATTTTCTCTCTTCTTTTCTGGGTTAATCTAGCTAATGGTCTATCAATTTTGCTTACTCTTTTCAGAGAACCAAATTTTTGTTTCATCCATCTTTTTTATTTTTTTAAATTTTAATTTCATTTAATTCTTCTCTGATCTTTGTTATATCTTTGATTCTGCTGCCTTGGGTTTGGTTTGTTGTTTCTCTAGTTCCTTGAAGTGTACCATTATGTTGCCAATATGTTATATTACAGATTTTCTGATGTAGGCTTTTAGCACTATAAACATTCCCCTTAGCACTGCTTTTGCCGTATCCCAGACATTTTGATAACTTTTGTCTTTATTATCATTCATTGTGAAGAATTTTAAAATTTCAATATTGGTTTCATTGCAAACCCAAAAATCATTCAGGAGCAGATTGTTTGATTTCCATGTATTTCTATAGTCTGACAAGATACTTGATATTATTTTGATTTTTGAAAACTTACTGAGACTCATTTTGTGGCCTATCATATCGTCTACCTTGGAGAATGCTCCATGTGCAGATGAGAAGAATGTACATTCTGCAGTTCTTGGGTAGAATGTAGTGTAAATATGTTAGGTCCATTTGTTCTAGAGTGTAGTTTAACTCCATTGTTTCTTTGTTGACTTTCTGTCTTGATGATCTGTCTAGTGTTGTCAGTAGAGTGTTGAAGTCTCCTTCTATCATTGTATTGCTGTGTATCTCATTTATTTGGTCCAGGAGTAATTGTTTTACAAGTCTGGGAGTTCCAGAGTTAGGTGCATATAAATTTAGAATTGTAATATCTTCTAGTTGGATTGATCATTTTATCATTATATATTGAGCTTCATTGTCTTTTTTTTTTAACTGTTGTTGCTTTAAAGTCTGTTTTATATGATATAAAAATAGCTTCTCCTGCTCACTTTTGGTTTCCATTTGCATGGAATATCTTTTTCCACCCCTTTACTTTGAGTTTATATGTATCTTTACATGCTAGGTGAGTCTAGTGGAGGCAGCAAATACTTAGTTTATGATTTTTAAATCCATTCTGCCAATCTATATCTTTTAAGTGGAGCACTTAGGCCATTTACATTCAACATTAATATTTAGATGTGAGGTATTATTCCAGTCATTATGTTAAATGCTACCTAGATATTTTATTTTCTTCGTTTTTTATTGTTTTATAGGTCCTGTAAGTTTTTATGCTTTCAAGAGGTTCTATTCTGGTGCACATCAACCTTTTGTTTCAGGATTTAGAACTCCTTTTATTTATTGCAGGGATGGTCTGGTAGTAACAAATTCCCTAAGCAGAACTGATGCTTTGTCTCACTGCTCTTAAAATTCTTTCCTTTAATGGACTGTAGATAGCCTGATAACTACATGCCTTTGTGATGTCCTTTTTGTAATAAATCTCCTAGGATTTCTTTGAGGATCTTGTATTTGGATATCTAAATCTCTAGCAAGGCCAGGGAAGATGTCCTCAATTGGAAAAATAAGTTTTAAAACATTTTTGCTTTCTCTTCTCTCTCAGAACACCAGATATTCTTGATTTGGCCATTTTACATAATCTCATATTTTTTGGAGACTTTGTGCATCTATTATTTCTTTTTTCTTTATTTTCATCTATATTAATTTGAAAGCCTTGTCTTCGAGCTCTGAAATTCATTTTTCTACTTGGTGTAGTCTATCGTTAAAATTTTCCATTGTATTTTGTAATTCCCTAAATGTGTCTTTCATTTCCAGAAGTGTGGATTGTCTTTTCTTTAAAATATTTATCTCTTCAGAAAATCTGTCATTCTTATCCTGAATTTTTTTTTATTTCTTTATGTTGGTTTTCACCTTCCTCTTGTATCTCCTTGAGTAGCTTAATAATTAATCTTTAGAATTCTTGATTTGGTATTAAAATATTTCATCTTGGTTTGGATCCTTTGCTGGAGAGTTAGTATGATTTTTTGAGAGGTGTTATAGAATGCTGTTTTGTCATTACTATAATTATTTTTCTGGTTGCTTCTCACTTGGGTAGACTATTTGTCCTAATTATTCTTGAATTTGTTTTTCATTTGACTGTGAGGTGTTTTTTTGTTGTTGTTGTTTGTTTGATTGATTTCTTTTTCCCCCTTAAGGATGTGGCTTCAACGCTTATTGTTTATTGTAACCTAATTCAGCTCCTGGTGATTTCAAGGGTACAGACTCTGTGAGGGTTCTTTAGTTATAGAGTCTTTGTATGATGGCTTTTTCAGACGCTGGTTCTAGGAGCAGTATGTATGTTGTGTGAATAAGTTCACTGTCTCCTATGGGGTTGGAATGGCAGAGGTTTCTTGAAGCTTATCTCATTCCCCTGTGGTGTGCATTTATTTATTTTTTTTCCCTAATATTTTATTTACTGGGTTAAATAGTTCAGGCTTTAGGCCAGTAAGCAAAGTGTCCCTAGGTAGAAACCAGTTGTGGCTAAAGCAGGTGGGTAAATGCAATACCCAATGGTAGGCAGAGGTCACAGCTTTGACAGAGGTGGCTGGAAGATCTCTAAGTTATATATATTTTTACAAAAGCTTTGTGTAACTCACAATACCATTAGTGACATGAAAGATTATATTTTAAATATGGATAATACAGAGATTTACACAATTAATGTATGCTGGTTTGACATTTTACTAAACTCAAGGAACCTTGATACTTTTTAATAACTTGAAGATTTTACTCTATATTTTAAAGTACACTTATAAATTAGATATAACAATTTTAATAAAATTTCAATAAATATTATCAGAACATTGGGGTCTTTTGGTTGAAAAAGATACAAATTCCCAAAAGCAGATTCTGACTTTCTCATTAGTCAATGAACAAACTGTGGCTTTTATTGCTAAAACTGACCACTCTGTACATAATTCAGTATATGTGTATTTATGTATCCATCATTTGCTAAACATTTATTAGTGTCAATAGTAGTACTAGATATGCTTCTTAACCTGTGTAAGAATTTCACAGTCACAATTGAACAAATTCACAGATTTCACAATTTGAAAAGGCAAATCGAACAAAGATAACTGGTAACAGAAGTCAATAAATGATATATTTGAGACATACATACTGGATTTGGGAGTGCATACACTTAAACCTGTTTCTAGGGGATTTGGAGGAAAACCATAGAATCAGAGAGTATGAGTGATGATTTATCAAAACCGGAGTCATAAATATCTGAGTTCATAAATAATATCAAAGTACAGAACAGAATAGAATATCTGAAATGTATTCAAACAACTGTAATCACAGCAAACAGAGGAGGCAAAAAATGATGACTTTCAAGATGGTAGAGGGAAGAGAAGTAAAATAGAAAGCCATCGAAATACAGCTATGTGCCAATTTCCGTATGTACTGTATCTCATTGAAACTTCTCACCAACCTGTGAGGTCAGAAACAGTAAATTATTTGCTCATGCAGCTAATAATAGTTTAGAATAGATATTAAATATTTGGCTTCAAAATAAAGTTTATTTTTATAATGTCATTTTTCATCCAATAAACATGCAAACAATTAACTAAAAAAATTTAGTTAGAAATACTACAGAGATAAGGAGAAGAGAATACAAGAAAAAGCCCCAGGCTAATCCTGAGCCTTTCCATCTCATCCTCAATTGCCTCATCTCATTCCTTTGAGCTCCAGTTTTGACCCCACAAGTTTAATGATGATAATTAAGAGATTTCTGTCTTAGTAGTTTTTTGAGAGATGAAAGCATCACAATTCTTTGCAAGATAGAAAATCATCACTAGAAGATTCAAAGGAGGAAATTGATAGAGTATACTAGTGTGGAAAAGATTTTAAAATGAAATAAAGTCTAAATGCATTATTAAAAGACAAAAAGTTAAAGTCCCAATAGAGAAATATTTTCAAGCATATGTATGAGTTAGATACCTTCAAATTAATTATGTGTCGTATCATCAGGAAGTATTCTAGGAGAAGTAAACCTTTTAAAACATATTCTTTTATTCCTGCCTTTTCTGCAAAACTCTTGCTTTTTCTGTGGCAAAACTGTAATTCATGCTCTAGTGAGTCTCTTCTTCAGCAATATTAGGTAGTGACTTTCACATGGAGAGCTCAAAATGTCTTTAGAAATTTTATTGCATTAATTTTCACATCCCTGTAAGGCAGGTGGAAAGAATTACTGTACTCATCAAATTAATTGTCAAACTAGGACACTAAATGATTGCAAGGACCTTTGAGTAATATTAAAGATATTCGATTTGATTCCACTACCACTTTTAACTTTATAATTTTATATTGACTATTTTATACCATCAAGCCTGTTGAGTGAAAAAATTCAAAATTTCTGCTAATCACTGTTCTTTTTCCCTCCTTCCACAATTCCATTGATTCCATTATTTTTTCGGGTCATTAACTTATCCAGTTCTACAACCTCCACCCTCATAATCTCATACCTAAACTGTCCTAACAATCTCCTAGCTAACGAATGTCGTGATAGTCTCTAATTCAAATCTTTCTAAATACATAGACAAATTAAACTTTCCCCAAAGAACTGCATTAAGAATTTTACTTTCCTATGTATACATACTTCCAGTAAATAATTAGAACTTTAGAAATTCCTTTCTCTGATCCTAATCTACTTTTCCAAACAGTGATACAGCTCCGGTGAGTGGAGGAACACCAGGGCTTTTGTCTCTCACGAATTGGATAAAATGACACGGACACACATGGAGTGGTTTTAAGGAGTGGAGAGTTTAATAGGCAAGACAGAAGGGAGAAGAAAGGAAGAAGCTCCCCTGTACACAGACAGAGGCAGGAGGGCTCCAAAGTGGAAAGAGGAAATCGCTAGTACAGGTAAAGGTGACTGCTTCTATGAAGAGGATGGAGGAGGTGGTGTCTGATTTGCATAGGGCTCAGGAGATTGGTTTGACCAGGCATGTCACTCAGGTAGCCCATAAAAAAACTGGCCCTCTCACAGTAGCCTTTTAATATGCAAATGAAGGGCGCCATGTTGTCCTACACCTGTGGGGACATGTGGGGGCAGCCATGTTGCCAGGCACACATGAGGGCAAGGGCAAGAGGAAGAGGGCGGAAATCGCCATATTTGGGCGGACCCAGTTTCTAATGGTCTGCATTTGCATGTCAAAGGTTGCCGGCCAGTCTCTAAGAACTAGGGTTTTCCTGCAAAACAGAAACGTTTCCGGAGCTGCTTTAAAAGAAACAACTTTCCAAGGACCCCTTTTCCTCTCTATCTGCCTAAAGTAATTTCTTAATCACTCCTAAACAACAGTACTGTCATATTGTGCAGGTCTTTAATTTACAGTAACTCTTGAATTCCATGAAAAAAGAAAAAAAAAGGAATATTATAGCCCTGGGAAAAGCCCTTTTGCCTTCTAGTGATTATGATGAGGTGACTTACATATACCCAATCCTCGGTGTTCTCAGATCTGTTGTGTTTCACAAGGCAAAATCATATCTTAATAGAAAATAAGCATTCAAAGTTTTAATAAGCATACTATTTGTAGAACATATCTCTTCGGCTTATGCCAGTCTTTTTTTTTTAAGTTCAACTGAAGAAATAGTTGTCGAGGCTCGTTTGCTTTAATTAAGTTTTAATTGTAGAATAGTTTTAGATTTACAGAAATGTGAAGATAGTAGAGAGTTTTCATATACTCCACACATCTCCCCTCACAGTTTCTACTATTGTTAACTCTGGAGCATCCACAGCTTAATTGGAGTTTCAGTGCCAGACCGACTAACAGTCCGGCCCTAACAGGAAATGAAGGGGAACTGGAGGTGGGTGTTTGCAGTGTGCCTCTTATGCAACACATGTTTTACCTGGCAGATGGCCTGATAACTAGTTGTCTGACCCACAGCCAGGGGGTCGCTGAGACAGGAAATTTGTTTCTATTGGCAGACACCCTTTTGGCTCTTCTCTGACCTGTGTGCGGTTTTTGCTTGCCTGCCCATTGTTCTGTTGCTGGGAGCCTGACTGTTTTTTCTCTCCTGGCATCATGGGGAAATCTAGCCTGGAGTAGCCCCTGGTTCTTCACATGAAAGGCACATATTGAATACAGCGCCACAGTAGGAAATGAGTTCAAAGATCTTTTAAGGTACAGATTCTAGGCAAGGAGAGAGAGGGAAACGAGGTGGGGGTCAGGGAGAGGAGCAAATAGCAGTATATATAAGGAATAGGGTGTGGGTCACTTTAAGTTCATAAGCAAATACCTAAATGGTCTGCTTAAAAGAAGAGGCAGGAAAGTAGGGAGCCCAGTCAGCCAGGCGGAACAGATGCCTCTAAGTTCTTATCTGTGGCCACTCTGGCCACTGGCTTGAGCCATTTGGATATGATATAGAACTGGAAACTGTGTCAAGGGTGACTGAGCTCTGCTTCTGTATGAGAAAGTTAAGCTTTTATTTAAAATAGATGCCAAGGAAGTATAAACTTATAAGAATTTAATAAAATAACATCTTACAGAAGTGTGGTATTTTTGTCACAATTAATGAACCAATATTGGTAGATTATATTAATCAAAATTTATACTGCATTCAGATTTCCTTAGTTCCTACCCAATGTTCTTTTATTGGCCCAGTATCCTACCCAAAATAATATATTTGGTTGTCACGCCTCCTGGGTTGTTCCACCTACTTGAGGGACAAGTATCTGTATAAACTATTTGAAATTCTTCTGCAGGAGAGATTTGTCCATTCTCTGTCATTTAATTATTTGTTCAATCATTTATTTATAACATAATGGATTCAATCGCGACATCTTCTTTATGTTTGGGGTTATAATCCAATACAATATAATCTGATATATTCAAGGGCAACTTTTGATGTGAAATATTTGCCTCATGCAATAGTAGATGCCTAATCTTAGTACAAGGTGAAACTACATGGTATTTTAAAGTAATTATGTTGAAACTCCCACTTTAAGCCACACTGTTTAGCACGTTTTGTTTCAGAAATACAGTAAAAAAAAAAGTTGGCTCATAAGGAGAGTATTATAGGTTAATTTAACTCATTTTATTTATTTATGTGTAGGTGAATAATTACATACAATATAAAAATGTAGTACTTTTGCAAATAAAAATTTAAAGAAATTGTCTTTTGTTTAAATAAAAGTAGCTGTGAAATGTAACAATTATTCTAAAATTATACTCTCAATCATATAATACTTATTTGAAGTAATTTGCAAACTATAGTGTGCATAATAATTTCCTGAGTTTGTTGACAAACATCTATTTCTGATTCCCACCCTCAAATATTTTGTTAGGAAATGTCAAGCGTGGCGCTCACAATACACAATTTAAAAAGCATTCCATGGAATCCAGATGATAATTTTCAGTATTTCCTCTTCCAGAAGTGCTATTGTGGGGAAAGAGACCCATTCTTCTAGGGATAGAATATCCCAAGACCCACATCTGCATAGTAGCATGTCAGATAACTAGCTGGATACTTTTGGCAATGTGACTAAGTTCTCTCCATCTAAATGAAAGTATAAATTAAATATGCAAATTTTTGCCACTTCTTTAACAAGTAAGCTCCTTTTCGCCCACTTCACAGTCTGTAACATGGTTATGCTGCTGGTGAGTCACATTTAACCAAGTAGACAAAAATAAATAAATAAATGGGGAGTATTAGCAGAAAAGTAGATCACCCTGGATATCCCGGACCACTTGCCTTCCTCTGGGCTGATATGCGTCTCCATACTTTTGCCCTCTTTGTTATGGCAGCATAGCTTATACTTCAATAAAAATGTTTTTGAGGAATCGGATCAAATCCTGCCAATACTCATATAATGCATATTTACTAATACTTTAGTTTTAAATATGGTAAGCACATGTCCCAGTTGGTCTTAGACTGCCTGTTTTATATCTGTAGTTGGACCTAATTATTGTTCATGCCTTTTTTCACTCTCAAAAATAGCCTTGTTTAAATGATAAATGATATGACACTCTATTTTAAGGGACTTGGCTTGCTCAATAATATATCAGAATTCTAAAAAGTTTCTACTCAAAATTAAATTCAGATTCATACACAGTTCAAATTCATGGTGATCATACAAACTTTAAGCACAAAGAACACTTTACATGAATGTTATTGTACAATTATGTATATGTAATATTATAATTGGTGTTTGATTAGAAGTGAAAAGTAGGCAAAATAAGGCTGGAATAATTTTTTTTAATTTCTGTTTAAATCATTTTACAGCCTCTCGAATCTCCTCTGGCACCTAAAAATAATGAGCCAGGAATTCTACAGGCCATTGGCAAGTGCTTATCGACTCTTCAGAATTTCTGAATAAGCAGAATGATTAATTCATTTAAATTTATTGCCCAGGAAATATCAGAGGTGGCAGATGCTTTTCTCAATAGTGATTTACATTGAGAAGAAAATGAAAATCCTGGCCGTCTTAATTAGGTGAATGCACCACTAAATCTAGACTCTTCTGCTGCAATTTTATGAAGAAGCAGAAGTGTTCTTCCCTTGTTTTTTTGTTTTTGTTTGTTTGTTTCTATTTGCTGGTATAAATTTTTGCCAGTACTTTTTCTATCCTTTATGGGGTGGAAGTCCCTAAAGATTGCTGCCTTGGAAATGATTAATCTCTAGTCATTAAAGCTCTCAACTGACATTGCAGAAAAGCTATCAGAATCTCTTCATTAGCCTTGAGATCGAAAGCTTTAGATAAGCACAAGTAAACTTGGATTCTAAAACCATCCTCAGAGTATATTAACAAGAAAAGATTTTACAGCAACTCAGGACTAATACTTCTTTATTCAGATGCTGTTCTATTACATGGATTTTGCAGAACTATATAATCTGCCTTAATAATAATAAAAAAACTGTTAATGTAAGCTTGGGAATATTACACAACAGGAACTTGTCATCAGTAACTTCTTCCTGTCTTTTTTTAGTAATTGAAAGAGATGTGGTTTTAAGAGCTATACCATGTTGATTCATTCTTCTTATTTACTTATTTTATTTCCTTTTTGAGACAGAGTCTCGCTCTGTCACATAGGCTGGAGCGCAGTGGTGCAATCTCGGCTCACTGCAACCTCTGCCTCTGGGTTCAAGCAATTCTCCTGCCTCAGCCTACCGAGTAGCTGGGACTACAGGCACGTGCTACCACACCTGGCTAATTTTTTGTGCTTTTAGTAGAGATGGGGTTTCACCACATTAGCCAGGATGGTCTTGGTCTCCTGACCTCTTGATCCGCCCGCCTCGGCCTCCCAAAGTACTGGGATTACAGGCATGACATTCTTCTTATTTTATAATTCTCACTCAATCTAACAAAAAGTAAATCCTAGGACTTAGTAATCCCAGCTCCTCAGGAGGCTGAGGTAGGAGAATCACTTGAACCCAGGAGGCGGAGGCTCATTTGAAACTCTATCTCAAAATAATAATAATAATAATAATAATAATTTTCGTTTAAATCACTACATTTCAGCCTTCATTTTAATTTTTTTATAAATTAATTTTTTTCTTAGGATTATTGTTTTTTTCTGTAACATGTTATATCAGTGCCAGTGCTCTCACATAAGTGCACCTATCCTACTAAGCTAAATTTGAGACATTGAATTATTATTATAGGGCTCTATAATTATAGTCCTTAAGATTCTTTTTAAATATAACTACATAAATATTGTGCACTTTCAACTGAGCTATGTTTTCACAAATTAAATCAAATAAGGTGTCTAAAATGTGACAGACTAATAGTCCATAAAATTTTCATTGGTTTATTCCACATGTATTATTACCCCCAATTTCAACATCCAGCTTTTCATTTCCTCTTCTTATATGAATTGGAGAAACCACAGTAACTTTATACCCAACTACTATTCTATTTCCCAAATATGATATTCTATCACAACAAAGAGAAAGAAAAAGGACTGACTAATTTTACTTCTACTCATTTTTATTTCTCATTAGGCTTCTAGCCCTGATTTATTTTAAAATCAAAATAAATTGTGTCAGTAGTTATTCTAGAGACTCTTTATAGTTGCCTTAAAATAATTCACTTCTACGAAGTTCTATTCTCAATTCAATTTTATAGTAAAGTGAGTATTAGAAAAATAAAAACTAGAAAATTATTCAAAGTCATAAATAGTAAAATACATATATCACTTATTTTTCAAAGTAATTAAACATTTTTACTGGGTACTTCCTAGTGCAAGGATTTGGAAACTCCCTGAACAAAGACTATTAATGCAGCAAGATGTCTTTAGAGAATGGTAAGTGGTCAACAAGGCTAGACCTTGGCAGTGAATTAGTAGATGTAGGGAAGACAAGTTGGAACGGGATATGGGTGGCTTTTAGTTTTCATAATAAGGTGCCTGGATGTAATTTGAGTGAATATTCCAAACTGTTTGAGCAAGTTATGAATATTGTCAGAGATGTAACATGTGTTTGAAGGTGCAAGAAATCTTGGAATTCACTGATCCAGAAGAAGGTAAGGTAGAGTAATTGATGAGCCGACTAATTCACAGCTAATTAGTAACACATTTCTATTTCATCTAAAGTGCCTAACACAGGGTGGATATGCTACATACATCAAATCAATATTTTTAATTAAATATTTTTTTTCAAAACATATTTTCTCAAACCTTCCTTCCCATTTCAAATTTGGATGATACCTTTTTTATTATGGGAAAATATACATAACAGGCAATTTAGCATTTTAACCATTTTAAAGAGTATAAACTGTGGCATTAAGGACACATTGTTGTGCAATCATCACCACCATCCATCTCCAGAAGCTTTTTAGCCTGTCAAACTGAAACTCTATGCCCATAAAGCCATAATTCCAATTTCCTTGTCCCCCAAGACCCCGGAAACCACTATTATATTCTCTGCCTCTATGAGTTTGAGTACTCCAGAAATCTCGTATCATTTTTCCTTTTGTGTCAGACTTATTTTGGTTTGCATAATGTCATCAAGTTTCCCCATGTTTCATGTGCCAGATATTTTTTAAGACTGAATAATATTATTACATTGTGTGAATACACCATGTTTTGTTTATCCATTCACCTCCTATGAACACTTGAGTTATTTACATCTCTTGTCTACTATAAATAATACTTCTATGGGCATGGGTGTGCAAATATTTTTTTGGGGCCTTGATTTTGATTCTTCTTATCTCATTTTGCTTATTATAATCTTTGATAATCTTAGTTCATATGTCTCTCCAGAAACATGAAATCTTCACTGTAACTATAAACTTTATCATAACTATCAGCCCTGTGAAGACTGTTTTAAACATTGCAGTAGATTCCTAGACTGCCACAAACCTTACATAATGATTAATACCCATGTCATTCACCAGCACACATTACATTAACTTCTGTAGGCAAAGTTGCATAGACATCAGATGGACAGATATGAACCAACATGTAGAACTATTGTCAATGTGAATACACTAAACTATCCTTGAATATCATATTTAGTAATTAATCCAGGCATCCATTAATGAAACTGTGGTTTAGCAGGTTCACGTTCCATGGAATACCAGTGGAAGATAAACTGAAAGGTTCCAGTAGATAAATTGCCTATCATCCTTCCTCTTCGTGATCAAATGTTCTTATTCACAGTGATTCCAGAAGTCTCTCTATAAATGTCTCCAATTTCCACTCAATCAGCAACGATTTCCTGAGAAGCTGTAGGCAGCTCTGCAATATGTTACCTTGCATTTGTTTCCCTCCTTTTTGGAATCACTTCCCTTTTCTCATCACTCTAAAAGCCAGGAAAGGAGCTGTTATGGCCTTCAAGCCAGTTTTCAATAAAAATCAAACATCCTATTCAGGAGATTTGCTTTATAGGTCTACCCTGGTACCTGAATTCTTGAAAAACAGAGTCACGAATAAAACTTTATTTGAGAAATTTATTACACATTTTGTTTTTCTTGTTACCAAAATAAGGACATTTATCTTAATACACATTTTTCTTAGATGTCTCCAGTGGTTTCCACTACTTTGAGATTCAAAGCCTGTACTCTCTCTAATGCATATTCTGTGTTCTTTTGATTTTTTTCAGGATTCAAAGACTTGGGAATGGCTTACATTTTTCTAGCAACACAGGCACTGAATTATTTTCTGGAATGAATCATCTAATTTTCCACTATACAACTCTTAAGATACATGTGTTGTATATTAGCTTCACTTTCTAAAGGCTCACTCATTTTTGTGTGCAACAGTCCTTGAAGAATGTTCAAAATGATGTGGATTTTACACTACTATCTTGTTTGGTACTCTTATATTCTTTAAACAATCTATAACTCTTGATTTTTCAAGTCTCTGCCTTTCAGGTTTTGGTAAGAAGCATAAATCTTCTGCTACTGTTTGTAGAGAAGTTCAGCTTTGCAGATTCCTTTCCATCTCCGAACTAAGCCTTCTAGATATTCTCTGCTAACCAATAGGTCATCTATTTACAGTGTAACTCCATTGAAGAAGGGGAAGCAATTTTTAAATTTCTGTATTCCTTTTTTCCTTTTAAATTTTAAGCAAGTTTAGAATGACTAGAAAAGATATTGCTTTCATGGTGGTTTTCCATGTACTCCCTTTGTAATAAAGCAGAATTGGGTGTACTCAGTTTTCGTACAAATAATAGTATTCTTCCCTAGACATGCATGGTTATAACTGGTGTGGTAATTTTGACCTCTGTGTGATTCTTTTTCAGTTACCTAGATTTTCTCTCAACACACCTAGTCAACCACTATAGTTCCAAGAAAGAAAGAAGGTAGTGGTATGTTATCTAGTAAAGGAGAAGGAAATGACGAAGTGGAAGATCCATACAGGGAGAGGAAGGCGAAATCTCAGGCAGGCAGGTGGTAAGGTTTTGCCTTAACAAGAATTCCTGGCCGGGCACGGTGGCTCACGCCTGTAATCCCAGCACTTCGGGAGGCCAAGACGAGCTGATCACGAGGTCAGGAGGTCGAGACCATCCTGGCTAACACTGTGAAAACCCATCTCTACTAAAAATACAAAATATTAGCCGGGTGTGGTAGCGAGTGCCTGTAGTCCCAGCTACTTGGGAGGCTGAGGCTGGAGAATGGCATGAACCCGGGAGGCGGAGCTTGCAGTGAGCCGAGATAGTGCCACTGCATTCCAGCCTGGGCGACAGAGCGAGACTCAGTCTCAAAAAAAAAAAAAAAAAAAAAAAAGAATTCCTATGGGAAGGACATTCACATTTTCTAGTTGCCTGTTTTATCTTCAGTGCCAAGAGATCATGGAACCCTCTCATCTACAAAACCAGAGGCCATCTTAGAGAAAAGGGAGAGGAAAATAATCTGGAAATATACCTTATAATTTAGGTGGTTAGACCAAGTTTGATCAGACCAATTTTGGACTTGTGAAAATAAGCATTAAATTCAAGTGTTGGCAACACAATGCATTCTACAGTTCCAGATTGATAGTAATTTAAAATGTTTGTTAATATTATTCTATTATTTATGTAATACTTATAAAACTAATTTGAAAGCAAGAAAAATACAGAAAATAAAAAGTCAACTTCAGGGGCCAGTATTACTCAGTTATCTATTCTTTTCTTCTTTCTTTTTACAGAGGCGTAGACATCATGTATGTAGCCCCTGAAATAGAGTGAAATAATAAAACTTTTTTATAATCTGTTTTCTTAGAAAACCTATTTCTGAAGCTCTGTCACATTAAACCCCATTAAGTTTAAAAGGTTTAAGAGAAAACACTAATAACTAAGCCTAATATCCAATGAGAAGAAGAAATAAAATCTTAAAAGAAACAAAGAAATCATTCAGTAGAAAGAAAGTATTATTTAAAGTATGTAAATAAGGGATTATTCCAGGAAAAACATAGGAACAAAATACAACATTTATTATTCTAGAGATTAAACTATAGTCCTTAGACTGTGACATTTAATAACTCAAAATGAACAAAATTCTTTAATTTCCATTGATTTCTTCTCTGACAAAGCATTGCCACATACCAAACGTGAGCTAGTGTGTGTCCAAGGGCTACTAAATACATAATTAGCAGCGTGTTGTTGTTTAGTTTTTGCCAAGGCCATAAATAATTTTTTCTGTGATAAACTGTCCAACCCTGAAGGTTAACGTTTCTATCAAAGTTAATCAGTTCCTCTGAACAAAATTAGATTTAAAAATATATATTCAATCAAATTAAATTAGGCCTTCATTAATCCACTTAAACAGAAAATGAGCAGTGGTAAGATGAATTATTACTCCAATTCTGAATTATGTTAACTTTTTTAAGAAATACAATATTCTTATTACAACTGTTTATGGAGGTTCCTAATCAGAACTAGGCACTGTGTTTTAAATACATGATAATTGATCCTTACAAGGAAACTTCAACATGAGTATTATTATCACTACTTTGAGAAGAAGAAAAGTCAAGGCTCAATGATGTAAAGAATCAGTCTACAGAATGATGATGCTTGGGTTTTTTTGGTGTATTATAGACCATGAATTGTCTGCATATGAAGTTGTTCTTTCCATTTAACTATTATAAGTAGCATATAGCAGGATTTTTATATCCAATTAGATAATCTCTGTATAGGTATTTACCATAAATTAATTTTAATTTATTTCTAACTCCTTGTATTGCGCATTTGTTAAGCTTTTTTTTAAATTTTTTTCTATTCATGGTACACAGATAGGTTTTTATTTTTCTTATTTCCTTTAATTACATAAACTCTACAGATTTTACCTCTCTTGTTTTAGGTGGTTCCTTTAGAAGTATAATAACATTTTTAAATATAAATTTGCCTACCAAAGTATAATATCCATCAGTACTTCAATCTAGCACCAGAACAACAAAAAAAATCCCTAATAGCTTAACACTTTAAAAAACATGCTCTATTCTACATTACTGTTGTATAAATTTGTTTTGCAACTTTTGTTATTTTAAATATCTACTATGATATTAAAATATCAATATCTTTTATTAATTACATTATCATCATATTTGTACTTACCTTCATTTTTATTTTGACTGAAGTCTACTATTTAGATTTTTCTTTTGTTTTGGCAAAAGGATATTCGCAATTAACTAATTGTGTCTCTTATTTTACTTCATTTATAACAATTTTATAAGAGAGTGTATTAGTAGATTTTCACACTGCTGATAAAGACATACCAGAGACTGGGCAATTTACAAAAGAAAGAGGTTTAATTGGACTTACAGTTCCACATGGCCGGGAAAGCCTCACAATCATGGCTGAAGGCAAGGAGGAGCCAGTCTCATCTTACATGGATGGCAGCAGGCAGAAAGAAGGCAAAAAGTGGAAACAACTGATAAAACCACCTTATCTTGTGAGAATTATTCACTACCAAGAGAACAGTATGAGGGAAACTGCCCCCATGATTCAATTATCTTCCACCAGGCTCCTCCCACAGCACATGGTAATTATGGGAGTACAATTCAAGATTAGATTTGAGTGGAGACACAAAGCCAACCATATTATTCCTCCCCTGGCTCCTGCCAAATCTCATGTCCTCACACTTCAAAATCAGTCATGCCTTCCCAACGGTCCCTTAAAGTCAACTTATTTCAGCATTAACTCAAAAGTCAACAGCCCAAAGTTTCATTTGAGACAAGGCAAGTCCCTTCCACCTATGAACCTGTAAAATCAAAAGCATGCTACTTACTTCCTAGATACAGTGGTAGTACAGACAATGGGTAAATAGAGCTGTTCCAAATGAAAGAAATTGGCCAAACAAAGGGGCTACAAGCCCCATGCAAGTCTGAAATCCAGTGGGACAGTCAAATGTTAAAGCTCCAAAATGATTTCCTTTGACTCCAGGTCTCACATCCATGTCATGCTGATACAAGAGGTGGGTTCTCATGGACTTGGGCAGTTCCACCACTGTGACTTTGCAGGGTACAGCCCCTCTATCTGTTGTTTTTGTGGGTTGGCATTGAGTGTCTGCAGCATTTCCAGGTGCACAGTTTAAGCTGTCCATGGAGCTATCATTCTGGGGTCTGGAGGACAGTGGCCTTCTTCTCACAGCTCTACTATGCAGTGCCTTGGTAGGGACTCTGTGTGGAGGCTCTGATCCCACATTTCCCTTCAGCACTGCCCTAGCAGAGGGTCTCCATGAGCGCCCCACCCCTGCAGCAAACTTCTGCCTGGGCATCCAGCATTTCCATACATCTTCTAAAAGCTAGGTGGAGGTTCTCAAACCTCAATTCTTGACTTCTGTGCACCTGCAGGCTCAACACCACATGGAATCTGCCAATGCTTTTGAGAGGTGACAGCGTGCTGGCAGTCCTCAGAGCCCTTGCTTGCTCTTGGCACCTCCCCTGCCTGGGCTCCCACTTTGGTGGCATTTGAGGAGCCCTTCAGTCCCCCACTGCACTGTGGGAGCCCCTTTCTGGGCTGGCCAAGGCCAGAGCCCACTCCCTCAGCTTGCAGGGAGGTGTGGAGGGAGAGGCACCAGTGGGAACCGGGGCTGTGTGCGGCACTTGCGGGACAGCTGGAGTTCCGGGTGGGCGTGGGCTTGGTGGGCCCCGCAGTCGGAGCAGCCAGCCAGCCCTGCTGGCCCCGGGCAGTGGGGGACTTAGCACCCGGGCCAGTGGCTGCGGAGGGTGTACTGAGTCCCCTAGCAGTGCTGGCCCACCAGCGCTGCGCTCGATTTCTCGCAGGGCCTTGGCTGCCTTCCCACGGGGCAGGGCTCAGGACCTGCAGCCCACCATGCCTGAGCCTCCCACCCACTCCATGGGCTCCTGTGCCGCCCAAGCCTCCCGGACGAGTGCCACCCCCTGCTCCACGGCGCCCAGTCCCATCGACCACCCAAGGGCTGAGGAATGTGAGCACACGGCGCAGGACTGGCAGGCAGCTCCACCTGCAGCCCCGGTGTGGGATCCACTAGGTGAAGCCAGCTGGGCTCCTGAGTCTGGTGGGGATGTGGAGAGTCTTTGTATCTAGCTCAGGGATTGTAAATACACCAATCAGCACCCTGTGTCTAGCTCAAGGTTTGTGAGTGCACCAATCAACACTCTGTATCTAGCTGCTCTGATGGGGCCTTGGAGAACCTGTGTGTGGAAACTCTGTATCTAACTAATCCGATGGGGACGTGGAGAACCTTTGTATCTAGCTCAGGGATTGTAAACGCACCAATCAGCGCCCTGACAAAACAGGCCACTTGGCTCTACCAATCAGCAGGATGTGGGTGGGGCCAGATAAGAGAATAAAAGCAGGCTGCCCGAATCAGCATTGGCAACCCGCTGGGGTCCCCTTCCACACTGTAGAAGCTTTGTTCTTTTGCTCTTTGCAATAAATCTTGCTACTGCTCACTCTTTGGGTCCACGCTGCTTTTATGAGCTGTAACACTCACTGCAAAGATCTGCAACTTCACTCCTGAGCCCAGCAAGGCCACGAGCCCACGGGGAGGAACGAACAACTCCAGACGCGCTACCTTAAGAGCTGTAACACTCACTGCGAAGGTCTGCAGCTTCACTCCTGAGCCAGCGAAACCACGAACCCACCAGAAGGAAGAAACTCCGAACACATCTGGACATCAGAAGGGACAGACTCCAGACGCGCCACCTTAAGAGCTGTAACACTCACCGCGAGGATCCGCGGCTTCATTCTTGAAGTCAGTGAGACCAAGAACCCACCAATTCCGGACACACATTGGGCTTGCACCATCTGAAGCCACAGCCTGAGCTCTACCTTGGCCCCCTGTAGTCATGACTGGAGCGGCTAGGACACAGGGCACCAAGTCCCTAGGCTGCACACAGCCCAGAGACCTTGGGCCTGGCCCATAAAGCTACTTTTTCCTCCTAGGCCTCCAGACCTGTGATGGGAAGGGCTGCCATGAAGACCTCTCACATGCCCTGGAGACATTTTCCTCATTGTCTTGGGGATTTACATTTGGCTCCTTGGTACTTATACACATTTCTGCAGTGGGCTTGTATTTCTCCTCAGAAAATGGGTTTTTCTTTTCTATCAGATTGTCAGGCTGCAAATTTTTCAAACTTTTATGCTCTGTTTCTCTTTTAAAAATGAATGCTTTCAACAGCACCCAAGTCACCTCTTGAATGCTTTCTTGCTTAGAAATTTCTTCCATCAGATACCCTAAATAATCTCTCTAAAGTTCAAAGTTCCACAATTCTCTAGGGCAGGGCAAATGCTGCCAGTCTCTTTGCTAAAACATAACAAGAGTCATCTTTGCTCCAGTTCCCAACAAGTTCCCCATCTCTGTCTGAGTCTACCACAGCCTGGATCTTATTGTCCATATCGCTATCAACATTTTGGGCAAGCCATTCAAAAAGTCTCTAGGAAGTTCCAAAGTTTTCTCCATTTTCCTGTCTTCTGAGCTCTCCAAACTGTTCCAGCAGTTACCCAGTTCCTCTCACCCAGTTCCAAAGTCACTTTCACATTTTCAAGTATCTTCTCAGCAGCTCCCCAGTTTACCGGTACCAGTTTAATGTATCAGTTCATTTTCACGCCACTGATAAAGACATACCTGACAGTGGGCAATTTACAAAAGAAAGAGGTTTAATTGGACTTACAGTTCCACATGGCTGGGGAAGCCTCACAATCATGGTAGAAGGCAAGGAGGAGCAAGTCCCATTTTACATGGATGGCAGCAGGCAAAGAGAGAATGAGGACAATGCAAAAGTGGAAACCCCTGATAAAACCATCAGATCTTATGAGATTTATTCACTACCATGATAACAGTATGAGGGAAACTGCCCCCATGTTTCAATTATCTTACACCAGATCCCTCACACAATACATGGGAATTATGGGAGTACAATTCAAGATGACACTTGAGTGGGGAAACAGAGCCAAACCATATCAGAAAGTATAATTATAAGTTGACATATATTTTTCTTTAGCAGTTTGAAAATTTGAGGGGCTCTCTAGGGCCGGCTACCTCAGAAGAATCAATCAAGACATTCCTAGCTGATATAGTTTGGATATTTGTCTTCACACAAATCTCGTGTTGAATTGTAATCCCGGTGCTGGAGGTTGAGCCTGGTAGGAGGAGTTTGGATCATGGGGGCAGATCCCTCATGGCTCTATGCTGTGTCAGTGATAGTGAGTTCTCTTGCGATCTGGTCTTTTAATAGTGTGTGGCACCTACCCCCATTCTCTCTGTCTCTTATCCTGCTTTCACCATGTTACATGCCTGCTCCCCATTCACCTTTCACCATGAATGGAAGCTTCCTGAAGCCTCCCTAGAAGACAGATAGATACAAGCACCATGCTTCCTATAAAACCTGCAGAACTGTGAGCCAATTAAACCTCTTTTCTTTACAAATTACCCCATCTCAGGTATTTCTTTATAGCAATGTAAGAATGGCCTAATACAGATAATTTGTACCAGGAGTGGAGGATTGCTATAAGGATACCTGAAAATACGAAAGTAACTTTGAAACTGGGCAAACGACCGAGTTTGGAAGAGTTTGTAGGGCTCAGAAGAAGACAGAAAGAAGATGAGGGAACGTTTGGAACTTCTTAGAGACTAGTTAAATAATTGTGACTGAAATGCTGACAGTGATATAGACAGTGAACACCAGGTTGACAAAGTCTCAGATGAAAATGAGGAAATTGGGAACTGGAGCAAAGTTCATGTGTTCTATACCTTAGCAAAGAGCTTAGCTGCACTAAAAAATGACTAAAAATTCGAATTTATATTATATTTAAAAAGGAAGCAGAGCATAAAATTTCAAACATTTGCAGCCTTGCCATGTGTCAGAGAAAGAAAAAGCTTTTTTGGCAGAGGAATCCAAGCGGGCTGCAGAGCAACAACTTGCTAGAGAAATTTGCATAACTAAAAAAGATGCAAGTGTTAATAGCAAAGAGAATGGGGAAATGGTCTCCAAGGCTTTTCAGAGGCTTTCACAGCAGCCCCTCCCATCACAGACCCATAGGCCTAGAAGGAAATAATGGTTTCATATGTTAGGCCAAGAACCCTGCTGTCCTAGGCAGCCTCAGGACACTGCTTCCAACATCTCAGCCATTCTGGTGCCAGCCTCAGATCAAAGGGCCAGAGTTACAGCTTGGGCTGCCACTTTGGAGGGCACAAGTCATAAGCCTTGGCAGTTTCTGTGTATTGTTAAGCCTGCAGGTGCACAGAATGCAAAAGTGATAGATTCCTAGCAAAGCATCTGCCTAGATTTCAAAGGATATATAGAAAAGCCTGGGTGCCCAGGCAGAAACCTGCTTCAGGGATAGAGCCACCACAGAGAACCTCTACTAGGGAAGGGCCAAGGGGAATTGTCGAGTTGGATCCCCCACACAGAGTCCCCAGTGGTGAACTGTGTGGATCTGGGAGAAGTGGATCAACACCTTCTAGACCCAAGAATGGCAGGCCCACCAGCACCTTTCACCCTGAACCCGGAAAAGCCACAGGGACTCAACAATCTGTGAGAGCAGCTTCGGGCTGAATCCTGCAAAGCAACAGAGGCAGAGTTGCCCAAGACCTTGGGAGCCTGTCTCTTGCATCAGTTTGCCTTGGATGTGGGACATGGAGTTAAAGAAGATACTTTTGAGTTTTAAGATGTAATGGCTGCCCTGCTGGGTTTTGAACTTGCATGGGGCCTATAACTCCTTTCTTTTCAGGACAGTGATCATGGTGTCCTCTTCACCCATCATATAGTGAGTTAGCTAGACCTTACTCATCATCTTATTGCTGTTTTTTTAGACTAGTTTCTTTAGACTATTTTATTGCTGTCTCTTTGGACTATTTTCAGTATCAGCTTTAGTTCAGTTCTACAAACAAACATTTTGTAGATAAGACGGCAAAACATTTATTGAGGGAGGGAAAAGGAGAATGCAGAAATCATAGTGTATGCTTGATACCTGTGAAAGAAAAGTGGAAAGAAAGGAAGGTTTAGTAAGAGGAACTTCATATTGCTTTATCATTCCAAGAAAGCTTTGGCCAGTGCTATGGGGCTTCAAGTTAAAGTCAGCCATTGGCTAATTTATTCATTTTGGAATGAGAATGCTAACCTATGTTACCATTGCATCTTGTAACCAACTTGTTTTTTATTTTACAGGCTCATAGGTGGAAGAGATTGGCCTTGTCTTCGATGAGACTTTGGACTTTTGATTTAATTCTGGAATGAGTTAAGACTTTGAGGAACTGTTGGGAAGGCATGATTATATTTTGCAATATGAGAAGGACATAAAATTTGGAAGGGGCCAGGAGAAAAATGATATAGTTTAAATACTTGGGTCCACTCAGATTTCCTGATGAATTGTAGTTCAATGGATTGATAGGGAGGGAAACACTTTTAAACTCATTCTCTGAGGGCAGTATTACCTTGATACTAAAACCAGACAAAGACACAACAGCAACAAAAGACACTACAGGTCAATATCTCTGATGAATATAGATACAAGAATCTTCAACAAAATTCTAGCAAATAGAATTCAACAACACAATAAAAAAATTCAGCATGATCAAATGGGATTAATCCCAGTGATGCAAGGATGGTTCAATATAAACAAATCCATAAATATCACATCAACAGAATCATGAACAAAATTTGTATGGTCATTTAAATACAATCTGAAAAAGTATTTGAAAAAAATGAACATCTCATCCTGGTAAAAACTTTCAACCAACTGGGTATAGAAGGAACATACTGTAATGTGATAAATGTCATTTGTGACAAGCCCACAGCTAATTTCATACTGAATGGGGAAAAATGGAAAGCCTTTCCACTAACACCTGAAACAAGAAAAGAATGCCCACCTTAACCACTTTTATTAAACATAGTACTATAACTCCTAAGCAGAGCAATTAGACAAAAGAAACAAATAAAATACATCTAAATTAAAATGGAAGAAGTCAAGTTAGCTTTGCTTGCAGATGACATAATCTTATATTTTGAAAAACCTAAAGACTCTACTAAAAAAACTCTTAGAATTGATAAACAAGTTTAGTAAATTTGTAGTATACAAAATGAACATACAAAAATCAGTAGCATTTTTATACATATTTGTATACATACACCATTTTATACACACACCATATACATACACAACAGTGACCAATCTGAAAAAGAAATAAGAAAGCATTCCCACTTAAAATAGCCAACGGGAATTTAAAATACCTAGGAATCAATTTAACCAAAGGCATGAAACTTACATACAAGAAAACCTATAAAACACTGATGAAAGAAATTGAAGAGGACACACAAAATGGAGAGATATTTCATGCTCATGGATTAGAAGAATTAATATTGTTAAAATGACAATACTACCAAAGCAATTTACAGACTAAGTGCAATCCCTATCAAAATATCATGACAATATTTACAGCAATAGAAAAAAAAATCCTAAAATTCATGTGGAACCACAAAATATCTTGAATAGACAAAGCAATCCACAACAAAAAGAGGAAAGCTGGTGGGGTACCACACAAACTGACTTCAAAATACTCTACAAAGCTATAGTAACCAAATCAACATAATAATGACATAAAAACAGACCCATAGACCACTGGAAGAGATAGAAACACAGACTACATCCATGCACTTGCAGCCAACTCATTTTTAACAAAGGCACTAGAAATATATAATGAGGAAAGAACAGTTTTTTTTTTTTCAATAAGTGATGCTGGGAAAACTGGGTATCCATATGCAGAAGAATGAAACTAGACCCCTATCTCTCACCACATAAAAAAATCAAATTAAAATGGATAAAAGACTTAAACCTAAGACCTGAAACTATGAATCTACTAGAAAAAAATTATTGGTGAAATGCTCCAGGGCACTGGTTTGTGCAAAGATTTGGAGAGTTAGAGCTCAATAACATAGGCAACCAAAGCAAAAATAGACAAATGGGATTATATAAAACTGAAAAGCTTCTATACATGAAAGAAAATAATCAACAAAATAAGGAGAAAACCCACAGAACAGGAAGAAATATTTGCAAACCATTCATCTGACAATAGATTAATAACCAGAATATGTAAAGATTTCAAGCAACTCAATAACAAATAAATAATCCAGTTAAAAAATCCATAAAAGTTCTGAATACACATTTCTCAAAAGAAGGCATACAAATGGCCAACAGGCATATGAAAAATGCTCAACATCATTAATCGTCAGAGAAATGCAAATCAAAACTACAATAAGATATCATCTTACCCAGTTAAAATGGCTTTTATCCAAAGACAGGCAGTAACAGATACTGGTGAGGATGTAGAGAAAAGGGAACTCCCATACACTGTTGGTGGGAATGTAAATTAGTACAGCCAAGCAGAGAACAGTATGAAGATTCCTTAAAAAATTAAAATAGAAATACCATATGCTTCAGCAATCCGACTACTGGGTATATATCCAAAAGAAAGAAAATCAACATATCAAGGAGATATCGGCACTCTCGTGTTTATTACAGCACTATTCACAATAGCCAAGATATGGAATCAACTTAAGTGTCCACCAATGGATGATAAAACCTAGTGTTTGACAGATCAATAGGATGGACTACAGCTTGCAATAATATATTGTAAACTATTTCAGCTATTTCAAAATAACTAGAAGAGAATAATCCAAACCATCCTTATTATTAGCAGAGAATGTTTCTAGCATAAAGAAAATACAAATATTTAAGGTGATAGATAATGTAACTACAGTAATTTGATTTTTACAAATTATATGAATGTATTAAATTTTCACATGTGGCTAGGCATGGTGGCTCATGCCTGTAATCTCAGCACTTAGGGAGGCCGAAGTGGGAGGATTGCTTGAGTCCAGGACTCTGAGGCTGCAGTGAGCTATGACTGCACCATTACACTCCAGCCCAGGTGACCAGAGATTCTGTCTCTAAAAAAATAAAACAAAGTAAAATAAAATATAACACAATTTTAAACAATTTTTACATGTACCCCAAAATATTTACATCAGTTATGTCTCAATAAAAATAAGAAAGAAGATACAAAAACGAACACAATATTATTTTGAACATGAAGAAATGCATATATATTTTAGCATAAATATATATTTGTAAAGCATTATGTATATGTGCATGTATAACAATTGCATGAAATAAAATGTGCACGATTTGATACATTAATTATGTATTCAATTTATAATAATGTCTCTATGTTTATATTGGATTTCTTGACCCAGATATTCCCATCAAATTTAATTTCACCCTGATAAATGTAGCTATTCAAATTACAGTTAAAATTACCTATTAAAAAAGTTGCCGGGCTCAGTGGCTCACGCCTGTAATCCCAGCACTTTGGGAGGCAAAGGCATGTGGATCATCTGAGGTCGGGAGTTCGAGACCCGCTTGACCAAAATTAGCCAGGCGTGGTGGCGCATGCCTGTAATCCCAGCTACTCTGGAAGGCTGAGGCAGAAGAATCGCTTGAACCCGGGAGGCAGAGGTTGCTGTGAGTCGAGATCGTGCCACTGCACTCCAGCCTGGCTAACAAGAGGGAAACTCGGTCTCAAAAAAAAAAAAAAAAAAGCCAAGCCCATTAATGCTTATATATGAAAGATGGGAATATTAGTGTATATTTTAATTACATACATATATTGGACTTCTCTTTGATAATTACAAAGAGCAAATAAATATTAAATAAGGTGCAATAGTTGTTGTTAGAAATATTGCTAAGTTTAAGACAGAAACCATGGCATCAAAATCTTTCTCTGTCACAATCAAATGTGTCATAAAATCTGTCATACAAAACCTCTTAACCTTTTAAAATGATAGTTTATGTTCCTCCTGTAGAAAGGAGGGATATTTGTAAAATTGCATGTTTGTGATAAGAACAAAATAAGATAATATATATGAAAGTATATGATATATAGTATATACTAAGACTTAAAAACAGCAATTTTCATTTTATTAAAAACATTGAAATATTGGAGATAGGAGACTTTTAGGGTAAACATTTATCTTTGTCAATTTCGGACTGCTTTTTATATGGGGCACTCCTAAAATAATTTTAATATATTTAGCATCCTATCAATTCAAAAATACATATAACTATATTAAGGAGTAAAATTTGTCCCTACATAATCAAAAAAACAACATCTTATGTTGTGTAAAAAATGTGTTATGAAAAGAGTAGAGCATTTACAAGGTCACTGGAGTCAAAAAGAAAAGTAGAAATCAGAAGCAAGTTAGTATGCAATTAATAAAGACATTTTAATAGATAACACATGGTTATCTTAAGCTGTCATATTGAGCTGTGTTGGTGCTCTCTTCCATGCATCAGCCAGTGCTACTCCATACAATTATCCCGTGATATTCTGAAATGTTATTTTATATGAGAGAATATTCAGCAAACAATTTGGTGAATGCTGACTTATTATTTTTTACTTTTTAATTTTTTAAACTTATATTTTAGGTTCAGAGATACATGTTATATATATATGTTACATTTGTAAATTGCATGTCATAGGGGGCTGATTTACAAATAAATTGTATCACCCAGATAATAAGCATGGTACCCAATAAGTTTTTAATCCTCACCCTCCTCCCACAAGCCACCCTCAAGTAGGCCCCAGTGTCTGTTCCCTTCTTTGTGTCCATATGTGCTTGATGCTTAGCTTCCATTTATAAGTGAGAACACATGGTGTTTTGTTTTTTGTTTCTGCTCCTTTAGTTTGCTTAAATAATGGCCTCCAACTTCATCGACGCTGCTGCAGAGGGCTGCATACTATTCCATAGTGTATATGTACCACATTTTCTTTATCCAGTCTACCACTGATGGGTATTTAGGTTGATTCCATGTCTTTGCTATCATGAATAGTGCTGCAATACACATACATATGCATATCATTTGTATTATTGACGGGTCGAATTCTGCTGTAAATTCTTTCAGAAATCATCAGACTGCTTTCCACAATGGCTGAAATAATTTGCATTCCCACCAGCAGTGTATAAGTATTCTCTTCTCCACAACCCCAACAGTATATGTTTTAGTTTTTAATAATGTCCATTCTGCCTGCTATTAGTGTCTCATTGTGACTTTAATTTGCATTTCTTTAGTGATTAGTGATGTTGAGCTTTTTTTCATATGCTTGTAGGTCACATGTTATGTCTTCTTGGAAAATTGTCTGTTCATATCATTTGCCCAAAAAATAAATGGGATAATTTATTTTTTTACTTGCTGAGTTAAGTTCTTTATAGATTCTTTATACTAGACCTTTGTCACTTGCATAGTTTGCAAATGTTTTTCCCATTCTGTAAGGTGCAGTTGCCTGTTTACTCTGTTGATAGTTTCTTTTGCTGTTCAGAAGCTCATTAGCTTATTAAGTACCATTTGCCAATTTTTATTTTTGTTGCAATTGCTTTTGACATCATCATCATAAAATTTTTACCAGGGCCTATATACACAGTGGTATTTCCTAGGTTAATTTCTAGGGATTTTTTATAGTTTTAGGTTTTACATTTAAGTCTTTGATCCATCTTGAGTTGATTTTTGTATATGGTGTAAGGAAGAGTTTCAGCTTCAATCTCCTGTATGTGGCTAGCCCGTACCCCAGTATCATTTGTTGAATAGGGAGTCTTTTCTTCATTGCTTGTTTTTGTCAACTTTGTTGAAGATCAGATGGTTGTAGGTTTGTGGCATTATCTCTGAGGTCTCTATTCTACTCCATTGGTCTATGTGTCTGTTGTTTTAATTTTTAAAAAATTTTTTATTTATTTATTTATTTATTTACCAATTCCATGCTGTTTTGGTTACTGTACCCTTGTAGTATAACCTGAAGTCAGGTAATGTGATGTCTTCAGCTTTATTCTTTTTGCTTAGGATTGCCTTGGGTATTTGGGCTCTTTTATGGTTTCAAATGAATTGTAACATAGTTTTTTTCTAATTCTGTGAAGAATCATTGGCAGTTTGATAGAAATAATATTGAATCCATAAATTGATTCTTGCAGTATAACCATTTTAATAATATTGACTCTTCTTATCCTTGAGCATGGAATGTTTTGTCATTTATTTGTGCTATCTCTTATTTCTTTGAGTGGTGTTTTGTAGTTCTTGTTATAGAGATATCTTGCCTCTTTGGTTAGCTGTATCCCTAAGTATTTTATTCTTTTTGTGGCAATTGTGAATGAGATGGTGTTCTTGATTTGGCTCTCAGCTTGTATGTTGGTGTGTAGGAATGCTATTGATTTTTGTACATTAATTTTGATATCCAGAAACTTGGCTGAAGTTGTTTGTCAGATCAAGGAGCCTCTGGGCAGAGGCTGTGGACTTCTAGATATAGAATCATATCATCTGCAAACAGGAATAGTTTGAGTTCCTCTCTTCCTATTCGGATGATTTTTTTTTCTCTTTCCTGATTACTCTAGCCAGGTTTTCTAGTGCTTTATTGAATAAGAGGGATGAGAGAGGGCATCCTTGTCTTGTTCCAGTCTTCAAGGGGAATGTTTCAGCTTTTGTTCATTTAGTAGGATGTTGGATATGGGTTTGTCATAATGGCTCTTATTATTTTGAAGTATGTTCCTTCAATTCCTAGATTGTTGAGGGTTTTTCACATAAAGAGATGTCAAATTTTATTGAAAGCCTATTCTACATCTGTTGAGATAATCATGTGGTTTTCATTTTTAGTCCTGGTTATGTGATGAATCACATTTATTGATTTGCATATTTTGAACCAATCAATCTTGCATCAAAGCCACTTGATTATAGTGAACTAGCTTTTTAATGTGCTGCTGGATTTGATTTGCTAGTATTTTGTTGAGGATTTCGGTATTTATGTTTGTCAAGAATATTGGCCTGAAGTTTTTGTTGTTGTTGTTGTGTCCATGCCAGGTTTTGACAAGAGGATGATGCCAGTCTTCATAGAATGAGTTAGGGAGGAGTCCCTTCTCTTCAATTTTTTGGATGGTTTCTGAAGGAATGGTATCAGCTCTTCTGTATACATCTGGTAGAATTTGGCTGTGAATCCATCTGGTCCTGGGCTTTTTTTTGGTTGGCAGGCTTCATATCGCTGATTTAATTTTGGAAATCTGGAAACTGGTCAGTTCAGGGATTTAATTTCTTCCTGGTTCAGTCTTGAGAGGTTCTGTGTGTCCAGAAATGTATCAATTTCTTTTAGGTTTTCTAGCTTGTGTGCATAGAGATTTTCAAGGTGGTCTCCGAAGGTTTTTTTGTATTTCTGTGAGGTCAGTGATGACATCCTCTTTGTCAATTCTAATTGTGTTTATTTGGATCTTCTTTATGTTTTCTTTATTATTCTAGCTAGTGGTTAATCCATCTTATTATTTTTTTCAAAAAAAGCCTTTAGATTCTTTGATCTTTTGTAATTTTTTTGCCTCTCAATGACCTTCAGTTCTGCTTTGATTTTGGTTATTTCTTGTCTTCTGCTAGCTTTGGGGTTGATTTGTTCCTGTTTCTCTAGTTCCTCTGATGGTGATGTTAGGTTGTTAATTTGAGATTTTTCTAACTTTTTGATGTGAGTTTTTCATGCCATAAACTTGCCTCTAACACTGCCTTAGCTGTATTCCAGAGATGCTTTTATGGTGTATCATCATTCTCATTAGTTTGAAATAATTTGTTTGTTTCTGCTTTAATTTCACTGTTTACCCTGAGGTCATTCAGGAGCAGGTTGTTTAATTTGCCTGAAATTCTATAGCTTGGGGCTATCTTCTTGGTATTGATTTCTATTTTTATTGTGCTATGGTCTGAGAGCATCATTGGTTCAATTTCTTTGTTTTTGAATTTTCTGAGAATTGTTTCAAGACCAACTGTGTGGTCAACTTTAGAATATGTGCTATGGGCAGATGATAACAATGTGGATTCTGTTATTTTTTGATGGAGAATTCTATAGATTTCTATTAGGTCTATTTGGTCAAGTGTTGAGTTCAGGTCCCCAATATCTTTGTTAGTTTTCTGCCTTGGTAATCTGATACTGTCAGTGTTGTGTAGAAGTCGCCCGCTATTATTGTGTGGTTATCTAAGTCTCTTTGTGGGTCTCTATGAACTGGCTTTATGAATGTGGATGCTCCTGTATTGGGTGTGTATACAGTTGGGAAAGTTACGTCTTCTTGTTGAATTAAGCCCTTTACCATTATGTAGTGTCCTTCATGGTCGTTTTTGATCATTTTTGGTTTAATGTCTGTTTTGTTTGAAATTAGCATCTCAACCCCTGCTTTTTTCTGTTTTCTGTTTGCTTGGCAGATTTGTCTTCATTCCTTTACTTTGAGCCTATGGGTGCCATTGTATATGAGAAGGCTCTTTTAAAGACACTATACCATTGGGTCTTGCTTCTTTTTCCAATTTGCCACCTTGTGCCCTTTGATTCAGGCATTTAGCCAATTTATGTTCAAGGTTAGAATAGATGTGTGCAGATTTGTTCCTGTCATCATGTTGTTAGCTGGCTACTATGAAGACTTATTTTTGTGGTTTCTTTACAGTGTCACTGGTCTGTATTCTTAAGTGTGTTTTTGTAGTGTCTGGTAACGATCTTTACTTTTCATGTCTAGCACTCCCTTTAGGACCTCTTGTAAGGCAGGTCTGGTGATAAAATCCCTTAACATTTGCTTTTTCTGAAATGGATCTTATTTCTCCTTTGATTATGAAGCTTAGTTGGCTGAATATGCAGCTATTGGTTGAAAATTCTTTGCTTTAAGAATGCTGAATATAGACACCCATTCTGTTCTGCCTTGCAGAGTTTCTTCTGAAAGATCCACTGTTAGCCTGATGGAGTTTCCTTTGTTGGTTACTTGCCACTTTTTCTGTCTGCCTTTAACATTTTTTTTCTTTCATTTTGACCTTGGAGAATCTGGTGATTATGTGTCTTGGAGATAGTCATCTCGTATAGTATCTCACAGGAGTTTTCTATATTTCCTGAATTTGAATGTTGGCCTCTCTACCGAGGTTGGGAAAATTTTTATGGATGATATTGTGAAGTATGTTATCCAACATATTTGAAAGTTGTTTGCTTTCTCTCCCTGTCATTCAGGGACAGCAAAGAGTTGTAGATTTGGTCTCTTTAGATAATCCCATATTTCTCAGAGGTTTTGTTCATTGTTCATTATTGTTTTTTCTTCATTTTTGTCTGACTGATTATTTTTTCGAACAGCAGGTCTTTTAGCTCTGAGATTCTTTTTTCTCAGCTTATTCTATTCTGTTGTTAATACTTGCTATTGTATTCTGAAATTCTGGAAGTGAGTTTTTGGCTTTATCAGCCCAATTTGGTTCCTTCTTAAAATAGCAATTTCATCTTTCATCTCCCATATAGTTTTATTATATTCCTTTATTGTACTCATGCTCATCAGCCTGGGCAGGCCAATGGCAGGCTCTGGGCTAGAGCTTTCCATGCAGCCTTTGACAACGGCAATGGTGGTGGCACTGGGCAGGGTTGGCACCTCTGGTGTTAGTGTGCATGTCTGCACCCACCGTGGTGTCAATGTGGGGACAGGGCACTGGTGGGCATGGGGCTCGTAACTTTTATGCACACATTCATGCCAGCAGCAATGATGGCATGGTGTGGGGCTTGGGGGCCACTCATGTCCCTGTGCCTGTTTCTGCTGGTAATGTGGCAAAATGGCACAGCAGCAGGGTGAGGAGTGAGTTCACTCACTCTGGTAGCAATGGCACAGTAGGGTTCACACACACACACATGAGCCAATGTGGAAGGGGAGGCAAGGCCTGTCCATGTACATGCACAGCAGCAAAGCAATGAAGGGGTGGCCATGGGTGAGTGTGTGCTGGCAGAGCAGCATGTGGGAGGCGGCAGTGAGGGAAAGGTGCAGATGGGCTCAGGTCTGTTGGCAGGGGCCACGCCGCTGGAGTTCTTCAATAGTCAGATGCTGCCTGCCAGCACAGGAGTTAGGATGTGGGTCCCTGGAGGCACTAAGGCTGGACATCTGAGGCTGCCTGCTCACGCAAGCAGGCACCACCAGCCTGGAGCCCTGGAAGAGGCCAGCAGACAGAAGGGTGCTCATGTCAAACTGGCCCCATCTCACCAGCAAAATCACCCTACTCTGCTGAGATCCAACAGTTCCCCCAAGGCTAGAGTGTCCTAGGTGAGCATTGTGAGCCTTGGGGGATAGGTGTCCCAGGCTGTGCTCCCTGCAAATATTCCCACTCCAAGCCCTCTGGGCTCCACACAGGCTAGAGTCCTGCCCCTACCACCTGTCTAAGCAGCCTCCCTGCCAGCTCAAGTGTCTGTGGGGGCCTTGGGGTCTCCTATTGTCAGGATTCCAGAGATCCGTGGTAAGAGTGGGTTGCTCCTCACCTGCTTGACTCATCCCTACTCCAGGAGTCACTGGGGACTAGTAAAAAGTCCCAGTGCATAGTACTCTCATACAAGGTTTCCAGCTTCCTCCCCACTCACAGCATCTGTGCCTTCCCTACGTCCAGCTTCATTCTCTTCCTCACGTCCTGGTCCCTCTTAGATGTTCCTTCCAGCTGCCTCTAGTCAACCATCTTGCTGACAAAAAAATTTAAAAATAATAAAAAAAGAAAATCTACCATCATATGGTTATATTTCAGAGCACATTCATCCTTTCTAAAAGTTATTTTGTATAATAAAATAGACAAAATAATACAATAGGTCTTCTGAGTGTTAAATGAAATAATGTTGCAAACAGCCCAGCACTACCCTGATATTGGTAGTAGTATATTAATTCCCTCTACCTCTAATGTTATATTTGGTACTGGTCTGGGTGGATTTTATCAGCACAAGTATGTATTTCAATACTCAAGATAGTTATATATATTATTGAAAATGAATAAATTAGCTTTAAGTTTTGGTTATTATTAGTCAAATTCATCAGTGCCTTATTACATTAAGAAAAATTGTAATTATTATTTTGAGGTCTGTCAAGCTTAACAGCAATTTTTCATATTACAGTTGATCATTACCAAGATTCAATAGCCTCTTAACTTTCAGTTAAGACATCATGCTCACTTTTTATATAATTCTCTGTTGATCTGTGTTTATTTTTATATATAGGAGGATTGTTCAAATCACAGTGGTAGCGAGAAATAAATATGGTAATAATTTCCATATTACATTTTGAGTTATGCTTTCTTCTTAAAATTATGTATCTGAGAACTAAAATTGTACATACTTCCTGTCTTTAGTAAATTTTAACTCATGGCATATTGGAAGACTTTTACTTTGTATACCTTAGATAAGGAAACTAGGGCACTAAAGTTTTTACATATGTAGGGATCATGTAGGAAGATTCTGTCTCATTTGTATGTGGCAGACATCCCCTAGATGTATGTAGTAGTATAGGTTAAGATGAAATAAAAGACACAAATGTTAGCCTTCTCAGGGGGTTCTTATTTGATTCCAATTATTAGAGCAGATTTTGCAATCTAGGCTGAAGGTACAAGCTCATTTCACATGGGCCAAAAACAGTCACTGAGGTTAATGACTTTTTGTCATTACTAACCTGACTCAAATCTGAACTGGTGACCTAGAAGTAAAAGACTGAGTATGCCACAAATCCCCTGATTGCTTTCTCTAATTTATATCTTAATTTTTTTTACTTATAATAAGTGATGGCATCAAACTCTTAAAATTGTATGTGAAATCATTTTATGAACCATTTACTTCAAGATATATTTGTCATATTTAATATGTACCTGTTGTTAATACATATTGTCTTCCAGAATTTCAAAAATGCGTATTTTCCTAAATTTTTCCAGGTGGCATTTGCACATCTTTTTCAAGTGGTTCTATAGAATTAAAATCACTGCTGTCTACAGCAGTCAGATAAATCCAGCACCTTCTTAAATAATATATATGTTGCTTATTGGTTATAATTGACTTTTCCACCAGTGATTGGAGCTGGTTTGTTGCATTTTTAACTATTGTGTGAAGGCAATTCCTTCATCAGGCAAGTATTATAGATGTACATTCTGTTAACTCCTGCCAGTTCTGCTGGTGATTTTCATCCAAGTATTTCTCTCAAGTTAAAAAATGTAATTTGTTATTGTAGGTATCTTCCAAAGACAATAGAAATGGCTGCTTGGAATTGAGATTTAATTTGTTCATAAAACAAAAACAACAAAAAAAGGAATTTGAACAGAGATTATTTCAGACTTAGAAAATCAAGCACCTTCTATTGTGTAATATTTGGGAGGGAATACACAGGTAAGCACCTAATTTAGTTAGCAGAAGCAAATGTAATAGATGCTACCATACATTATTCCTTAAAATATATATTATTCCTTAAACATGCATTACATATATCAGGACTGAATAATGCTTCTGTTCTTTCTTGTCCTCCTTCTCTTCCTTTTCCTTCTGTGTACAATAGTGAGTGAAGTGCCATTGCTGTCCTGTTGAGATTATTTGAAATAAACAACTTGAAGAGAATAGTTCCCTTATCATTAACAAAGCATAACTTTCCTGGATTCAAGTATTTGCAGAAATGTGTGTGTTATGTGTGTGTCTGTACATAAATGCATGTGCTCCCAGGTGTTGGAGACAGAGACAGGTGCTATTGGAGATCGCAATCATTCATTTTTCTAGTATCATCAATAAAACCACGTGCTAGAATATTGTAGAAAAATAAGATTCTATCCGTAGACTAATTTCTCTCTAAAATAAAAATATAAGGCATTGATAGGACTTATTGTTTCAAGTTTGCTTTCAAGATCACTAAGGTACCGGAAATTTTGTAAAGCAATTGCAGACATATACAGTGTGAGCATCACTCTACAAATGAGATTCTTCTTCTTCTGCTTCTTCTTTTTTTTTTTTTTTTTCTTTTTTTGAGACAGAGTCTCGCTCTTTTGCTGAGGCTGGAGTGCAGTGGCGCAATCTCAGCTCACTGCAGCCTCCGCCTCCCAGGTTCAAGTGATTCTCTTGCCTCAGCCTCCTGAATAGCTGGCACTACAGGCACACGCCACCACGCCCAGCTAATTTTTGTAATTTTAGTAGAGACGGGGTTTCACCATGTTGGCCAGGATGGTCTCAATCTCCTGACCTTGTGATCCACCCGCCTCAGCCTCCCAAAGTGCTGGGATTACAGGCATGAGCCACTGCGCCTGGCCGAGATTCTTCTTTTTGAAAATTTTAGGACCATTAAGAGATTAAAAAATAAACCACAGTCAAGACAGCAACAAAAAACATAAATACTAATATCATATTTCCATATGCATATCTATATTGTGATGTACAGTGAAAGAAAATTATGTGTTGGTCTACCTCATTTTTTTGGTAAGAGTTTACATTTATGTCCATATCTGATCTTAAAAATTAGATATCCAAAAGAGCAGAGGCTCCTTATTGAAATTAGTCAACCCGCTTCCATGTATTCCATTATATTAAAAACTGATAATCCTGTTTTATATATACAATGCTATAACATCTATACTGTATGACATAAATTGCTGGACATTCTCTTAAGAACTTTGGTATATAGAATAAACCTTGTCTTCTTAGAGTAAACCAAAGATATTCCGTCTTAGCCATGTGGAGAAAAAAATTGGATGAGCTCAGAGAAAAAATATAGCCTTATTATACTTGGGCATCTCAGGGCTAAAGTTGACTGAAACAGCAAGGGGTATCTTTAGTCTGGTGAAAATAATAAATATTTAATTAGGTTGAAGGGATGCACTAGCAATCAGCAGAGTAGACTGACAGTTGGGATTCTGTCAGAAGATTGTCAAGTATTATATTACTCAAGAGTGACGTGAAATCAAGAACTGAATGACAGTAGTTGACAGAAATGTAATTCTCAAGGAACATATCTTTAAATCTCTAATTAAGCATGATGGCAAGCATAAGCAAGGATAGCCTACTGAGTAACAAGGAATATGTGCTCTCATTCCAATTTTATCTTTTTTAGGGCTAGTTAAGTAAGTTAATAGAACTTTGTGAGATGAGGTAGATGCTTATATGTGCTTTGTAAAAGCTTTAAATTGACAGAATACTCTGGCCAAAAATCTGATAATCAACTGTTTTACAATTCAGTTGCGTAGTGTAATTGTTAAGTTGATGAAATGTTTAAAATGAAAGAAGAAAAGAAAGTAATATTTACTGAAATCAGGAATGTTGTATTTTAAAAGCATAGAATGTGTCTAAGACATTGTATGTAATATAAAAGTGCTGCTGAGACTACTACTAACACTATTACTATTAAGATTATTATTCTTTCCTCATCACAATAAACCACGGAGACTGGCATCATCTTCATTTTATAGACACGTAAATGGAAGTTAGTGACAACAAAGGCATGTCATTGCTACATTCATTCATATAGTGGTTGTGTATTTGCTGTGCCTGAAATTGTCCTTTAAAAGTTATATTCTTACTTGTTAAATAAAATAATCACTAGTGAGCTTTCAGAGGATATTTAGAATGTTTGTTTCTTATATTTGGAATCAGAAGATTGTTTTAAAAACTATATGCACCTTTTATGCTATATTTAGTAATATAAGTTTTTAAGGCTGTAAGTTTGTCTTGAGCACATTACATTAACTTGCATTACCTATTCAAATAAATAAACTTAGAAAAAGTGAACAATAAGAAGAGTAGAAGGAAATAATAATGAAGATATTAAAAGAAATGAATTCATTTGTTAAATTCATTAAATAACTTTCTCAGAGGAAAATTAACAAAATGTTTATGAAAATGAGAAAAACAAATAAGATTAAAGCTATCAAAGGAGAAACTAAATGTATAATGAAGTGCACATTAAATATGTACAGCATTTTATCTATTAGTCTTACTTTCATAAAGAGGTTTAAAAAATAAAAAAGAGAAACAGGCACAGCAGCAAGATAAATGTTTGAAATTCCAAGAGAATAATTTGCCAAATTGTATGGAAATATATTTGACAACTTGAAAAAAATGAATAATTGACTAAAAAAATTACCATTCACAATTTGTCAAAAGAGATAAGACTAAAATTGAATACTAAAGAGTACACAATTAATCCTAAAATGGCAGGAAAGAGAAAAAAAAGGAACAAAGAATAAATAGTCCTGTTAAGAAACAAATAGCAAGATGATTATGTAACACAAGAATCACCAGTCACATTAATGTAAATATTCTAAACTCCAAGTAAAAGTTCAAATAAGATTAAATAAGAGAAGAATATCCAATTATAGGTGTAAAAATGTTTTTAATATAAGGACACAGGTTAGAAAGTAAGAGTTAAAAATTACATATATATAATCTTGTACAAATTAATATTGTTTGTTAATTTTGTATAAATATATAAACCATATATATATATTTGTATTTGAAGACTTTACATAGAAGCAAAGGCCATAGAAAAGTTATTCTACAAATGTTCAACAAATGGACCTTGGGCTATGGTATGGGGGAAATAATAACATTCCCCATTAACATAGACACTACAATTCTTAAGAAAATAATAGCAGACCAAATTGATCAATACATAATAATATTAATACATCATAAATAATTGGGCTTATCAAAGTCATGCCAGTTTGGTTTAACATTTAAAACTCAATCAATGTAATTCACCATTTATTCCTAAAAAAGATCATATGTATGAAGATCTAAATCGATAAAGAAAAGCATTTAAAAAAGTATCATTCATTCATGACTAAATATGCACATGCAAAACAAAAGAGATAGTAACTAAAATTGGGGGGAACTTCCCCTACCTAGTAAAGGTAATCTTTGAAAAAGAAAAATCTATAGCCATCATTACACTTAGTGCTGAAAAACAGAACTTGTCATCTGTAATATCAGCAACAAGGCAAGGATATATGCTCTCATCACTTTTCTTCCCTATCTTACTAGAGGGCATAGCCAGAGAAATAAAGCAAGAAAAGGATTAAAGGCTAAACGACTTGAAAGGAAAATAAACAAAACTTTCTTTACTCACAGATGATATAAAATATGCATAGAAAGCCTAAGATGCTAGAATTTATAAATAAATTTCTAGATCATAGTATATAAGGTAAATATGCAAAAATATATTTCTATACACTAGTAACAAATAACAAAAATAAATTTTCAATTACCATATACAATATCTTGACCAACATGAAGAACTTAAAATCAATTTAACAAAACATAGTCAAGACCATTTCACTGAAATTTACAAAATGTCACTAAAATCTACTTAATAAAATACAAATAAGATGGACACATACATGAATTTTATGGAATGGAAAGTTCTGTGTTGTTGTGATGTTAATTCTAGTAAAATTGATCTATGGATTCGACAAGATTTCATTGAAATTCTCAGAAGTAATATGACGACTCATGAAAAGAACCTCAACTACCCAAAACAATTTTTAAAATAAAATATGTCACAGGACTTCTAATAATTGATTTAAAGACATACCTTAAAGCTACACTGATCAAGTGAATCTTGTAGTTGTATTAAGAGAGACATATAGATCAATGGAACAGAATAAAGAATACAGAAATGGAGTCAGGCATATATTTTTAAATACTTTTGAAAAAGGCACCAAAGTCATTCAATGGGGAAAGTGCTTTTCAAAAAATAATGTAGATGAACAGGATATTTTGCTAAAAAATAAACTTTGACTTTTAACTCACACCATACTTGTTATTTGATCCCAAATATCCTCTCCTTGGTACCCACAAAAAAGCCATGAATACATATAACCATAGGGAGATATGTAAAAGAATGCCTGTAGAAACTTCATTCACAGTAGCCAAGAATTGTAAACAACCCAAATGTCCATCAACATATGAAAAGAAAAATATCGTGAAGTGTCCATACAATGCCATGCATTACATCACAAAAATGACATAAGCTTCTAATACACATAAAAATACAGATGGAGTTCAAACATACTGAAAAAAATTAAGCCATGCACAAAAGACTGGAAACTGTATGTTTCTACTTTTTTTATATTCATGAGTAAGTAAAATTAATTCCCAGTTAAAAAAAGCACATCAGTGATCGTCTGAGGCCACAATTGAGGGAAATTGACTACAGAGGGCAGGAGAATACTTTTTGGGATGATAGAAATATTACATTTCTTCATTATGGTGATGGTTACGAAAGCGTATACCTTTGTCAAAACATAACAAAATGGGTGCATTTTACTATGTGTAATTATAACTCAAAAGGTTGCTTAAAAATTGATGATGTGTGTGAGGGTAGTAGCCAATTTTGGAGTGATGTTTTGGGTAGGTGAGAGGTGTTGAGGTATAGTGTACAAGTTGGGGGGATTGGATTTAGAAAGAAGCACATTTTCTCTATGATAAGCACAAAGATGTCAGAGTAAGTAAGTATGGTTAAAAGGAAACTAAGATTTTCAAAATTACTTGTTTTCTCAGATAAAGATGAGATGGACTTTGATGTAGAAGTACAGGAAGACTGAGAAAAGAAGATACAGAAAAGAATAGGAATATGATTTAACAAGAGAACTATGAAGTAGCAACCAGAACCAATGGTCCACGTTAAGCGTGGGGTCATTAAATCAGTCAGCTGTTTGTATGTTTTCTATAGCCACATTGAACAGCTTTTAGAAGAATTTTGGAGTAAGGAGACATTGAAAAGTAACCTGAGTTTAATGTGAATTGATTTATTGTTTATTTATGTGTTCAGTCAAGTGAGTAAACAGAGCAAAGAGAGAGGATTGGCTTTACAAAGAAGCAGAATTTATCTTTGCTTCTTTTTCAGCAAAAATGAGGGCAGGGCACGATGACTGATGTCTGTAATCCCAGAACTTTGGGAAACTGAGGCAGGAGGATGGCTTGAGCCCAGGAGTTCCAGACAAGCCTAGGCAACATGGGGAAATCCTGTCTCTACAAAAAATAAAAATAAAAAATGAGGTGGGGGCATCGCTTGAGCCTGTGAGGTTGAGGCTGCAGTGAGCTGTGATCATGCCACTGCACTCCTGCCTGGTGACAGGAGTGAGATCCTGTCTCAAAAAAGAAAAGAAAAAATGAGAATATAAACATAGGATTGATTATAATCATGAACAAACAACCATACTATCTAAACTAGCTGAGCAAGGAAATAGTAGAACAAAAGAGGTGATCAAACAGTAAAAAATTTTCAGGGCCAATAGATCCATGCAGTCCGCCTGAAAAATTAGCAAAAATAGTTTTAAAATATAGGAGATAAAACACAGCAGAATAATTGAATTTCAAAAATATAAAAATGACAAGGTTAATTACCACTATGATCTGAGATCAGTGCAAGGTTGTGGCTCCAATACCAACAGACTGGATGAACAAGTAACCCATCCCCTCTGTACCCTCAGTTGGTTCATCTTCTCATCTATCTCTGTCACTCAGACCTTCATGTTATAAGCATAATAATTGTACCTAAATCTTAGGTCTGTTTGTATGGATAAATGAGACAAAGAATACAGGCCACTCTTACATTGTCAAGTAACTTGTCAATTCTTTGTAAGTTTGCTTTTAAAAAAAATATTTTCTCCTCGCTGCCTCCTCTCTCATATTGTCCTCCTTCTTCTTAATACTAGTATTAGTATTCTTGGATATTATGAGGGCCACTGCTACTATTTTCTACCACAATTCTGCACTCTTTTATATTACTTAAAATTTTGCAGGATTTCTACTAAATTTATAATATATGTCAATGCCTAGTTCCAAAAATTACATGCTAAAAACAAAGATTTCCTAGTAATTATGTTGTACTGTGATTACGTAAATGGTATTGCCCCAGCAATGATTTACCAGAATTTTACACACAAAACAGAACACATGTTTGGGAGAAAGTAAATGTATTCCTATTGGTTTAGCACTCTGCAATTGTTCATTTATTAACATTGCCATATGTGTACTACATTTACATAGGGAAGATTGTTTTTATAACCGAGAAGAAAGTAGCACATGTTAATGAAGAATGATAAGTGATATGGATTAGTATATATTATGAATTAATAATTGTCATCCTTGTTAACACAATAGTCACCAAATTATAGCAATATTATTCGATATTATTAAAGAAATATTTGAAACACATTGCAAATATCTGGGACATTATAAAGTTTTTCCAATGCTAACTCTTTCAATCAAAAATTACAATGTAATAGATATCTTTTGGATTGACCTCCATTCATGAACTGCTCAGTGATAAATGTTGGCAGAGTCTATGTATTAGGCAAGATATTAGCATAAGACAATATATACTCAAAAGAATTTAATGTTGCAAATTTAACAAGGTAGCAAAGATCATTTAATATAGCAAATATTTAAGGAGGCATGTTCAGGAATAAGCTATCAACAAGTACCTAGGTGCAGTAGCAGGGAACTTTTAGAATCCTAGGTCAGAAGTGTCAAAGGAAGGATCATTTTATAAGAACCCAGTTGAAAGGTGATGGTTGAGGTAGGCACTTCCAAACAGGAGTTATAAATGTAGAAGAATGCAGCAACTGGCAAAATAGTGTTGAGATAATTAAGGGAAAAATATTACAAAATCCCTGGGTTCGGTTTCCCACTGTCCTCTGATTTCCTATGAACATCTTCCATCCGTCAAATCCAAAAAGAGGCCAAAGTGTGAGACGCTCCAGGAGATGGATTCTGTAGTTGTCACCTCCAGCACAGCAGAATGAGGCAGAGAAGGCAGAGGATGTTTCTGGGGGAGGGAAACAAACAAGCAAAAGACACATTAAACCAATAATAATATTTCATTGCTCAGAGGTGGCATGCACAGAATTTCTCAAAGCAAGAATATATTCTTATCATCTTTTACCAATGTTATCCTGAAAAATGCTACTGCTACTTTTATTTGACAAAAATGTATATGTCAAAACTGGCTTATAAATGACTCTGCATGACAGCCTTAACCTAGGAAGAGTGTCTATGGTAGAGAATATTCATGACTTAATACATGTAATTGTTACTTGTTTGTCAGTGGTTAATGGACTCACTAGATGCAAAAGAAAAGCAAGGTTGAGGATTGGTCAAAGTGTATCAGGGGAAGGCTAATTTTAATATAGTCTCAATGAGTGAAAATCTCAAAATGCATATAAATGCTCATCCAAAGTTCCCCACTAAAAAGATATTCTGTGCAATCTGTTGGGCAGCATGATGACTCTGTGTATATGAATCCTCCACCTTCTCTCTGCCACACAGTGTGCTGTTTACTGTGCTCATGTATAAAGCAGGCATGGTATAAAATTAGAAGCTATACATAGTGTGGGCAGCATAGATTCCCCCAGTCAAGTCCTTCATTTTCAGCCTTCAATTTCCTCATAACAGCAACCAATCCTGTTCTTGGATGTGGCACTATGCAGAAAGGAAAACTGTTATCCTGTATAGCCATTACATTATGTTTGACCCAAAAACTCATTCTTACAAAATAATTACTTACATAAGTTTGAATTTGGTTTCTCTGGCCTTCATGATTTTTCTAAAATCACCATTTCAGTACATTACACACTATCAATACATTTCACTCTATATTAATTTCAGCCAAAATAGTCATTTACCAGCCAAAGAAAGGAATCCATGAACTGATATATGTGGGATTCACAGGTTCAATCCCAACACAGATTGACTAATGAATTGATAGAATGAGCTATAGACAATTTTTATATGGCACTGCTAGAGAAAGATTACATTATAAACTGAGTTATTATTTTGAAAATGAGTTATGTGTTTCTAACCAGTTACCAACACATACAGTTTTCTTTCCTATAAGTTACATATAGGTGTTCAGGAATCAAAGAGTAAAGTGAGTACCCCTTATCACTAATGACATACTCAAAAATTGCTTCTTGCCTCTTTCAAGAAGAAATTGGTCTTGATTTCTTGATTTATCTGGTCTTGTTGGGCTTGGAAGTCTTAGTATCCAAGAGGAAACTTTCAGTGCTTGCTCCTGGTTATGGTAGACTGATTCATGTAAGGAAGTCAGATGCAAAACATGACACGCAGACGCTTCACCCCAGGAAATTAAAATGCCACATCAGATGTTTTGAAGAAGATAATTTCATGTGTCATGTTTAAATGATGTCAAGATAAAAATTAAATTAGTTACACTGTAAGCTAAACATAACTGCAGGGTAGTTTGTCCAAATGACAGCTATAAACAGTGGTAGGTATGACTTAAACTAGTCTTCACTAAAAAATGTGAAAATAAGACTCAGTCATTCTTTGCCTTCTTTCTATATTTATTTGAGAAATTAACAAATTTCAGATAAAACCAAGAATTACTGGGACACATACTCTATACAACACAATATTTAAATTGAACACAATATCTCTGTACATAAGAAATATAAGAATTCGATTTAATTTATTTTACTTATTTTTTCATCAACTAGACAAGAAATATATTATTCTGCACTTATCTTCATTTTCATTTTAATACCAATGCCTTCATTCATTATATTATACTTGTTATATTACCAACTCAGTTCACTTCAGAAGCAGTTTAGGCTGTGCATTATGTGATATTACACAATAATACCTAATTTAAGGTATATATATAGATAGACTTATAAATATATAGTTCTAGTTCAAGTGAGACACAAGTTAACAACATTATAAACAAAGCTACAGAAGCAGCTCCTATAAGCAATGAAGAGTCATGGAAATATTTTAAATAAGTGAACATAAGGTACAATTTACCTTTGGAAATATCATCCTGCCAGTAATGTGGACTATAGATAAGAGGGGTATAATGATGGATGCTGTAAAGTACTGTGTAGATTCTAGGATTTTACCCTTTTTACAAATAAGATGAGATGCCGGGGTCAGTAGCAAATAAGTTTATCACTCTTGGCAAAATGAGTGCCCAGAACTTCAAGTTCATTTGTATTGGTTCCCTATGCCCCCTCTTCCCAGCGCATGTCCCATGAGGTCTACAGAAAACTATTATGGATAGCTGCACACACTGACTTGCATTACAGGAGAGTAATATTGAGTCAGAGAGATTCACAGTGTTTATGGGAAGTGGAAAAAAGCCAGCTCATCTCTCAAATACAACCTTGAGAAATGGCCTAAGAGTTGTCAGAGCCTTGCATTTTTTGCATAACTAGTAAAAACATGCAGGCATGCTCAAGATCCCTGGCAGATTATGTCTCTCAACAGACAGGAGGACAGCTGGAACTTGCTGGTTTGTTCCTGAACCAAGACAACAATGCTGAGGAGAAGGATAATGATAATACTGTCAAGAAGAAAAATATTAAGACTATGTATAAATATATAAATATTACATATAAAATTTACTTAGGTGTATATTTATATATACATGTATATTTATACATTGTATATATAGTAAATATACACATACATACACATTCATATGTGTGTATGAGTGTGCATGTTCACATATGTTTAAATCTTGTGTCTTAAAATCTCAGATAAAGAAACAGAATTTGAACTTAAAATCCCTTGAATCTGAAGCTAGTTCTCTTCTGCTATAAATAGAAAATTTTGCAGTGAGTATTAGAAATATGAAAAAAATAGCAAATGTCAATAGTAATCAATGATGAGTTGAATATAAACAGTAACAGAAAGTGAGACATTGAGAATTATACTGTCATTAATTTATATTGATAAAATTTAACTAAAAAGTTTTTTTTTGTTTTTTTACAAGCATTTGTTACGGATTTTAATGTTGGCTTGTTAAGTTTTTAGATTTCAACGAGAAAACTGAATGTGTGTGTATTCATTTAATAGGATTTATAGAGCTCAAAACAGCTGACATCACCAAATATTAAAATAGAAAAAGTCATTAATACATGCTATCGTACCCCATGATTATTCATCTAATCTTTTATTAGAAAATGTGATTCTCTTGAAATCTTATCCTTTTTCATCATTTGCACAGCAAAAACTAACTATAAATTCTTCTTTCCCTATTACTTTACCCAATCAGCTAAAATTTGCTGGAAAAAAATCAATCAACATTGCAGATTTGTGCCAATAAATCATCCCCGACTTGTGCTCGCCTCCCTCCCACCCATCCTTAGGCTTACACTTCTATTAGGGCTTGTGCATTTTCCATCCCTGACTCTTCCTGAATGTCATTACCCCTGTGTCTCTTCCACTTATTTAATTCCTATTTGTTTCACTTTTAGCAAATAAATTGAATTTCTATTTTTACAATTAATTGATTTTTTTTTTTTACTGACTTTCTCTAACTTCTATTTTTTCATAGGAAATCTTTTCCAAAACTCCAGGACCCTCCTTTTTTGCATTTCAGAAGATGAAGGTGGCTGGGCACGGTGGCTCACGCCTGCAATTCCAGTACTTTGGGAGGCCGAGTGGGGAGGATCACCTGAAGTCAGGAGTTTGAAACCAGCCTGGCCAACATGATGAAACCCTGTCTCTACTAAAAATACAAAAATTTGCTGGGCATGGTGGTGGGCACCTGTAATCCCAGCTATAGGGGCCTGAGGCAGGAGAATCACTTGAACCCAGGAGGCAGAGGTTGCAGTGAGCCAAGATTGCACCAGTGCACTCCAGCCTGGGTGACAGAGTGAGACTGTCCCCAAAAAAAAACAGAAAACAGAAGAGGAGAAGGAGGAGAAGGGTGTCTTTTCTAATTTTTTTTTAGTTTTATAGGTAAAATCATTTATTTTTACCCTTGGTCTCATTTCTTCTTACCTCTTCTAAAACCTTGTCTTACCAATTATTTCATCAATTAAGCTATATTGCTATTGCTATTTTCTTTTCAACTAGAAACTTGCTTACCTTGCTTACTATATATGTATATCCTGAGTCAAAAACAATTCCTACATACCCTTTTGTTAACGTTTTCAATTTTTCACCTACATCTCTTGAGAATAATCTTCATTTCCCAGATACAACACCACATAATTTATTTGCTCCTCAACTCAATGCAGTCTGACTGTTGAATCACCAGTCTACTAAAACTGTTCTTCTACTGACATCAATAACATTTTTCCCCCATACCGTCCCAATCCTACAGTTACACTTCCATTATTTTTAATCTTATCACTCTGTAGCAGTATCAAAATACTGCCTTCTGCTTGACTTTCATGACGCCACACATTCTTGATTTATCGTCAACATTTCTGATCATTTCTTCTCTGTCTCTTTCTTGGGCTCTCTTCTCTGACAAGTCTTCTTAATCCACACACTTCCTCTGGGTGATTCAATCTACCACCATGACTTCAAATATGTTTATATACAGAATTCCCAAATATATGTTTCAAGCCTCCAGACTGTTTTCTGAGCTTCGAAAACCAAAAGTTTGTTGGCTATTTCCTTTTGGATTCTCTATAAAAGCCACAAATTCAGAAGGCCCAAACATGTCCTGTCTTCCTTTCACATCTCCTCTTCCCTCATAAAATCTTATACAGGCCTCATTTCATTTTTTGGCACTGCCAAGCAGTGAGTAGAGCAAGGTAGGAACTTTGGAGTCACCCTTTTCTCTGCTATTTTCTCACATTCATACCCTCTCTTCTGTGAAGTTCCCAGCCCTTCCACTGTCCCAGTTCAGGCACTCATTTCTTGCTTTAAGTCATGCAGCAGCTTCTGAATTACTTTCTGATATACAATCACTGTAATGATTAATATTAGGTGTCAACTTGACTGGATTGATGGATGCCTAGAAGGCTGGTGTATTCATCCATTTTCATACTGCTGTGAAGAAATACCTGAGACTGGGTAACTTATAAAGAAAAAGAGGTTTAATGGACTTGCAGTTTTACATGGCTGGGGAGCCTCACAATCATGGTGGAAGGTGAAGGAAGGAGGACGAAAGGCATGTGTTACAGGGCAAGTAAGAAAGCTTGTGCAGGGGAACTCCCCTTTTATAAAACTATCAGATCTTGTGACACTTACACACTATCAGAACAGCCCGAGAAAACCCATCCCTTTGATTCAATTACCTTGCACCCAGTCCCTCCCACCAAACATGGGGATTATGGGAGTTACAGTTCAAGATGAGATTTGGTTGGAGACACAGCCAAACCATAACCACTGGTTAAGTGTTGTTTTTTGGTGTGTCTGTGAGGGCTTCGCCAGAGGAGACTAACATTTGAGTCCGTGGACTGGGAGGGAAAGACTCACCGTTGAGGATGATGTAGGAGGGCACCATCCAATCAGCTGCCAGTGAGGCTGGAACAAAGCTTCTGGAAGAAGGGCTAAGCAACTTGACTACACTTCCCTTCAGTATTTAAATTCTTGCTACTTTGGCCCCTCATGCCATGATTCATCAAACCGAACTGCTTATATTCTTAATTACCTATTTGTCTCATGTGTAGAGCTTGCTTACACCTTCTCACTCTCTCTCTCTTCCTGTGTCAGATGCTTGCATCCTCTCCTCCTGCCCTTGGACATCAAACTTCAGACTCTTTGGGCTTTGGATTCTGGGACTTGGACCAGCAGACCCAAGGGGCTCTCGGGCCTTTGGACACAGACTGAAGGCTGCACTGTCAGCTTCCATGGTTTTGAGGCATTCAGATTTGGAGAGGACCCTGACTAAAACAATCACATTCTCCTCAAATCCTTCATCTATAGAAGTAACTAAAATATTATCCTGACCACACTACCTCTCTTCTAAGAATGCTTCAATGTTTCCCACCATGAACAGGATAGGATTCAGACTCTAACATGTCACGATGAGTAGTTAGTCCTCTGACTACGCTTTTCTTTAGAATTTAAATTCTTGCTACTTTGGCCTCTTATGTCGTGACTCATCAAAATGAGTTGTTTATATATCTTGAGTCCCTCTTTGTCTCATGTGTGTTTGTCTTGTAATGGCTCCCGGCTTTTTATTCATTAAGTCCCAGTTCTCATGATTTTGGAAGCAACCTCCAACTTTTTCTTTCTAGTTTGGTTGAAAGTATTTTTCTGTTGTTTCATAACATTCTGAACCCTTTGCTGCCACTGGTAAAATCACTTTAAGTGTCCTACATTATTCCACAATTAACTTATCATGTGATCCAATATCAGATCCATGGTCACCAATGTGTTGTACACACTCCCACGGAGCACAGAGTTATCTATTTGTAGGTGAAAAATACATAGAATTTTCCCTTTATTTTGCTTTTGTCTGTAGTTGCCTAATTCATTTTTGTTTTACTAAAATGTGTGTAACTTGTTAATATAAGGTGCTATATATATATATATACAGAGAGAGAGAGAGTAATTAAATTAACATACACAGATTAGAAACGTGAGCCCAAAATCTTTCTGATAGGAGTATGGTATCAATATATTTCAAGCCCTCTGCCCTGTTTAACCACATTTTCCATGGGACAAGAGCTGTAATCCTTTTAACTTGGTATTGCAAATCCCAGGCTGGAGAGATTTCTGTTATCTAAGCCAATGTCTCTTAAACTGCTGTTCATAGGTTACCTGGGAAATATTTCCCTGATATCTTGGTTAAAAATTAAATTTTTGGTGCCTTCTGATTTGAAATCTGTCATTGTGTAGATTACAATTTTTTTTACACCAGTCTAACATCCTTATGAATAATGACGTTTAAAATCCCTCACTTGTGGCCGGGCACGGTGGCTCACACCTCTAATCCCAGCACTTTGGGAGGCGGAGGCGGGCAGATCACGAGGTCAGGAGATCAAGACCATCCTGGCTAACACGGTGAAACCCCGTCTCTACTAAAAAATACAAAAAATTAGCCTGGCGTGGTGGTGGGCACCTGTGGTCCCAGCTACTCGGGAGGCTGAGGCAGGAAAATGGCGTGAACCCGGGAGGCGGAGCTTGCAGTGAGCCGAGATCCTGCCACTGCACTCCAGCCTGGGCGACAGAGAGAGACTCCGCCTAAAAAAAAAAAAAAAAAGAATCCCTCACTAGTTGTAAGCATTCAACACACCCTTATGTGAAAGTAAAAGTTTGAATATGCAGGGGAGTTAATATAGCATGACATAGTGCTACGACTGGCTGCACGGGCAGGCTCAGACTGCAGATATGAGGGTTAGGGGAGAATAAAACAGCCTAGGAGGTATTAATACTTAATACTTTTCTAAAGTTTCTAAGTGAAACTGGTTGAGTTTCTCTGTAGGAGTCAGTGCCTTAGTAAATTCTCTTTCAGGATACTCATATAACAGAAAATACATACTGAAATAAAACTTAAAATATTAAAAAATGTGCCATATATATTATAATTAACCATTATTACCAACTCTAAAATCCTCACCCAAGAAATAATTAGTGAAAGAATTTATGTTGCACACTGCATTTGCTCCTACAGAGATGCAAGGGAAGTTGTCCAATGAAATCTTGCACTTCCAAGAGTCTTCACAGACAAGGTCTTGGATCGATATCACTTGGAGCTACCAATTAATCCCAGGTTGATTAACATTTAAAATATGGGAGAGAATACAGTGCTAGTGTGACACTAAAATCAATGTCTTTATTGATGTGAAAACAAGAAAAGTGAAGTTGGCATTATTTGCTCCTTCTTTGGACTTTTGTAGAACAGGATTAGAAGTTCTCTGCGAGTGCATTATCTCCTCCGATTTTCATATATGTCTCAAATATGTTCTCCGTGGGGAAATAGGTACCTCATGGTCTGAAACAGATTTTACAATTTTAATTAGAAAGGCAACTTTCAGATGAAGGGTTCAGAAAGCATTCAGTATGTTGGATGTTTTTGTTATATGAGTTCGATATCAGTCATGATCCAACCAGGAACTCGAAACCACCTCAAACATTTAAAACAGAGAGAATTAAAGCTTTCTCATTGTTGATATAGGTAATGTACTGGAACATTTTATTTCTTTTGATTTTTGGCATGTATTTTCTTCTCTCCATATGTTACTACCATTTAATGTATTTATGTCTTCACCTTCAAAAACAGAAAATAATAGTAATCTTACCCTCTCCTCAAAGAATGGGTACACAAAGTCCTATTAGTCTTTGAATTCATCTCAGATCAGAATTCCCTGAGAATGAGCAACCCAGCCTGTCAGGTTGTAACGTGCCTCCTTAAGATTTGGTCAGGGTTATTTAGAGGTAGGAGAACCCAAAACTTTATGCTGCATATGTCTGAGCCCATAGTTTTTCTGCCATTATTGGGTTTCTATGGTCTTCTATCATCCTTTGCTAATGAAAATTGAACTAAAAAAAATCAGGGGATTTAGATACAGTCTCCCCCGTTCTATTGTGTAACAGCAACATAATCTCCACCTGAAGAAATTATGGGGATTAATCTCAGCTGAAAGTGTGATTTTTTTCTCTGCCTATTGGTTTAGGGGTGTAGGGAGCCAAATACATCCTAGTGGTCATGTTTTATTTTAATTATCTGAGGCCATTTTTGTGACCTCCACTGGAGCATTTTGCCCTTGGGCACGTCTAATCAGCAAAGCGTCTAGTTTCAGAGATGAAAAGCAATCATGAAAGAGGATCTATAATTTGGCCCCTTCACTTTGAGAGAAATACCTCTGCTTCAAATAACAGGTTTTTTTTTTTTTTTTTTTTTTTTTGCTTTCCTAATTGGACCCTATTGGAAACACTGAGGATGCCCATTACAACTACAGACTGAGGAAATGGGGAAATAGCCACTAGATGCGAGTGTGTACCCACTGGACCCACTATACACAGATTCACACCAAACATCCATTTATCTCATACTCTTAAATGGGACTCCAATACAATCGGGGGAACATGGTGACTTTTCTTTTTGTGTCTCCAGGGAATAGCAGCAATCCAGGGCTTCTGTGTCCCAACCTCTGTGAATTCTGGATATTTTCTTTTCCTCACTAATACCAGGGCTACAACTTCTTTTGGGGAAGGCTTGAAAGGACATTTTTTGTGTATACCCAAAGAATTATTTAGGATATCTTCCTCTTCCTCAGCCTCCCTTTCAATTACGGGGCTGTTGCGTGGGGATTAGGCTATGTTAGGGAACCGTTTATTTTCAAGAATTATTGTAGAAATTCAAGCCAGGTTTCTAATCACGAGACCTAGATTGTTCCCAATTATATAGATAAATTACATTTTAATAGTTTACACATATATTTAATTGCTAAGGGCTCATGATCAATTAGGTACTTCCACATATCCCCAGTGTTCATTCTGGCAATTGTAACTTGTACATTTCTAAATATTAAATCTTTTATCTGACTTTTCTTGGTTCAGAATTTCGTAATTTTTCCTTAAACTCAGGAATTCGATTTTAATAGCCACATTTCCCATATCCACTCCATCCTTCAGAAAACAGTTACTTCCAGAACTGTTTAAGGGCCAGGGTATCACCTTCACTAACATGCAGAACTACCATTAGGCCCAGCAATCCTATTACTGGGTATATATCCAAAGTAGAATCAATTATTCTACAAAAAAGACATACACATTTGTATGTTCATCACAGCGTTCACAATAACAAATACATGGAATCAACCTAGGTCTCCATTAATGGTGGGCTGGATAAAGAAAATTTAGTACATACACACCATGAAATACTGCACAGCCATAAACAAGAATGAAATCATGCAATTTGCAGCCACGTGGATGCAACTGGAAGCCATAATCCTCAACAAATTAATGCAGTAACAGAAAACCAAAGACCACATGTTCTCACCTGTAAGTCAGAGCTACACTTTGAGTGCATATGAATGTAAAGGTGGGAACAATAGACACTGAGGACTAGCGAAGCCTGCAAAACTACCTCCTGAGTACTACGCTCACTACCTGGATGGTGGGCTCATTCGCACCCCAAACCTCAGAGTCATGCAATAAACCCATGTGAAAAACCTGCACATGTAACCCTTGAACCTAAAATAAAAGCTGAAATTATTTTTTAAAAAAGAAGCAGCCAACCTACTCTGCGGTATTTGTATTATCATTACATTGTGGCCATATGATTATCGTACCCTCTAGTTGATATACTAAAATGTTGCTTTCATCTTAAATAACTGCAGTTAATAATTTATCTTGTTTTATAATGAGTATCCTAGAAAAAGATTCTGCACAGAGGGTAGTGTACAGGATATTTATCAAGCAGCATCTTTGAGATATACAGCTGTGGGAAGAGGGGAGGGATATTTTGAACAATGAGGCAAGCCCAGTGTAGCCTTTGTCAACCACACAGAGACCTTCAGGATTGTTCCAAACTGGGCTACAATTGCAAAGCCTTTAAATATCTATTTGATCAGTCACTCTATGTCAGCTGCTCATAGAAGTAATGTAACCTTTTGCCCAATAACTCTCTATAGCTGAAGCAATTCGTGAAGGAGCTTAGAACTAAAACTGTTTTCCAGTTATATCCCTAGGAGTTGAAGCATTTCCTTGAATTTAAGGAGCTCTGGGATGCACATCACAGTATCCACAGTATTGGATTTTCTGCCTGACAGTAGATTATCACTGTGTTCACACTGAAACAAGCAAGAAATTGTATTTCAGAATCCCATCCTCCATCGCTGTGCTTCCAGGGATGTTCAGGTACTAAGAATGGTAGCAAGTACAACCAGGAACATGAAAAACATTTTATGTATTTGGAATCTCTGGTCACAGGTAATTGAAAAATGGTGTAGCTTAAACACTAGACTAGGAGAAAATCACACAGGTGATAACTAGAGATCACCAGTGCTTCTAGTTTGAAGAAAAAAATAAAAGGAGAAGGCTAGTTTGGGAACCATTATCCACTGGAAGATGAAACCACAGCAGGCCTGCACACTGGGAGCTGGAGGCACAAAGAAGATACTTCCTCTGTAGGTGGTGCTTCCAGAGCTAGAAAGGGAGGAAAAGACTCCAAATTCTCTTACCATCCTGACCCCTAATCTCCGCCACAGCTTCTCATTCACAAATTCTGTATATACTAGGGTAGTCTGGGAAACACACACTAAAGGTCCCAACTTACTTCCTTGCATACACAGAAGAGGAAGACATGCTTTAAAAGCACACTAAAAATATATAAAAGTATGTAAATGTTAAAGTTGACAACCAACCACCAAAAGTTTGGCTAAATAATTTAAGTGTTTTACAATTCTGTAATCTTTATGTGTGTGTGTATATAAATATATATATACATGCATTAAACATACATGCATGTATTTCAGTTATACTTTAAAAATTGGTTTCCCAATAGTATATAAATAAAATTCTATTATTTTGAAACATAGTCAGAATTAATTAGAACATTATCAGAGTTCTGTATTCCACTTGGGATGTAAATGAAGAACTTGGACTGAGTTCAGAAAAGAGATACACAAAATAACTAATGTTGATGTGAGTTCTATAAAATGAATCTACATTACTGGATTTATATATAATGTAGAAATTAACAACCATGGAGATAGTGCATAAGATTTAGTGCAAGAGCTTCTATAACTTTATAGAGAATCTGAAGATAAAGAAGGGCTTTACTTTTAAAATTATGTAGACTGGCCACAAAGACATATGGTTTCATGGTTTTTAAAAGGTGATCTGTATGAGCTTCTTGTCTTTAGTGAGGTAAAATATTATTCCCATTTTAACAATGAGAATAAAGAGGTTCAAGAAGCTAAATTATTAACTTGAGACCTTGCAGATAGAAAGTAACAAAGGAGAATAATGCAGGTCTCCTTCTTAAAGAACCGCTCTTAATGTTACTTATTTTCTTTTCAAATATATATGGCTTGTTTACAAATGTGAGTTTTTCCATGCCAAAAGAATTACAACAGGTTAAAGAGTAACATGCAAAAATAAGTTAAAATCATCTGCCTAGTAATAATTGTTAACATTTTGTAAAATTTCTGATACTCATTTTGACTACCAGTACTATAATGTGTCTGGAGTCATAGTACATATACAGCTTCACATCAACTTTTGCCATTAACAGTATCATATGCTCTGATTGACTCTGGTAATTGAAGAATTTGTCTTAACAGAATTTTAGTAGGTGCTATATTAGGGTAATTCATGGTAGCTGCTGCCACTGATAAACTCCATAAATCTCTGTGGCTTGACACACTAAAGATTGAGCTATTTGTTCAGGTTAAGTCTGATGGTGTTCAGCTGGCCCACTGGTGTAGCCCCTCTCCTCTGATGCCATCACAGTTGGAGATGAAAGCAATAGAAGTACATATTGTTTCTTATCTGACTCAAACCGGAAGTACCACACATCACTTCTGTTCAGAGGAATTTAGCCAGAAATCCTTATATGTCCCCAACTTCTTTCCATGAGAGGCTGGCAAACATGAGGGAGCACATTAAGCATTTAATGAGCACTAGCAGTCTTTGTTAGGGAATGACATTCAGTTTTTGGCAATACCAATCATGCTCTTAACTCATATATATGCATATGTGTGTGTATATATGTATCTATATATATGCAAATATTATATATTATTCTATATCAGTAGATGGATATATATTTTTGTCTTGAAATATAAGTAGTAAACATAATATATAATATACATATATTATATATGTATATAAATAAAAAAGCTAAAATTTCAATAGCATATAATACAAAATATACATATATTAAGTATTATATGTTATTGAAATTTTAGCTTTTTTGTTATTCTTTTTTTGAACTTGCCTGCTTCCTCCTTTGCTTCTCCAAATTTCATTCTTCCCAATAAGCTGAAGTACACATTTAACAGTTATAAATCAGATTGGATCACTCTTCTGTTTATGTTTTCCAGGGTCAACAGACATGATCTGATGCCACCCTGCTGATGTGACTCTGTCTCCTATTACTCTCCACTTTACCTTCCATGCTGCAGCTGGATCAACCTTTATTCTCGTCTGGCATGTACTCTGCTAGCTACAGCCTTAAGGATTTGATACTAGTGCTTCTCTTTATTTGATATGTTTATCCTTTGATCATTACATAACTAGCTGTTTTCTGACATATCAAATATAGAGTACATTTTCCTCCAAAACTTTATCTACAATCAAACAAAATAATTCTCTGTGGCTAACAAGGGATTTGCTATTGCATGATCTTATTTAAATTCTCTGAATAAGTTTCACCATCTATATATTTTTTTCAGTTTTGTGATGCCAATTTGCTTAACCCTCTTGTGTAGTGATTAATTGTAAAAAGAATGCTCTTAGTCTGCTTTTTTAAGGCTGGTTTTCCTATTTTCTAACTCTGTGGTATTAGATTTGATGCATTATATATGTTTTTTCCCTTATTGTCCTTGACAATATGAAGATTCAAAAAAATATTTAGGTAACCCTAATGGGTGTGGGAACCAAGTAGTCCAACTCAGTGGTGAAATACTTTGGAGGAACATAGCCCCAGGCCGAAAATTAATATATAAATAAAAATAAAAGTTTCAACATTTATTTTCTTTTCCTGAAGAACATTAAAATAGATCTAATTTATAAATCTTAGCAACCCTTACATTAACCCCTCCTTTCCTATTTTCCCTAACTGTTTTTACTCTAATATTTTAATACCCCAAATATTTTTTTCATCTTTCACTTCTTATTTATCTACCAATTTCTTTCTTTGTTCTTCCAATTTTTATGTTCCTGCCTCCTCTGCTGTGACTTCAATTTTGTGCTTTGAAAAATCTAAGAAACTATTTGGGAAAGGCAAATTATTTTTAAAATGTGAACAAAAATGTATTTTGCAATTAGGTGACATTCTTGGAGTCATTCTCAACATCATTTTTTGTTTGTTTGTTTTCCTATGCCGTACAGAAAATATTTGACAAATCTTGTTGACTTTACTTAAAACATTTGTTTTTAACTGAAAACAGTTTTAGGTTTATAGGAAAGTTGCAAAACTAGCGTCGTGAGTTCTTATATACTGCTCAACACAGTTCTTCAAATGTTAACATCTAATACTATCATGGTGCATTAATGAAAACTAAAACTTAACATTGGAACAATAATACTAATTCATTTACAAATTTTATGTGGATTAGACCAGATTTTGCACTATTGTTCTTTTTCTCTTACATATCCAGTCCAGGAGGATCTCATTGCATTTAGTCATCATATCTCACTGGTCTTCTCAGTTTTATGTCTTGTTTTTCTCAGTCTTTTCTCTTTGTGTTAATGACTTTTGGAGAGTACTAGTCAGATATGCAACAAAATATTCCTGAATTTGAATTTGATGTTTTCTTATGATTAGAGTGAGGTTATGAATTTGGAGGAAGAATATCACATAAATGATATATGCTTCCTATTACATCATATTGTGGTGTGTGGGTGATGTACAATAATTTTCAAATAAATCTAGAATCAAATCATTTAATTTCTACCACTATTAGTCATTTTGTCTGGGCTACTATCTTCTTTCTTCTGAATAATTGTAATCTCCAATGGTCCCTCCCTGCTTCTTTCTCTTCTCATGTACAATGGATTATCAAAACAGCAGTTGTTTCCATTTCAAAGCATTAGTCAGATCATGACATCCTGCTACTCAAACTCCTCCAAGAGTTTGCCATTGACTTGAAGTAATATGTGTAGATAGATGTGACACATATGTAACATTATATAGCACACATAGCCACACATAGGCTATCATTTCATGCGTGTCAAAGCTTCACCTCTCCCAGTTCACTCCAGCCACATTGGCTTCCTTGTTTTCATAAACATGTTAAGTCAGCTCCTACTTCTGGGCATCACATTCACCCTTTTCTTGATCAGAAATGCTTCTACCACAGAAATGGCCACAGTTTGTGCCCTCACCACTTTAGGCCTATGCTGAATGTCACTTTCTTGGTGATATCCTCCATGACTTGTCTATTTAAAATAGTATCTCTCCTCCTATACGCGCTGTGTACCTTTTCCCACTTTTTTCTTTGATCAGAACACTTATGACCTTTTTAACTTATTTATTGCATGGTTTGTCTGTTTTCTCCGCTAAAATGTAAGATCCATAGGAGTGTGATTTTTTTTTTTGTGGTTTAATGTGTTCTCTTCAGTGCCCGGAATATATAAAAGAGATAAGTGAATAATTCTTATATGAATACATGGCCTGGAAGAGGAGATGTTTAGTGTTTTTCTTTCTTTCCCTAAACTCTGGTCTCTGTTCATCTAATATCTCCTCATCTCAAAAACCTTAGGGATGGTTTGATATGTACTCATCCAGGTAAAATTCTCACTGCCAACTTTAATCCAGCAAAAATATGATCTGAAATAAGTCTTAGCCCCTCTGCCTGTGTCTCTGACATGCTATGACTAGAATATATGTGAAACTAATACCTCAATTGCATCGTGCTTTTTAAAATGTTTTCTCTCTACTTCTCTAATACTTTTACATCATTCACACACTTCATCGAAGAGGTTTGCCTATTACAGAATAAAATATGTCACCTCCTATCATCTCTTCCTGCATTATTGCTTCCTTAGAGTTATGGTCTATGAGATTTTTTAGTTGGGGGGATGCAGATCAATAATATATGTGTCTTAAAAATATAGCAACAATACTGCCCCACAATCGTTTCACACTTCAGTATGCTACTGAAGAAGCTTGTGGCTCTATGCAAGATATATATTTCTAAGCCAAACAGCAGACATAATTCAGGAGGTCTCAATAATGCTCATGAATCTGATTTTAAACAAATCCTTCCAAGTAATTTTGATGTAAGAGTTTTATTGGTATATAACTATAATAGGATGAGGATTGACAGCAAGTTCCAAAAATAAAGGAAAAGTTTCTTACATTTCAGATGCATTTTTGGTCATTCTGTTTTACTGGTTGGGCCTATACTTAATATAATTCCTCCAAAATTCAAACAAATTATTTCAGGTGTTGGTAGCATTGTGAATGTTCATTTCATGGGTGCACTGTATTTGTATATGCAGGTGTGCATGCATATCTGTATGCACACCTGTGTTTCTATGTGCTTGTGTGTCTGTGTGTGCTCGTATTTACTGGTATATTTATAAGCATTTGGAAAGAATGTAAAAGATGCTATGTAGGTTTGAATACTAAAATATTTTTACTGCAAATGTTACTGGAACACTTAGAAGTAAATCTGTTACAGAAAAGTATCTAATCTGGTTTTAAATCACGCTGCATAGACTGTAATTTTTTTAGCATGTTCTTCTTAGTGACAAGAAAGATATTCCTCTTCCTTGTGGGCACCTAAATAAATTAAAGCCCCAAATATTCCATTTTAAAGATCATTTTAACCAACAAAAATCTCCCTAATGAAATCATATTAGGTTTAATGATATCGTACTGAAAAGTACAATAAACAATAGTAGGTAGAGTGTTCAAAAAGGCTTGGCTTTTTAAATGACCTTACAAATTAAAGCTAATTGACACAGGAAATGACGCTGTATAATCATTAGATATAGTCATAATTTTATTGGTATTTAATCTTAGAATAGTGTGTTGTGGGTAATCTGAGGAAAGCTTGCAATTTTAAAATGGAAGCTGAAGTAATGAGTGTAATAAAAGTGCAAAATAATAAGGACACAGTTGGGCAGTTTGTGTTGCCACTTAAAATCCTCATCCTCCCTTCTTTTTTCCAGCACAGGCTGAAAGAGCAGGCTGCCAAAGACTAATGCAGAGTCATTCTCATCTGCTCATTTTAATTCTGTTGCCAATTATCCTTAATTATTGAAAACTTTTTTTGGGGTGTAATGGTTACTGAAATGTTAGTGTGCTCATTAAACTGAAACTCTACATAGAGCAATAGATCTTGATAAGCACTGGTTTGTTATAGTTCTAAAATTTCAAGTATTCCTTACTCTATTAACTTCAAATTCATACTCCACAAAACATTTACTCAGAATTAATAAGTATTTTTTAAAGCCAAAGAGGCCTCACAAAATGGCTTAAATGATATAAAATGTAAGAATAATTTAAACTGGCTCGCGTGAAGGACAATCAGTCCAAATTTGGCCTTATATGAAAGCAGCACACCTTTAGAAGGAAGCAAAATATTTCAGATGTCACCACGAAATTCCGTGTCAGTACTACCTTACTATAAAAATGCACCACGTTCATATTCCAGCAAACTGGCATCAGCTGATGAAAGCTATGACAAATGATAAATTCATACACATATCTTGCATTATGGAAGTGAAAGAATTTATTGTAGATGTGACTATACATGTTTGCCTCTACTTATACTCAGAACCCAACGAAACATTTTCTAGAATTTCCTTTTCTGTATGGCTTTGGGTTTGCATTAGCCCTAGGAGACATCCTATACCTGGCCTTTGAATTACATGCATCAATGCCTCCAGCCAGCCAACCACAGCACCAGGTTTGAAGGTGCTGGAAGACAGGCCCAATATGTCCTTGCAGGTTCCAGTTGTCCTCATGGGATCCAGTTTACCCTTGCTCTTCTGCACGTTCAGCTTTCCTTTCCAGCTGCCAATCCTGTTGACCTACAGTAACCTTAGGCTCAATACCAGATGCAGAAGCACCATCTTACAGAGAGTGCTACAGCATTTCCCACAATTGTGGAAGATCAGAGCCATATAAAGAGTTATTTATGTTAAAATCAATAGCAGTTTGACTTCACTGTTCAAAGTTTGGTTGATTGACCTGCGACTCCCCCTTTTTCTGGAAACTACTAGAAGATTGCTCTACCAGAATGAGAGAGTAAATGAAAGGAAGACATAGAATCCTTATCTTCATTTGGGGGCTATACCAAATACCATAAACTGGATAACTTATAAACAACAGAAATTGATTTCTCACAGTTCTGGAGTCCGGGACATCCAAGATAAAGTGCTGGCAGATTCAGTGTCTGATGACGGCCCACTTCTTGGTTCTTAGAACCGTGCCTTCCCATTGTATCCTCACATGGTGGAAGGGGCATGCTAGTTCTCTGGGAATTCATTTATGAGGATACCAATCCCATCCATGAGGGCTCTGCTTTTATGACCTATTCACCATCATACTGCTTATTAGGTTTCAACATACAAATTTGGGGGAAACAGAACGGTTCAGACCACAGAAATCCCCAAAACTGGGATCCAATGACAAGGAATTTCATGATATAGATAAAGTGAAATCCCAGAATAATGGCTCTTAAAAATATCCAGATAGCAAATAATATAGTTTGGAATGTAAGTGCAATAGATTGTAATACAAATAATTCCATGTAAAAGGAATCAGATATATTCTTATGTTGCTGAACACATTTAAAGAAGGATTTTTCTCTACTAACAGAAATACTTCGAATTAATTAAGAATAAGTACCTTTAGAAAGTTAAATAAAAAGTAAAACAAATGGGCAAATATTAAATTATGTACCATATGTAAAATAAATATAGCCCATCCTGACATCCTCAAAGTCTTAACTCATTCGAGCATCAACTCTAAGTCCAAAATCTTATCTAAATATAATCTTTTAAATATAATCTACTAAAATATCTCAAAGCTCATATAATAAATCATATATATGTTGGCTATTGTGAAATCCACTTCTGATTAATCCTGGAGCAAAATTTCTCCTCATCTGTGGACCTGTGGAAGATAGAAAACAAGTTATCTGCTTTGAGGATACTATGAAAGGACAGGCATAGGATAAAGATGCCCATTCATAAAGGGAGAAAAATGGAAGAGCTGCTGGTCTAAAGCTAGTTTGTAATCCATCAGAGAATATTCCCCTAGATGTCCAAGCCTGAGAACAATCTTCGGTAGGTTGATGCTCTGTTCTCCGGGCTTGCTGGGGTGATGACTCTGTTCTCTTGGCCCACCAGGGCTGTGGGTAAGGCCTCTTCATTTATTGCTCTGCTTCAGGAGTAATTTTCTTTCATTTTATACTGCCTCTGTCCCTTTCAGTCCAGGTGGCGATGTTTCTGCTGGCATAAAATTCTCAAAACTCTATTATGAAAAGCAGACTCCCCTGCAATTCATGAGGGTCTAAAGCATCAGACAAGAGGGTCCTCCACAGACCGTTCCTGAATAACTGCATCTACATATCTGTCTTCTGCTGAGAAGGTTGATTGAAAACATGAGTCACACAGCTAACCTTTTTAGCAAAAGTTTGTGTTCCTTCAGCCACACACTTGTCTCTGTTTCCAGATTATTCTACCTGAATAAGCTGAGAATTGTGCAGTCATCAAATGCTGGTTTCTTTATGTTTAACAATTTCTTCCTTTATGTATCTTTTTCTTCTCATGTTTCACTGTTGGCAACAAAGAGAGACCAAGCTGCATATTCTACACTTTGCTGGGAAAATTCCTTAGCTAAAGGTCCAACTGCATAACATACAAGTTCTACCTTCCACTCAAAAGAAGTCAATTCGGGTAAGTTATCTGCCATTTTATAACAAGGATTGTTTTTTCTCCAGTGTCAATAATAAGTTTCTCATTTTCTTCTGAGACCCCACCCAAAGCACCATGATTTATTTATTTTTATTTTTATTTTTATTTTTTGAGACAGGGTCTCACTTTGTCACCAGGCTGGAGTGCAGTGGCACCATCTCTACTCACTGAAACCTCTGCCTCCCAGGTTCAAGCAATTCTTGTGCCTCAGCCTCTCAAGTACCTGGGACTACAGGTAAGCACCATGACACCTGGTATATTTTTGTATTTTTAGTAGAGATGGGGTTTCACCATGTTGGCCAGGCTGGTCTTGAACTCCTGGCCCCAAGCTATCCACCTGCCTCAGCCTCCCAAAGTGCTGGGATTACAGGTGTGAGCCACCACGCCTGGCTACAAAGCACCTTTAATGTTCATATTTCTAGCAACAGTCTGATCATGAAAATATATGTACTTTTTAAGCTGATGGAACATTTCTCTACTGCTCTCCTGTTCTTTTTGGGCCTTCAACGGAATTTCCAGTAATATTTATATTTCTATGAATGATATCTTCAAGATGATCTAAAAATTTTGTATTAAATGTTTCAAAAGTCTTCCAGCTGCTACCTATTATCCAATTCCAAAACTGCATCCACAGTTTTAGGTATTTATTAGAGTAGCACCTCACTCCCTGGTACCAAAATTTGAATTGTTGTGCTAGGCTCTCATAATAAAATACCACAAACTGGGTGGCCAAAATCAAGGACCATACTCTCTCTAGAATCTATAGTGTAGAGTCTTTCCTTACTACTTCCTTGCTTCTGATGGACGCTATCAATCCTTGACACTTCTTGGCTTGCAGCAGCATTACTCTAATCTCTGCCTTTATCAATGGCATTTTCTTTATTAGTCTCTGTGTATCCAAATGATCTTCTTTTATAAGGACATCAGTCATTTTGGATTAGGATCATTCTAATTATTTTTTGATAGCATCTGCAGATTTTTTTAAATTAATTTTTTTAAATTAATTAATTATTGTTTTTTTTGAGATGGAGTCTCACTCTGTCACCCAGGCTGGAGTGCAGTGGCGCCATCTCGGCTCACTGTAAGCTCAGCCTCCGGGGTTCATGCCATTCTCCTGCTTCAGCCCCCCAAATACCTGGGGCTACAGGCACCCGCCACCACACCCAGTTAATTTTTTGTATTTTTAGTGGAGACAGGGTTTCACCATGTTAGCCAGGATGGTCTCTGTCTCCTGACCTCGTGATCTGCCCTCCTCAGCCTCCCAAAGTGCTGGGATTACAGGCATGAGCCACCGCACCTGGCCATCTGCAGATTCTATTTCAAAATAAAATCACATTCACAGGTATTGGGGGTAGGATTTCAACAGATCTTTTGTGTGTGTGTGTACATGTTTGTGTGTGTGTGCATGTATATGTGTGTGTGTGTGTGTGTGTGTCACAATTCAACCCATAATAATGTGATAGTTTAGGATAACAATTGAAATTAAATTGAGATACACGTGGATTCTAGTACATTTCTGTGACAACCTTTATGCTTGTCTTGGTTTAAATTTCATCCTATGTGAAATGCAGTGGTACAGTAGTGCTGTCTAAAGACTCTCTATTTTATTGTCTTATATTTCTCTTCTCTATATTAAAAATGTATAAAAACCAAAGCTGTATCTACAGGAACACACAATAACAAAGATAGTGAAAATTAAGTCTACCTAGATTCCAGGTCTGTCATGCATTTTCATCCAATGTTTTCTCCAACCTGTATAAAGTTTTAATTTTTGTTCTTTTGTTACAAAAATTGAATGCATAAGTAAATGAGAACTTTAAGCATTTCTCAAATATGAGTAAAACCTAGGTCTTTCATTTTAAGATGTGGTGGGCATTCTGGAAATCAACTTAGGCTACAGAAGATAGACATATAAAATTATGTATTTTTAAAATCAAAGTGATACAACAAACTGATTTATTTGGTTACTCTTTAATTTCATAGGGACTTTAAAGTAGTTAATGTAAGTTATCAGAAACAAATCTGATTTGTTTTTCAATTCACAAGAGCACTAACTCCCAAAGAATGTAAAATGTAGTTTTGTAGGTTGGAGCAGAGAAGGTTGAAATTTATTTTCCTAGCTTCAACAACATCAGACTTAAAAATTTCAGAGTTGAATTTGTAAATTCTCATGCAATACATGAAGCCAACTCTCAGAGACAGACAAATGTTATGTCTTCATTTTCTACCCCTGTTTTTATCTTGTTCCTTCTTTTCTTCTTATGCAATTTACTTTCAGCTCCTCCAAAGGTTTTCAGGTTCTTACTGCTCAGCTTTGTGTCCTGCTGAGCTAAAACTTTCTCCCAGGTTTATCTCTGCCTGCACTCCTTGCACTCAAGATCAAATTTTACTGTGTATTATCTTGTATCCTTTTTATAATTCTGAAAATGTTGATACTTACACCTTTCAAAAAGAGACAGATTCAATAGTAGTCATCTGTAACTCAGCACTGGCATTGGTATTCTTTTCATCGCAAGGGAGCATACTAAGGCTTGAAAAATTAAACCAATCATTCAATTAACTTTGTTTTATTCACTTTTGTTTGTTAGGCACTGTCTTAAATAATGAGAATAGGAAAAATTAACTTTTTGACAAGTGCCATAAATGGTAACAAGTGCATAAAAATGAACTCATCCTTATGTTTAGTTCATATCTTATTTTTTCTTTTTACTTGATTTTTTTAACTATTTCTTTTTACTAGAAAGTAATTAAATCATACCTATTTCAAGTGCTTCTCTAATTCTGACTGTTATCTTACCACACTCTCTTTTTTGCAATTAATCAGTTATTCTGGTTTTAAAAGATTTAGAAGTAAGACTATAACATGGGAAATTTCCATTGGAACATTTTCTCAAACTGCAAAACAAAATAAAGCAATTTTAGTGCCTTTGCTATTTTTATTTGATATCTAACTAGAACACATGAAATCCAATCTGCTCATATTTAAATAGCACAGTGTCAATGGGTTATTTCTCAAGAGACACCATTCTTAAGGCAACTTTAGCTTCACTTTGAAAGATCAGAAAATCATAATTCTCTTATGATATTTAAATGTAAGATTTTATATATAGTATGGAATAAAAATGGAGAATTTTAATTTTTCTTTTTAAAAAATGTTTTATTAATGCTATGACTTGACAAACAAAAGAATTTCATTTTTCAACTTCAAAAGCCCCAGAGTATTTTAAGTGTATTATATTTAGTGTCTATATAAATTAGTTTTCAATTTCAGATCATTTTGATATAATGAGATTCTGTCACAAAGCATTCCCTGTTAATCAAGAGTGGCTGCAATTATTAATATCTGAATGGCATAAAACTGATAGTTTTTGATATAATTACTAGGGATGGGTTGTTGCATTTTTAGTAACCATAAACTAATTTTAATATTCAATTAATTACAATCGCAATTTTTTATAACTCATTTGATGACTTCAGAAAACTCTCTTATCTGCTTTTGTATATGGTGTTTATTGACTTTCTACATGATCCCAAGTAAATGATTGACAAAATAAAGTATTACTATGCTCCAGCAGATTGTTGTGATATTAGAAATTGATCCTATAGCTATATTTTCATGTTTATTGTGACACATAAAATTAATGCTTTCATTTTAAGCAATTAAGATTTGTTCATTTAAATAAGTCAATTCTTTTTGCTAGGATCTATTATTTTATATTGTTTTATAGCTAGTTCAATGAATAAGTTCTATTTCTATAATTTTTTATTTTTAGACTGTGTTATTTGGCCTTGAACTTCTTGTTTTCAACTCTTTAAAGGCTAGTGGCTTGGTTTTAATTTAAACTCTTTGGGCATCTTGAATGCTGATTTGAGCTCTTTGGACAATTATTTATTCAAATATTCAATATTTATTCAAGATTACTAAATACTCTGAAACCATTAACTTGCTTATTTCTTAGAAAATGCAAAATACATGAAGAGATTATAATTGGCATATATACTTAAGTATGCTTGTATATCTGTTTAACAATCAATTCTAAAACTTTGTTAAACTTGTAACTAGTATTTGAAGATTTGAAAGATCTAGATTTTTAAACTTACTTAGACAAATGATGCTCATAGATGTTTGTTATTAAATTTTACAATGGGAATAGAAGGGGATAGGGATGGTAGAAGGTTACTAGAAGAACTTTTCTCTGTGGGCTATGATTTTAAAGAACGGTAGGGGAAATGGATAAAGATGAATCAATTGTATTGTAGTGACAGATGTAATAATAAATCTAGGCCAAGTTGTGGAGAGCTTTAAATATGCAAATGAATCATTTGGACCTGGTCTGCTTTCTGGAGTGGGGAAGACACATTTGTCTGTCACCTATTTACTTGATCTCATTCCTTATTTACATAAAAATAAGTGAAGGAAAATGTCACCAAAATGCATGGAAATAATGAATGAATTTGGTAAAAATCAATGGAAAATAGAACAAAGGCATGATTGATTGGCATTCAAAATTAAACGAAAGATAAACTAAAAAAAATGAATGCTGTAAACCAGATTCAGCAAACTTTTTATGTGAAGGCTCAAATAGTAAATATTTTAGGCCCTGTGGGCCTTATGTTTTCTGTTGCTACTATTCAACTCTGTTATTGTAGTATGAATGCAGCATTATATAATATGCAAATGAGTCAGCATGCTATGTTCTAATAAAACTTGATTTAAAGCCAGCAAACAAACAAAGAAAAAACAGGTCGCAGTCAGGACTTGGCCTGTAAAATATAGTTTGCAGGCCTTTGTTTTTTGTAGGCAATAATATTATGCATTCTTTGAACACCAATGCCCAAAGCTACCTTTGAAAATTAATTACTTTAGAAAGATTTAGTGCCTTTTATAAATCTCAAGGGCATATCTTCAAGTTCCAAAATATTTATTCTAAATGACTGAAAATCAACTCATATGATAATTATTACATTTGAAGAATTGGTCTGGAAATGGAAGTTTACTTAGCAAAGACCAAGTCTTTCTATTAAATGGATGAGAAGAAAATAGCAATATGCTATTTTCCATGTCAGTGTGCTAAGATGTCATGCTAGTTAAGTGGACTGACTATCTCATGATTTAACATCTATCTGGTCATAAAACCATACATTTATTTAGGTTAATGAATATTCTTTACAGATAAAAATGTCGAAAAATATAAAATCGAAGTTTTAACTTTAATTTACATGTAGCCTAGTTTGGCAATATGTTTTAAATTCAAGCTTAAAGCTAAACTCAAAAAAGTTGTGTGGATCAATTATCTATTGCTACAATTATAGTCAATAAATCATGTGCCTTAAATCAGTAAGTATTCATTCAGCTCACGAGTCTATAGCTTGACAGTTTAGTCTGGATTCGCCTAGACTCACTCATTTGTCTGATGATCAGCTCCAGATTGGCCTTTTGTGGGATCACTGGGTAGGTTTGTCTCCTTCATTTACCTCAGTATTGATCTGGCTATCACTGGAATGCCCTCGTGGTAAAGGCAGAAGAACAAGAAAGCAGATGGAAAGGCAGAGTTACATGAAAAATGTCAAGAATATAGGGAAAGGTAAAAAATTCAGGGTACTGATGCAATCACTTTTTCCATTAGCATATGTCAATAAGTAAATTCATATATTGCAGATTTGCAAACATTACTGTAAAAATACACTGTGTAGCTTCAAATTCTGAGAGTCGATCTCTGAATTTATACTAAAATAGCAATTTTCTGACCTGAATTGCAGGCTTAATAGAATAATAAGTTTAAAGTGGTGTTATATTTCTGGTGAAAGGAATAAGTAAATGGGGACTCTAGAAATAAAGAAAATGCATTTTAGGTTAAAACATTTATTTTATTATTTTAAAGCAAAGTTTCATTATTCACTTAGAATAAGGATGCTTTGAAGACTCAACTCTCTATAGCCCCTTATACTTATTTTCTTTTGAAGTAAAAATGAGTTTATAATTTATTTTCATTTTCTATTTCATCTTGTTTTATGGCTCATTATTAATGTTACAGGAAATCAGGTAAGAAATTCGTGGTATGTATGAATGATGTTACAAAAATCAAGACACAGTGTGCCATTTTCATTCACATTTATATTTGATCCTCTATATTGACAGCTAGAACAGTCTGTTTTTGTCTATACAATAAGCACATATGATTAAAGTACATGTGGGATAAATTTTCAAGCTACCACATGGGGTTTTTTAGACTTGGCATCTGTCATTAATGTCATTAGAAGCCAAATTGCTAGAATCTTTTCTTACTCTGACATTTTATCCCATATGAAGCACACAAAAGAAGCAACATAGTGTTACTATTTTCTGTTTCAATTAAATAGTTTGTATGCGGGTAACGTTTGAGTGCTAAAGATGACAGGTCCTATTCTCCCAGGTAACAGCATTCAAATTTAATTCATTATACACGAACACTTACATATACACTCCGCTGATTCAAAATTATATGTCTTCAGAAATAAAACGTCTTTTATGCAAATGTCTAATTTATAGATAGTCATTCAAGAATTTCTAACAACTTCTAATGCTTCCACTGGAATCAGAAGCACTTAACATTTCAATTCAAATTATTCTTTTTGTATACTTTGTTTTTAAAATGTCCATGTAAATCAGATTTTAGATGTGTAATAGAGCATTGAACAATGAAACGACTTTTATCATTTTAATGTTAATAGTAATTGGGCATATTACATTATTTTCAGAGTCCAAATTACATACTGAGAAAACACGAGTTACTTTGGTTTAGTAGGGTTCCAGTTATTTCACTAACCTTATGTTTTATTACATCATTTAGAATCTGACAGAATTGCACTCAAATCTCTATCTACATGACCTTAACCATTTGAAGCTTCACTTTACTCATTGGTAAAATGTGAACTCCATTGGTTAGTTTTGAGAATTGAAGGAAGTAATACACATAAAACACTTTACTTTATACCGTCACAGAGATAGCACTCAACACATAGTAATTAATATTATTGTAAATTACAATTTACTATTATCACATGCTAATTCTAAAATTAATATAATCCTAGCTCCTTTGAAATGTGAAGGACCTTGTAGCTATTAAGATGAAGAGAACAAAAGAGGAATTTGTCAAAGAGATGTCTTTCTGGTTTAGACTACAACTTGTTCCATGTGACCTAAACCACATGAATAATTAAATCAGTTTAGGGAATTTGCAGAAACTAATGCTGAGGATAAATACAATGTTAGAGAACAAATTAAGGTTTGAAGGTGTTTTCTAAGTGGTTTAGATAAGTTACCAATATAAATGATTGTAAGAATATTCTTAGAATAACTGTAGATAATTATAGCAAGGCAAGAACAATTTGAAGAGAGCAAGTAATCCATTAGTGTCACAGGGCTTAGTAAAATCTTAAGTGTCTGGTTTAATCCCCCTCCTCAATACTGCTTGCAAGAAATTCCATAATCTGTCCCTTAAAAATCTCTCCCACCTCATCTTTGTCTGCATTTTCATTCATTATGCAAACAATTCAGTTGCCATATTGTTTGTATGCATTAATTTATGTTTCTAAAATAATCACTTTCTGGCGTTCTACCTGGTAAATGCAAAGCCACCTTAAAGACTCAGCTCCAATCTCATTTATTTTTTAAAGATTTCTCTGACCAGACCCAAAAACTACTAGCCAGTACTTCCTTATGTTTCCTATTGTGTATTAAATACAGGGCTAACAAATCTGTCAAAGTATTACAAGTACTCATTTAAAAGTCTATCTCTAGCTTGAATTTATATACTGGAATACAGAGATTTCTATCAAAATTTGTATGTTAGCTTTGAGATGAAAAACATATTTTATTAATAAATGATGATTTCCCAATCAATATCTCTCCAATTTCACGAATGAGAACTACTACAGTTGAAAATGTCATTAGTCGTAATAGTCTAAGAGGTTTGGGGACTACAGTACCATAACCTGACCAGGATGTTTAAGGTAAGAATATTCAATAAAGATAGGTGGTGCTTACAAGTAAAGCAGTGTATTGGAAAGATAATAGGCAGTTTTGATTGTCATATAGCAGTACTATTTTAATGAGTTGAGCAAAGGGATAAACTATGTTTAATAACTATGGGTTTAATTGAATTAAACACTGGAGCATTTACCTCAATGAGATTAGGATCAGATCCCTGGACTATCTAATGAGCATACTGCTGGCATTTAATTTATTTCAATTAATATTTATTTAGCACTCACTCTGTGCTGGGAAACTTGTAGTCTCTGATCTTGGGCTTTCCTCCCTGGTAATGGAATTTCCAACAGATATAAGAATATACCATGGAGAAAATAAGTCATAGCAATATCTATTATTTCCAATCTTTTTACTTTTTTTTAAATCATCTTTATTGATATTTAGTGACATAAAATAAATTCTATATATTTAGGGTGTACAATGTGGTAAGTTTTGATATTGCCTACACTTACAAAGCCATCAATATGAAGATAATGAATATTTTCTTCACTCCCAAAAGATTCAACAACTCTTTTGTAATTCTGAACACCTGATCTCACTCTCCCAATTCTTAGGCATTAACCTTTGACTTTTTGTCACCATAGATTATACAGTTTGCATTGTCTAGAGGTTTATATGGATGTAATCACACTTTATGAAATCACTTGTCTGGCCTCTCCCACTCACAGTAATTATTGTGAGATTATCCATGTTCTGGTGTGATGCAGCTCTTGTCTTACATTTTACTTATAAGCATGTTATGAACCCCACAACATATTGCATTTTTTGTTTAAATAATATTTTAAATAATTAATTTAATTTAAATAATTAAATATATTTAATTTATAAGAAAAATATACAAATTTACCCATGTAGTTACCATTTCTGAGACTCCTGGTCCCACCCTATGCCATTTTTATTCTACTTAAAGAATGGCCTTTAATATTTCCTGTGTTGGGCTTCTTCCAATGTTTGTATATCTTAAAAAGTCTTTAGTTTGCCCCTACATTTAAAATATATGTTTTCTGGTTGTAATTTATATCCTCTTTTATGTCTCTACTGTAATACACAAAAGTGGATATAAGTTGCTTTAAGTTGCTCTATTGTCTTCTTGATTTGTTTCTGAAAAGAAATATACAATAATACTTAAGTCTCTTTCTTTTAAAGTAGTAGAGCATATCATTTTCCTCCTCTTGTTGCTTTTAAGATTTTTTTTTATCATGTATTTGAGGCAACTTGATTATGTGAGGTTGAGGAACCACAGAAACATGAAATCAAACATGTTGAGCTTCTTGGATCTTGGGATTACTGTTTCTATCAAAACCAAAATTGTTTCAAACATTTTTCTTTTTCTTAATTGTTTTATTTATATTTTGATTCAGAGGGTAATGTTCAGGTTTGTTACATGGATATATTGCATGATGCTGAGGCTTTGGTTTCTAATGATCCCATTACCCAAGTATAACATAGTACCTGGTAGTTTTTCAAACTCTGTCCCCCTCCCTGCCTTCTCCCTTCTGGCATCTCCAGTGTCTATTGCTCCCATCTTTGTGTCCGTGTGTACTCGGTGTTTGGCTCCCACTTATAAGTGAGAGTATTTGGTTTTCTGTTTCAGCATTAATTTGCTAAGGATAATGGCTTCTGGCTGCATTCCATGCTGCTGCAAAGGACATGATTTTGTTCTTTTTTGATGGTTGCATAGTATTCCATGGTGTATAGGTACCACATTTTCTTTATCCAACCCACCGTTGGTAGGCACCTGTCTTGATTCCATGTCTTTAGTATTGAAAATAGTGCTGCAAAAAGCATATGAATTCAGGTATCTTTTTGGAAGAATGATTTATTTTTCTTTGGTGATATACCCAGCAATGGAATTGCTGGGTTTAATAGTAATTCCGCTCTAAGTTCTTTGAGTAATCTCCAAACTGCTTTTCACAGGGGCTGAACTAATTTGCATTCCCACAAAGAGTGTATAAGTGTTTCCTTTTTAACACAACTTCTCCAACATTTGTTATTTTTTGACTTTTTATTAATAGCCATACAAATTGGTGTGAGATGGTATCTCATTGTTTTGATTTGCATCTCTCTGATAATTAGTGATGTTGAGCATTTTTTCATGTTTGTTGGGTCCTTGTATATCTTCTTTTGAGAAGTTTCTGTTTATGCCCTTTGCCCAGTTTTTAATGGGATTACTTTTTTCTTGTTTATTTGAACCTCCTTATAGATTCTGGATATCAGTTATTTTTGAGACACAGTTTGCAAATATTTTTTCCTTCTCTGGATATTGTCTGTTTACTCTGTTGATAGTTTTTTTTTTTTTTTTTTTTTTTTTTTGCAGAGCAAAAGCTTTTTAGATTAGTTAGTTCCTATTTGTCCATTTTTGGGGGGTTGCAATGTCAGAAATTATTCTTGAAATATATTTTTTGCTCTGTTTCTTTAAAGACTCCAATTATAATACACACATATTAAATTGTTTGAAGTTGTCTTTTAGTTTATCGGTACTCTTCATTATTTGGTGATTCTCTTTTCTTTGTGTTTTATATTTGTTACCTGCAAATTCATTGAAATTTTACCAATAATCTCATTCAGTATTTCTTATTTCAGATATTATATGTTTCTTCATTAGAAGTGGTCGTTTTATAGTTCCAATATATCTGCTTAACTTTTTTAATATCTCGGCACAGTTTGAAAAACTATTTAAATGCCTTTTTCTGCTAATTTTAATAATTGTTATTTCTTAGCTGGCTTTAGTTAACTTTTCTCTTCTATGGGTCATATCTTTCTTTACTTCTTCTCATGCCTACTAGTAGTTGTTCAGGGACCGAAAATTGTGAATTTTACATTGTTGGGTGCTGGATATTTTAGTACTTTTAAATATTTACGACTTTATTTTGAGATGCAGCTAAATCACTTAGAAACAGTTTAATCATCTTGATTCTTGCTGTTAAAATTTTTTATATAGGATCAGAGCAGCATTTAGTTCAAAGTAAATTATTCCCCATGATTAAGGCAATCCCCTTCTGAGTATTCTACCCAGTATCCTGTGAATTATGATGATTTGTCAAACTGATAATAGGCTAGGGGCGGCCAGGTGCAGTGGCTCATGCCCGTAATCCTAGCACTTTGGGAGGCCAAGGCAGGCGGAACACCTGAGGTCAGGAGTTCGAGACCAGCCTGGCCAACATGGTGAAACCCCATCTCCACTAAAATATACCCCCCCAAAAAAAAAAAAAAAAGCCAAGTGTGGGGGCGGGCACCTGTAGTCCCAGCTACTCAGGAGGCTGAGGCAGGAGAATGGCTTTACCCAGGAGGCGGAGGTTGCAGTGAGCCGAGATCACACCACTGCACTCCAGTCTGGGCAACAAAAGCAAAACTCTGTCTCAAAAAAAAAAAAAAACCAGCTGGGGGCATGCACACCTCAGGTAGTTTTTGCTTGGTGTCAGGTAGTTCACTCGTGTGCATGTGTTCATCAGTAATCAAATGAACATTCAAGGGATCTCTATTCAGATTTGAACTTCTCTGTGCAACTCCCTCCTTTCTGGTTGTCTACCCTGCAAATTCTAGCTAGCTCTGTTGCCCCAGATTTTCAGCTTTGCTTCATCAACCCAGAAGTCCACTGGGTTCAACATTGGTTTCCTCTCACAATGCTAGAGCCCAGAAACAGTCCCAAGGCAGTAAACTGAGGTCATAGGGCTCATCTCATTTGTTTCCCCTCTGTCAGGAATTAGTACCCCTCATTGCCTGATTAGAGCAGGTAGTCAGGGTTAGAAGTAGAGAAAAGAAGAAAGGCTGTTTGTACTGTCAGAAGACATGGAATATTATAACCAAATTCCATATAAGAAACAGGAATAAAGTTGGAAAGATGATAGGATTCATTTATATTCATTTGTTTACCATTTTTTTCCAAAACTGGGAGAATCTAGACCTTCTTCCTATACAAATGGGATTAATGTAGTAGATAGTGAGCAATTGGTAAAACAAAAGAGAAGATCACTTGATTGACAGTTCTTGAGAAAGTTTTCAGAGTGGAATTTGGGCACAAGTGGAGAAAATGAGTTTCAATAGGAGCAGATAAACTTTATCTATATCCTAAAAAGTACATGGTACAGAGGCAATATGGTATAACAATTTGGAACATGAACTGCAGTTATGTCACATACAGTTAACTGTAAAATGGTGCTAAAAATAGCAATTATGTCATGGGTTTCTTGTGGAGATTATAATGTCATGAGACATGGAATGATGCAAGCCCAAAGTGAACACAACATAGTACTTGACAAATGTTAGCAATTTTTATTACTATTTCTCATAACTGGAAAGTCACTTGTGAAATTAGTATCATAGAATAATTACGCAATTTTGAGTGCTTATTTGAGTTTAGCTTCCAGAAATTTATGGAGTCCAATTACTATATTGCCTCAGCATTCTCCACCATCTTTAAGTTGTAGATATACAGATGTTGTTATTAGTTTTTTAAAGCCTGCATTTTTGCTTTCCCAGATAAGGGATTTGAGGTGTTTTATGCAAGGCAGTCATACATATCCTGGACAATGTATTGCAAGTGGGTAAGATGGAAATGAAACATATTAACATATTAATTAATAGTGAAAACATGATAGAGTTTAAATATTGAAGGTATTAATTGGGTGCCAGAACTACTGATTTGAACCTATGGGATCTAGAAGGAAATGATATAGTCAGAGATGGGAATACCACCCGCCAGGAAATTTTGGAAGGTTACAATTATTGTTGAGAGTATGACCATGAGAAATTATGACTGTGGGAATGGATTGTTGCAAATGAGGAGGTTGACATCAGAGGGGAAAAGGTGCTAAATAAATATAAACATGTATTGAAATATCATAATTTATGATAAAATGAATAGTGAAAAAACTGATGCAGGTTTTAGAGGCATTAATAAATGAGAAGAAAGGGTCCATGGGGGATATTAATAATGATAGCAACAAAGAAGGGTATTAGTAGATAAAAGTGATGGTATAAATGTTAAAGAAAGTTTGTCTTCCTTAGGAAGAAGAAAGATAAGCGCTTTGGAAATAAATGTAAGTTGCACAGATATAGTGAAATTGTAAAAAATGAAATCAAATTTAAAAATTGATACTTTAAAAATTAGAATAACTTATGTCTGGACCACCTAAATATTAAGGGATTTTTCTTAGAATTTTAGGTTATAGTGGTGCTAGACGAGAGTTATATAAGCTCGTTGTGAGAAGTAGTGGCAAGACACGAGAGAGAAGCAATCATATAACATTCCACCCAAATTCCCCAGGATATTTTTCTCCAAAGCAGAGGACTTCTAATTGAGAAATATTGTACTCACATAATTTATATTATTATGTTATTTTGTAACCATTTTTCATTGACCATTGGTTTCATTATATTGTTGAACCTTCAAAACCATTCTATTTGAATACTCCATTCAAAACCAAAACTTTTTCTAAATTAAATATGTAATTTTACGTAATTTTAAAAAATCGTTTTGGATGGAGTTTGTAAATAGCATACCGCAAAATGATAGTTGCTTTTATTTTTGATAAGGTATAAATTCAAAACTTTATGTTAATTTGTTGAATTGGACTAAAGAAATCAAACCACTATTGAAATTAATTATACTTAGAACCATCTGATAACAGCAAGGTAAAAGTCATTATTCAACTGCTGTTTTCAACTAACAACAAGAATGTGCTAGAATATCTACACAATCATAATTATTTTAAGCCCTTCAGTGAGCTGAGATTGCAAAAGAATCTGGTGAACTGAAATCCAGAAAGTTATAAGCCTTTCTTTGGAGAGAGGAAACCCACACTGTTTTCATGTTTGGTAGAGCAGCATGAGGAAGGGTTTTAAAATTCCAGGGATCCCCAAACATAAAAGAACCACATGCCAATTCTTTCTCATAGGCCAAATGCCTACAAAGCAATTAGCGGCAGGGGAGAGATACTGAAAAATGTTCTCTTTGAAGCACTGGTCCTGCTATGATCTGAGACAAGAGTAGATGACCTGGGAAAAAACTTTGCATACTCCCTTACTAAGCCTGAGAATGAGGCAATGAAGTGCCTTCACTGGAGGAATGGCAGTAGAGCTGAGAGAAATCCCTTCTGAGTTGTAGATTGCTGGGATTGCTATAGTCTCAAGCCAGGATGAAATAACTCAAAGAAATAATTCAGCTATTACCCACTGAATAAATCACTGTCTACCTACCCTCTGGGAGGGTCAGGCAGATCAGAGTTTTGACATTGGTGAGGAGGTACAAAGACCTCGATGAAGCCTGGGGGTATGAAGGAGACCTGTGACAAAATATCCAAGCTCCACGATTCCAATCCCTGCTTTAAAAATTTGTATGATCCTGTTCTCAAAGATTGTGAAGCCTGTCATGTTTCAATGTAACAAAAGAAAACAAATAAACAAAACCAGACCAGGAATGACTGCTGAGTACCCTGACTCAACAAGACACACTAATGACCTGATAGAAAATAAAGAATTGCACCTTTATCTGTGCATAAGTATTATTTTCCTCAGTCTTTAGTGTTATTTTACTACAAGATCTAGCATTTAATAAAAATTAGAAGACACAATGTAACCCATCATCATATTATTAAAAGCAATAATCAATTAAAAAGGGCATAGTTGATCAAGATTTTGAAATTATCCCACAAATGATTTAATACTTTTTATTATGTATTTACTTTTATTTTGAGGCTCATTGCTATTAAAAGGGTTTACTATTAAAAAAAAGCATTACCAACAAATAAAGCAATAGATGATTATAGATTCATTTCATGACAAAAAAATGAGGAAAAAGCTCTACTGAGTATTTAGGTTACTCTCTATATGCTGAAATACATGACTTCTTATCTCTATTTTCTACAAATATTTTATGTGTGTAAAACATATAATTTCCTCCTGATCTTGGTGATTGGTAGCTTTGCAACTTTGTGCATCTCTGAAGTTGTGGCAGGGGTCATGGCACAGTTGGCTAGTATACCAAATGGTCAGGAGAGCAGCAACATAGAATGTTGTTCCCATCACCACTAGAAACTGGAAAGACTGAGCTCTTCCTAGATGCTTCTTTTTGAGCACACATCTATTTATCAGAAACTACCCTGCATGCTTTCCTTTAATGGGAGCTGTTAGTTTCATTGAGGCTGAGAAGAATTGTGTAAAGGCAGAAGAATTGTTTATCACTAATAGTCTCCCTGAGTTTACCAAGGATTAAGGTGAGAACACTATTCATTGTACAAGCATCTCCTACACTACTAGGAAAGACCATATCAGAAGCTAGAAGTATTATAATAACCTATATAAAATGCTAACATCAATTATTTGACTTACAAGAACAGAAATTTTATATGTGTAACCTGAAAATCTAATGGTAGTGCAAAATCAGACTGGGTATCAGGTGATAAATTTGGGCAGTCTCAGTCTAACCAAGCAAACAATTGTCCTAATTAACCTCCATATTTAGATGGATAGATATGGATTTATAATGAAAGCAGCCACATTTCACATTTATGAAATAATGAAAGCATCATTATGCATTATTTTTATTAAAAGATACATATTTTTTGAATAAATTGTAAAACCCAAGTAATAAATCTTACCTATTTTGAAAAGATAACTAATGTGACATAGTAAATATGAGCAAATATATGGATTCCATTGAAGGATTTTTGAAGAATCTCAACTGAGATCCTTGAACTCACCTTCCAAAGGAGTCTTGGAAGGTAAAAAATATATACTGAGGCTGGAGTCATAAAGCTTAAATTTGACTATTACATAGATAAGATCTAAATGATAAATGTATAATATGATATTTTTAGATGTCTTCTAATGATATAGTACAAATCCTGGCTGAAATATTTGAAGGCAAGCATGTATGTAATGAAATTATTTTAAAGCTTAGTGAGGTAATTCAGTAAGTGATCAAGCATAATACTTATAATAAATCATAAATTGTTGTTATATAAAAATTAACAATATACTCTATATTTTGGAATAACAGCTTAACATTCATTGTGGAAAAAAATCACTCTTTTTTCCAAAGAAAGCTCTATAACTGAAAGTTCATAAATTCTCCTTAACCTATACAATATCTCAGTGACAATAAGGTAGGGTGTGCAAACACATCAGGAAAGGTTTCAATTAAACTTACACTGCATCAGTAAATTTTTATTAAAGATTCAAAGCGCAAAATATCACCGATGATGAGAGTTATTCTCTCATTCATTCAGCTTTGAGCTTTGTTTTATTCCAAGTCCTCTGATATGGTGTCTAGGCTCCCCACCCTTTTAAAATTGAAAATAAAATATCTTGATTGCATTTGTAGAGGGAAAACAAGAAATTCTTGTTAACATAAACTCAGAACATGAGATAAGAAATTTTAGTATCCGCAGCTTAAATAAAGAATTTATACAGTCAATACCAAATTGTAACAGTTAAGAAGAGAAATGAATAGCAATTTTGAACTCATTATAATTCAACTAGATGTATTTCTAGTAAGAATTACATGTAATATAGAACACATATTGCATGTATATGTACTATATAACATATGCCATATGATATGTATTACTTTGACATAATTTAAACAATTAGAAATTAAAGGTCAGAGATATAACAAACCATAATATTTTGGAAGAAAAATAGCCTTATTAAGCTCATTATAATTGAACTATGAGCATATCTGGCAGGACATTTAAATGTGAGTGTGTGTGTGTGTGTATACACATACACACACATACACACGTATATATGTTAAATGTATATATGTATATATAAATGTATATATATACACATGTTAAATGTGTATATATACACATATGTGTGTGTATATATACACATATATACGCATGTATACATGCGTGTATATATACACATATATACGCATGTATACATGCGTATATATGTATACATGTATACATATATACACACATGTATATGTGTATATATACACACATGTATATGTGTATATGTGTGTATATATACACACATGTGTATATGTGTGTATATATACACACATGTGTATGTGTGTGTATATATACACACATGTATATGTGTATATGTGTGTATATATACACACATGTATATGTGTATATGTGTGTATATATACACACATGTATATGTGTATATGTGTGTATATATACACACATGTATATGTGTGTATATATGTGTATGTATATGTGTATATATACACACATGTATATGTGTATATATACACACATGTATATGTGTATATATGTGTATATATACACACATGTATATGTGTATATATGTGTATATATACACACATGTATATGTGTATATATGTGTATATATACACACATGTATATGTGTATATATGTGTATATATACACACATGTATATGTGTATATATGTGTATATATACACACATGTATATGTGTATATATGTGTATATATACACACATGTATATGTGTATATATGTGTATATATGCACACATGTATATGTGTATATATGTGTATATATGCACACATGTATATGTGTATATATGTGTATATATGCACACATGTATATGTGTATATATGTGTATATATGCACACATGTATATGTGTATATATGTGTATATATGCACACATGTATATGTGTATATATGTGTATATATGCACACATGTATATGTGTATATATGTGTATATATGCACACATGTATATGTGTATATATGTGTATATATACACGCATGTATATGTGTGTATATATGTGTGTATATATATACTCACACATACATTTATATAGATATATATCAGCAAGGAACACTCTGTGACTAGAGAACATGAGTTAGCATATAAAGGACAGCCAAGTACCCAAGTGGTGAAACATATGTAGAAAGCTCCCTAAGACTTTTTTGCATATAAAAGTATAAAGCATGTCAATTTCCACAGTCATTTTAAATTTTTGTTATTACAAACAATGATCTTGTCATTTAGATATGTTGATCAACCTATCAAATTGAGTGAAGAATGACAGAATCATTTCCATTGGTAGAAAGTTTAACTAATTGACTTTCTAGTTTTCCTATATTTTTAGTTTTATAGCTATTTTTAGTAGGTAAATATAATTATCACATAATTAACTTATACAGCACAACTTTATATTAACACAGAATAATATGCTTGTGGCTAAAGTAGTCAAGAATAGTATAGACATAACTTCTTCCTTAAATGAGTATTATATTTACACAGTCCATGTGCATATAACCACTGTCAAAACAAAATCAAATTACAATAATTTGAGCTTACAAGTTATGTGACATTGAGTAAGTTACTTAAACTTAGTAGAATTTCTCAAAACAAAGAAACTGTTTTATTCTAATGCTGCAGATGAAGAAATCTGCTTTTGGTTCTTAAAGACATTTGTTTGCCCTAGATTTCATTCAACAATACTTCAAAAGCTTAAGACAACACTTGGCTAGGGAATCTTGTGATATTAATATGTAATATAAGCCATCACATATTATGACATCCGAAAACAATACAATAAAAGTTTAACAGTTTGACATATTCAGAATTGCCCCTAAAGATATGCTTTAAAATGGACAGTTTTGTTTCTTGGAAATGTATAAAACTCAGACCCCTTACTTAATGGTTGTGGGGGAAGACACGGTGTGAGCCCTGTGAGGGGAGGGACGGAGAGATGAGAACTGATATGCCATGTGCTCTCCCAATTTACCTGTTAACCTAATTTTCTTGCAGGAAGGTCCTAATCCTAGTAAAGAAGCAGGATGTTTTCTTCATTATAGGGAAAAAAGAGTAGGTATTTGGGGTTTCTAGGAGTTGGGATTTCTGTTCCCCTCAGGGAAGGAATAAAGTTAAAAAATAGAATAAAAGTGCCTGATATTCTTTGGGGTGGATTCCTGTGCATGCAGATTGGGTATGGAACCATTATCAGTTGCTTGTTTATAGTAAATATGGGAACACGAATGCTCTGGCCTGGGTTGGCCAGGCTAATACCTAAAAAAATGACAGCATGTCACTTAGACATGTTTTGCAATTAGCAGAAGAAACATCACAATGAATTTTTTTGGTAGCAGTAGACTGAGAAGAATAAGAAAGTTTGGGGCTAGGAAACACTCTATTTCTCAAATAAAAGTTAGAGTACTAATTGACTTTTTAAATAATTGCCATTACTATATTGATATCATTAAATTAATTTTAAATAAATTAATGCAGGCTTGTTATTTTGAAAATTGAGCAAGGTTTGGATAAACTTTCTTAAATTGATAGAAGATAGAAAAATAAATTGGCTTAGACTGTATCTTTCATAATCCCCTAAACTCGAGTTGAAATTTGTTACATTAACTTTTGAAAATTATTAATCTCAATATTTGATTTAAAGCACAGTGGTCTCTCCTTGTTTTGGTTAATTATTTTTATATATGTGTCTGTATGAAATTATATCTTTATATATTGTATATGTAAATATATATGATTATAATTAAATATCTGTGTATATAATTATATATAATATATGTATAATTATATATAAATAAAATATATAATTATTTACATACAAGTATATATTTAAATATATTAAAATTGTATATATTTATATATTTGTTTATATATGTGTAAATATATATAATTATATATAAATGAATATATATTTAAATTGTACAGAACCATATATAATTATATATTTATATACACACATATATACGTATGTATATAAATAACCAGAAAAAGGAGAGACCACAGTGCTGTAAATCAAATACTGAGATTAATAATTTTTAAAAGTTAATGTAACAAATTTCAATAATATATAGATATACATACACATATATAAATAATTATATATGTTATATATGTAATTTTATATACGCACACACATATATACATATATATGTGTGTGTGTATATATATATAAAAAATCAGACTCAATTTTTTTTCCAGTTACATCTTAAAGGTTATCTACATGTCTGTAAGGTCAAAATCATCATACATGATATTTAACTCAGCATCCCAACTGCCATTTCAGATGCATTTCTTCATACCATTATTATTTTGTTAAAATCATAAAATTTTATTATTTTAGTATTATATTCATTTTTTGTTTAATTTAGATAATGCATAGTTCTCAGTTAGAAGCCATATTATCACCTCCCAAAATGCTATTGTTTCAAATGAGAACCTAATTTGAGCTTAATTTTTCAAGTTTTAATTTTGATTATCAGTCTTTCAACCTTTCTAATATATTCTCATTTTGTTTATGTTAAGCAGCTTCTATTCTACCAGTGCTGCTGCTGCTCCTCCTCTTCCTCATTTTTCTCCTCCTCCTCCTTCTTTCCTCCTCTTCCTCCTCTTTTTTCTTCTTCACAATGAAAGAACTTTTTATTCCTGATAGAACAGTTAGTAAATATACTAAGATCCAGTTTGTTTATTTTAAAGACTTGCTGTACATTATTCATGTATAGTTAAACAGTAAAGATTGAAATACTTAGCATATTATGCCATGTGGTCTACTATCTGGACTTAACCTACCTCTTACTTAGATTATGTCTCCTGCCTGTCTAGTTCTATGTATAGTTCTATGCATAGTGAGTTCTCTGGGATACTCACAATTCCCTGAAAACACGCTATGTAGTAATGCTTTCATGTCTTATCTCATGCTTTCCATATACATGGAAATACACATATACATATGTGTATGTGTATGTGTATGTGTTTGTGTGTGTGTGTGTGTGTGTGTGTGTGTGTGTGTATAAAATATTGTCCCACAACAGTGCCTTGCCAAATTCAATTCTTATTCTGGACCCAAGTTTAACTTTCCCACAATGACTTCAACAACCAAAAATAATTTCCATGAATCCATAATGTTTATTTGTGCCTGTAATAAGCATTTTCTTATTCTATGTTGGCTATAGTTATTCCTACTTGAATACTTTCTACCTCAGAACAGAGATAATTCCTATGTCATTTTTTTATCCCCTGCCATTGCTACCATAATGTTTTACATATAATAGAGACGAAATTATTGGTCTCTTGAATTGAATATTGAAATTATATAACCGTACTAAGGTTAGTTGTTTCTTTCCTTTTTAGGCAACATGCATTATTAATAATAATTGCTATTATTACAAGTGAAAAAAAACTCATGCAGATGGTGATTATTTTCATAGTTCATCATTCTGCCAGTCAAATTTCAAGTGAAATAATTGCCTCCCTTGGGCCTCCAGTAAACTAGAGGATGTAATATATATAATAATAATGAGATATTTTAATAATGATTCAGAAACATTAAAGTGTGGAAATGGTAGTTTGGGTTCACATTCCAAAACTGAAGAGTGCTATTATATAATTAGCAATGCTGGATAGAGTATACATTTTTACAAAATCAATCACAAACTGTTCAAATTATTGCTTTTAAGCTTCACCGCACTAGATGTTGCAGATATGCTTTTCTATATTTCTTTAGTATGTGCATAAGGGCTTATTAAAAGGGAAATGTGTTTCTCAGTGATATACTCTGTATAATATTTAAGAATATTTCAAGGATGGATTAAAATTTGTAAAAATTGTAGAAATTTTTAATTCGCAGAGGATTTATAAAAACAAAACTTTTGAGGCAGAAGACACTATAGAGCTCATCCAATTCAATCCCCTTCCCTTACAAACTAAGGAACTGAAGATAGGGAAGTAACATGATTCTATCATTCTCTCAGGAAGCTACCATATTTCTGGGTTTTTTTTTTCAGGTTAAGTTTATGAATACTCCTGATATCAATTATCTGTAATGGCCTACGTGAAGACAAATAAATACTTTGGTAATATGAAAGAGGGAATGCTAAGTCGTCTAAGAGGGAATAGTAAACTGTTGTTTATGTTTGGATAAAAATAATAGCTGAGAAAAGTTGTAGGTTATACCGCAAAGGAATCTCCCCTGATTTGTTGTTTTTGTTGCTATTGTTGGTTTTTAGGGTAGCAGTGTAATAGCGTGAGTTATAATTTTAAAGCAAAATAGTGCTAGCCCCTATATTTGTTCAGTAAATAAATAGTTAATGACAATCAGAGAAAGATAATAAAAAGGATACTAAGAAAAAAATTGAAAATAAAATATTTTGGGAAAAGGGATAAAAGTAGTAAGGATTTAAGAAATATTTATATCCTTGAATCTCAGGAAGGGTTTAAACACACTTGCCACAGTCTCCTAATATGATCTTTGGTCATAGAAACAGCTTATTTCTAACATGGCAGTGGGTCTTGATGCCACACTTTGCCAGACAGTATTTAATGTAATTCTTCCTAAGTTTAGAAAAAATATATACTTATTTAACACGAAGCAAAATCTATCATTTACTACCTTATAAACTTTGTTACTTCAATAGCTGATCAAACACACAAGTGAAATGCTGTGGTTTAATGTCAGAGTAGTGGGCTCAAAATTCCCCAAAACTTGGCTGCTCTTTTATAATTAGCTGAAGAAAGGCAGCCCAACATCTTATACAATACTACAATATTATTTCTTTGATCAATAAATGAAATACTGATGCCTCCCATGAAAATGCCAAGCCAAGAACTCACTGGTATAAATAATATTAGCCATGGTCTACTAAACTTTTTGATTTAAATGACTGAAAGTCACTGAAATTTCTCCTCTTGCAATTAGTATTTTAAAATGTGCTCTAAGTACATCGTAAAACATTTCATGCTGTTCCTTGAAAATAAATGAGTTATCTTCAAAATATATCTCAGAAAAAATTCATGTGTTTAAGGAAATTTCTTTTATTATTTCTGGTAATATTTTCTATTATTTTCCAATACTAAAGACAATTCTTTTAACTAGCTTTTTGACAATTTAGATAATAAAAGAGTAATTTGAGTAGAAATTAATAAAATAAAAAACTGTAATTCAAGACATTCAAGGAAAGTGGAAAATATAATTAAATATTCCGTTTTCTAATTATTAATACACATACTGTAAAAGTCTATTATTTGGCCCTTTTAAGAATTTATACAAAAATACAAGTAGTTTTGAAGAACAATGGAGAAACATTTCTCGGTGAGAAGAAATCCAGGTCTAAAGTGACTGTATTTTTTGCAAGTCTTCTGCATACAATCAACCAATGTCTGAGTTGTTACTGGTTTAAAACTGGAATTGATTTTAAATTACAAACAAGGCTCTTTATAACAGTGACCCTAGGATAAAACCTACCTTCATGGCCAAACAAATAATATTTTTGATAATGGTAGTAACAACACAGGAATTTGATGCTAGAAAACAAGAACAACAATGTCTACTTTCCCCAAGTAGGTTATAAAGTGTTCATGGCTTCCTTTGCCTTATCCAATGACAACAAAGTAACTTGAAAAGAATATTAATAATATTAATAAATGAGTGAGAGAATGAATAATTGTTGGAATATAAAGTTTTATAAGTTCTGTTTCTCTTTATTTTATTTATTTTTAAATTTTATTTTATTTTATTTTATTTTATTTTATTTTGAGACGGAGTCTCGCTCTTGTCGCCCAGGCTGGAGTGCAGTGGCGTGATCTTGGCTCACTGCAATGTCCGCCTCCCAGGTTCAAGCGATTCTCCTGCCTCAGCCTCCCGAGTAGTTGGGACTACAGGTGCCCACCACCACGCCCAGCTAATTTTTTGTATTTTTAGTAGAGACAGGGTTTCACCGTGTTAGCCAGGATGGTCTCAATCTCCTTACCTCCTGATCCTCCCGCCTCGGCCTCCCAAAGTGCTGGGATTACAGGCATGATCCACCATGCCTGGCCCTCTTTATTTTATTTATTTATTTATTTTTAAGAAAGGGTCTCACTTTGTCACTGCACTCACATAGCTCACTGCAACCTCAAATGCCTGGCTCAAGCCATCCTCCTGCCTCACTCTCTTGAGTAGCTGGGACTAGAGGAAAATGCCACCACACCGGGATATATATTTTTTTAATATTTGCCATGTTTGTATGTATTTATTTATTTAAAACTTTCACTTTAGGTTCAGGGTACATGTGAGGGTTTGTAACATAGGTAAATGCATATCACGGGAGTTTGTTGTACAGATTATTTCATCACATAGGTATTAAGCCCACTACCCAATAGTTATCCTTTCTGCTCCTCTCCCTCCTCCCACCCTCCTTCCTCAAGCAGACCCTAGTGTCTGTATTTCCCTTGTGTTCATGAGTTTTCATCAATTAGCTCCCACTTGTAAGTGAGAACATGTGGTATTAGGTTTTCTGTTCCTGTGTTAGTTTAGAGAGGGGTCTTACTATGCTGTGGAGGCTGATCTGGAGCTCCTGGCCTCAACTTATCCTCTCACCTTGGCCTTGCAAAGCACTGGGATTGCAGGCATGAGCCAATCATCTCTGGCTCTATAAATTCTGATTCTATCTTCAAATTATTCCTTCCCCAGTGTCTTTCTTCTCAATAAATGTGTCATTTTTTTTCTTGGTTGCATAAGTCAAATCCTCTGGTGATTATTTCTCTTACGCTACACACTGAATCCCTTAGAAACTGTATCACCACCCCCTTCCAATAAGACAGATGCAACCATTTCTTACTACGTCTTCATTTTTCTTACCCAAGTCAGGACAACAGCCTCCTAACTACGCTAACAGCTTTCTTAGTTTTCTACAGGCTATTCTCCAGAAAGATTCCTTTAAAATGTGAATTATATTAAATCATTTTCCTGTTCAAAATATTCAATGGTTTCTTCTCAGACTTAAAATAAAATCAAATTGCTTACTGTGGCTTAAAGGGAGAACATGATCTGCCCCAGGGATCTTCCATTCCATACAGGGTCACTCATTCTGATTTTCTCTTTTGCAACCACAGTGACTTTCTCAGGACCTTCTTTTGTGATTGCGATTTTCTCTACCTAGAATTATCGTCTCCCCTGTTTACCACTCTTACTTCCCTATCAAATGTTCCTTTGTCCAAATCCACCTATCACTTTCTGTTGTTTTAACCCATAGTTCACTATTCTTGCACCTTTACCTGTGTTTTAAGAAAGCTTAATGAGCAAGATAGACCAATGACTTTGGCACATGTCTGTGGAGTCCAGGCAGCCTATTTCTAAGCTTCCTTATCAGTGAGATCTGTCCTAACATTAATAAACAATAATTTGGTTTGTTAATGACAAAATATGTTAATTATAGAAACCACAGGGTGTGAATAAAAGGTACAAAGAGTCAGACTAAGACAAAAGAAATGATTGCAGAGAAAATTAAGCAGATTTAGTTTTTAAATCTCTTAGGAAGGAAATTTAGCTCACAAAAGTAGTGCCTAAATTAGCCATTGACAGTTCAAGTTTATGATTTCCAGAAAGAGTAAAATCTTACTGATCATTCAGAAAATGCTTTTTGCTTTTCATTATAAAGTTGTTTTTCCATAAATGCATATGTATGTAGAAAGCGATTGTCTCTTCGGAAAGGAACAAACTTCTCAACAGATTATTCCAAGATTATATTAGGTTGGTGCAAAAGTAATTGCAGTTAGAGACCATGAATTATAAGTCATTATAACTAGGTTCAAACATATCTTTATTAATCAAAATGGGAACCATTATAATCAACACATTTTTGCTAATGAGAAATAAGTTTGTTTATTCCTGTAGCATAAAATCCACGTTTCAGGATTCGACAAACTCTTGGAAAGCATTTTCTGCATCCTGCTGGTTGTGGAAGATGCTTGAAGAAGTGGTAGTTGGTTGGTAAGAGGTCAGGTGAATATGGCGGTTCAGGTAAAACTCCCTAGCCCAATTCATTCAACTTTTGAAGCATTGGCTGTGCGACAAGTGGTTGGGCATTGTCGTGAAAAATTGGGCCCTTTCTGTTGACCAATGTCAGCTGCTGGCATTGCAGTTTTTGGTGCATCTCATTGATTTGCTGAGCATACTTCTCAGATGTAATAGTTTTGCTGAGATTCAGAAAGCTGTAGTAAATCAGACTGGCAGCAGACCACCGGTGACCACACCCTTTTTCTGGTGCAAGTTTGTCTTTGGGAAGTGCTTTGGAGCTTCTTCTCGGTCTAATCACTGAGCTGGTTGTCACCAGTTGTTGCATAAAATCCATTTTCAGCACACATCACAATCCAATTGAGAAATGATTCATTGTTGTTGCAAAGAATAAGAGAAGACGACACTTCAAAACAATGATTTTTTTTTATTTTGCTCAGCTCATGAGGCACCCCCTTATCAAGCTTTTTCCCCTTTCCAATTTGCTTCAAATGCCAATCGACATAGAATGGTTGACGTTGAGTTCTTCAGCAACTTCTCGTGTAGTTGTAAGAGGATCAGCTTCAATGATGCTCTCAATTGGTCATTGTCAACTTCCAATAGCCAGCCACTATGCTCCTCATCTTCAAGACTCTCGTCTCCTTTGCAAAACTTCTTGAACCACCACGGTACTCCATGTTTGTTAACAGTTCCTGGGCCAAATGAATTGATGTTGCAAATTGTCTCTGCTGCTTTAGCACCCATTTTGAACTCAAATAAGAAAATCACTCGTTTGTTTTTTGTCTAACATCATTTCCATAGTCTAAAATAAATACAAATTAACCAGCAAGTAATGTCATTAGCAAAAAAAAAAATACAGTGAGAAATGCCCCATTAAAAGGATGTATAACATAACCCCATTTATTTAAGAATGTATTCCAATATCAAATGGCAAATTACAACAATGCAAAAACTACTCTTACTTCTGTATCAACCTAATATTTTCAAACATGTTCTTTTGTTTTTCTTCTTGAGAGTACTAATCTTCAAATATTGAGGAAGTATTTTATACTTAAAATATTATACTGTTGAAATGAGAAAAGTTCCCTTATACCCCTTGCAGGGCATGAGACAGGGGCAGTGGCTGGCTTCTTCAGTGACCCACTGATCAAACCTCTACGGGAGCATGCAGATGGGCAAGTTTTGGGGCTCCATGCCCCAAACACCATGGCAGCCTCTAGGGGTGAATGCTTACAGCTCCTGAAGCCCCAGGGGGCATGCGTTACAGAGTAATCTTTTATTTTGCAGTCTGTACGTGGCTTGTGTTAATCAGCTGTATTAGACCCTCTGCCTTACCTCAATGACACAGGACTTTCTGTATTCTGGGGTTCTTGCCATGCTGTAGAGGAAGAATCATATCACACGTGGGCTTGGAGAATGAGTGCAAGGTTTTATTGAGTGGGAGTAACTCTCAGCAGATGGGAGAGCCAGAAGGGAGATGGAGTGGGAAGGTGGTGGTTTTTCCCTGGAGTTGGGCTTCTCATTGGCGGGGCTCTCCTCCAACCCTTCCACGTCATTCCACTGGTCTATGGCCTGACAGCCTGCTGGTGCCTGTCGGTTTGCTCTTACACCGGTGCATTACTCTTGACATACAGCTGTTGTGTGTTCTCACACTTGTGTGTTCTGTCAACATTCAGCCACTTGTATCTGTGTCCACTAGGATCTCAGGGTTTTTACAGGCACACGATGGGGTGTGGTAGGCCAGGGTGGTCTCAAGAAATGCAACATTTGGGTGCAAAGGCAGGAGTGCCTGCCCTCACCTAGGTCCATGGGCAGAAGCCTGGGGATGGAGCCCTCACCAGGGACCCACCCTTCTCCTCCCAGCACTTTACTGCCCCCTTCTGTATCACTATGATACATAAATATTATGAAACTGTGTAATACAATTATAAGAAATGTAAACAAAGAATATTAACTAGGCCAGGAGTGGTGGCTTGTGTCTGGGTGAGGCAGGAGGCTGAGGCAGTAAGACAGTAAGATCACTTGAGGCTAGGAGTTCAAGACCAACCTTTGCAACATACCAATAGCCCTCTTCTGTACATTTTTTTTTTTTTAATTATTGGCAAGGTCTATAGTCTCAGCTATGTGGTAAGCCAAGATGGGAGGATGGCTTGAGCCCAGGATCTCAAGGCAGCAGTGAGCTATGATTGTGCCACTGTACTCTAGCCTGGATGACAAGAAAAGAATTAAAAAAAAAAAAAAAGACTAGGAATTCAGAAAAAGGTAGGAAGCAGAACATGAATAAGTATTCAATTAAGACTAAGTTTTGTTTTTTGAATTAGTTGTTGTTTTCCCTGTCATTTGAAAGCCAAATCTGGTTTGGATCCACGGGAAGCAGTGAACATTGGAGCCAGGCTGCTTGGGTTCCAAATCCTAATTCTTCATTTTAGTATCTATTTAATTTAACACAGTTACTTTAGCTTCTTATATCTCTGATTTTTTCATTCCTAAAATGAGATGTGAATAAAAACCTGACTGAGTTTTTTGTGAAATGAATTTTTAAATCACTTAGAGCAGTGCCTTCCATATAGTAAGCACTCAATAAATACTCGCCATTATCTATTATTTTCCGTGGTGGTGGTAGTAATAGTAACAGTAGTAGTAGCAGTATTAGTAATAGCAGTAGTAGTAGAAGAAGAAGAAAACGGGAACAAGAAATAAAATGAGGAGTGAAAATTTACTTAAGTGTAGGGAAATGCTGAATTAGTAAAGTCAGAGGGGGAACAGGGTAAGCAAAGACTACTTAAAAAAAAAAAAAGTAAATTCTTGTATTAGTTTTCTGTGGCCACAGTGATAAATACCAAAAATTTGGTGTCTTGAAACACATTTATTTTCTCACACTTCTGAAGTCCAGAAATTAGAAGTCACTTTTTTGGGGGTAAAGTCAAGATGTCAGCAGGGCTTAGCCCTTCTGGAGTCTCTAAGGAGAAAATTGCTTGCTGTTTCTGGCTTCTGGCAGGTACTGGAAATCCGTGGCTTCTTGCCTGCCACATCACTCTCATCTCTATGTCTGACATTGCATTGCTTTCTCATCTTCTCTTCCATTCCTCCCTCTTATAAGGACACACTTGTTATGATGTTTATGACCCACATGGATAATCCAGATAATCCCTCCACATCAAGATCTTTAACTTAATCAAAGTCCTTTTTGCCATATAAGGTAGCATTCACAGGTTCCAGGGATTAGGATATGGATATATTTGGAGGTCAAGCTCTATTTTCAAGTTCTTCCCAATCAATATTTTATTTTTAAAACTTCAATAAGCATAATTCAAAATGAATCACGGGTTTGTGTGTGTGTGTCATTTTTCTGACATTGAAAAAAGTAGGAATTATACAGTTGAGATGTTTATTACCAGTATAAAGTGTAGTAAAATCGATTACAACAAATCTTCACGTGTCAGTTTTTTACTTCTGTAATTATATGAAGGATTAGTGAATGTCATAACAGAAAAGTGTTACATGCATGTATCCATATTCAAATAGAAATAATAATATAGTTTTTGATGCCTGAGATAAGGTGGTATACTAGATTTATAAAGCATTATTAAAGAAACTAAACAAAATCTCATTTATTTCTAATTTACCGAATATCAATTAAATTATGTGAAAAATTTTGCCAGGTTTTCCAATTTACCTAGAGCTTTCTGGGTACTCAGAAGATGTTTTATGAATGCCATCCTGAATGTTTTCTGTTTGTTCACTTGTATTTACATTAAATTGATGCAAATATGACTGTCTGTGTGTCTGATGTTTGTAAGAGTTTTAATGTAAATTTTTTAATTTGTCTAGTATAAATTATATATATACATAATTTTTACTCTATTTCTAAAGTTTAAATTTGCAGTTTATCATATCAATTATAATTTTTGAATATAAGAGCATAATGACCATTCCTTTCAGACTACCTTTTGGCTCTAATAGAATACAATTTGTAATATAATTTTCTAAAATCAAAAGTAACATTCACAGGTTTTAGGGAATTTTAAGACATAAAACTCTGGAAATCTAGTAGTCTCGTACTAATGATTCTTTCATTCTTACTCTTATTATCAAGTACATTAATAGAAAAAAATTGGACAATAATTATCTGGTAAACACTGAATGGATTAAACAAAAAGTCAAATATTAAATTAGCCAAGAATTATTTAAATTTAGTATCTTATACAAAACACAACTATTTCAAAGAATGTTACTTCTTAAACCAAACTTAAGGATCTATTTTATTATGTTTCTTTTTTTTGAGGCTTCTGAATACAAGGAATAATAAACCATAATTTGAACATTTCTCTTCACTGTAGATGGTATGATCCAAATATCATTCTTATTATCTACAGTGTTGGCTCTCATTTTCTAAAAAGTCCTAAATTTAAAAACAAAAAGCCTTTGTTATAAAAGCATAGGGAAGTGTGAATCTTTTGACATAGATTCTTCACATATTCATTAATTCAATTAGGCAGATTTGGCAATGATGATGTGTGAAAAGAACAATGAATATGGAATAAGAATAAAATATGCTGCAAACTAGGCTATGCTATGTCCTAGGTTTGCAAGCTTGAGAGAAATTACTTAAGGCCAATTTTCTTATCTTTAAAATGTGCCTAAAAATAATTGCTTCAATAATTGTTAAAAGAATTAGATGAAATAACCATAAAATCCCCAGCACAATGATTGAGACAGTGAGACTCACTTTAATATGTTCCTGCTTAGTCTTTATGCAAGCTTTTGGGTCCTTTCTGTGTTCTTAGAAGGATAATAATTATATGAGAAAAACAAACAAACAAAGTAGAAAATGTTATTTGTTGCCCTTGAGAAATTTGCAACCAATTTAGGGAGATAATATATATACACATACACATTTGTTATTACATACAAATATACAAATATATATACATATATACAAATATATATACATGTCTATACATATTTGTTATTATATACAAATATACACAGTTATACATACATTCATATGTGTGTGTTTGTATACCCTTAAGTGCTAGCCACTTGTCTAAGCACTTTATATATAGAGCCTAGAGTAAATCATTTCATTTTAACAAAATTGTATTGGATTGTATTGGGTAGTTTTTTTATCCTCATTTCACAGATCTGAGATTAAGTCATGTAGACTAGCATTAAGTATAAAAGATTATCACAGGCCGAAAATACATCACTTTGTGTTAAAATTAAGAAACCATGTAGACAAGTCTGAGGAGGTGAGGAGTTCCTAGAATGGTGAAATTAGAATCCAAACCTGGAAAGGTATGAGAATGAAGAAGTGTTTTTCTAAATAATATGAATAATAATAATTTGATAGATGACATTTGTTCTTAACTTTCCTATTGCAACCACCATTTCCCAAGTCCTAGGCAATTCAACATAAAAGGTAAAAGTCCAGGTAAATGTCTACATTTTGTCACTTCAAAGCATTTTTCTAAATCCTAGTGTATTTCCTGGTGAGCTGGGCCAAAATTCATAGAGGAGTTACATTGCTTCAGCTACATGCTAAGTAGTCCTCTTCAACTTCTAACCTCAAACACACACAGAAACAGATAAAGGGGAATTGACAGAAGGTTTGCATCTTAAGCATATTCTTTAAGATAGTTCCTTTTAACAACTCTAAGATAACATTTTGACACAACAATATTAAGACTCTGAGGAGGGCCAGGAGCAGTGACTCATGCCTGTAATCCCAGTGCTTCGGGAGGCTAAAGCAGGAGGATCTCTGGAGGCCAGGAGTTCAAGACCAGCCTGGGCAACATAGTGAAACCTGTTTTCACAAAATAAATAAACAAATACATAAATTTGCCAGGTGTGGCTTATGCCTGTAATCTCAGCATTTTGGGAGGCTGAGGCAAGAAGATTGCTTGAGTCTAGAAGTTTGAGATAGGTTCAGGCCACATAGCAAGACCCCCACCTCTACAAAAAATAAAAAAAATAGCCAGGCATGGTGACATGTGCCTGTAGTTCCAGCTACATGGGAGGCTGAGACAGGAGGACCTCAGTGAGGAATATATAACCAAATCAGAGTTCAAAACCAAATTGTGTAGACAGTAGGCAAAGACTTTTAAATGTAGGTTCCTCTATCAGTTGACAACTGACTCCCTGCCACCATACCATTTTAAGTAGATGGGAAGCTACTGAATCTTCCTACTATTGAACTATCTCATTTTCAGTAAAATTAGGCAGTTTATTGTATATTCAGCAGTGGGAATTAATCAGTGATTTCTTATATCCCCAAATGTATGTATTTTTTAATAAAGATAAATATGCTAAGATAAAAAAGATATTATCACAGGCCTAAAATACATAACTCTGTGCTAAAATTGAGAGACTAACTAGAAAATCTGAGGAGGTGAAAAGTTTCTAAAAGGTAAAGAATGTGCAATTTATTTTTGTTACACTATAGTTCTTCAGAGTTCCACAATTATTATTTGTTGAATAAAAAGACAATAGTGTAATGCAATATTATTTTTGTTTTGTATTATTAGTGCAAAAAGAATCCACTTGCCACTTTGATTTTGGTCAGGAAAATAATTTTCCCTAACACGAGTGAAATTTGAAATATATCTATCAGAAAATATTTCCATGGAATGGGAATGCAATAAAACACTAAGAACTTGAAATGCTGTTGTAAATCATATTGCACTTTAGTCACATTTACATATTTAATAACTGATTAAACAGGGTTTAGTCTTCTTTCTGTGAGACATGCCATTATCTTTGTTGTCTCTGAAGGATTTTGCACTCAATATTTGTTGATATCAAAAATTCAAAAAATTGTATTCATACCAAAATAGGCTTAGTATCATATTCCAGATTTGTTTGTTCACTTATCCCTAATAAACAACAGAATCATTAATTTTCAGGAATGTTATCAGTTTTATTCCATACATATATATTTATGAAACTAAAATAAACTATAGGAATATGAGAATAGGCCCCGTCTGGCCAGATTATATGTTAATCTCATCAAACAGTGAATGTCACACAAAGGCCCCTACAGCTTGAAAAAACTAAGCTATGGTTAGCAGAGTTAATTGCCTACAACATATAATTCACTTTATAAGATTATAAGATTTCCACACTAAGATTTAAACTTTCAACAAAAATATGATTTATGAATTATTTAAAAATTTTTTTAAAAACAAAATTCTATTTTAATTTAAGTGTTATCATTTGCATCTCTAATATGATAGATGTATCTGGCCAGATGAAACTTTCAAGTCTAAGGTTAGAAAATTTCAAATTAAATACTGCTCAAATTAATGAATATATAAGACAAATGATTAGAAATTACAAAAAGTGTGTTAAGTGAGAGTAATATAGGAGCTCAGGAAAAGATTGTCTAAGTAACTTATTTAAGGAAGACAAATTATTTTCCAAAGATTATATAAATATCAGGTTGCAAAGCCAAGAATGGAAGACTTATGTGTAACATTCACTAGACTCCACTATTATATGATTTTGTCAACAAAACCTAATTTACTTTATTTAAACTTTTCAACACTTTGTGGATTTATTATAGAGAAAGGTTATACTAAACTTGAATAAATTAGATACATATTGATATAATTTGACTTTCTGGCATAAACCCAAAACCATATCAAAGCTCAATTGCTTAAGAGGAGTAATAAATAGAAAAAACTTAAAGGTAGCTGGAACAAAATACAAATTATATGCAATGTCACAAAGATAAGAATGAGAGTAGGTTATTAGCTAGCCATGGTGCAAACTAGAAGACACTGCAGTGAAATTTTTCAAGTATTGAACAATTCTGTCAACTTAGAATTCTATGCATAAACTGAAGACTTTTTTTAAACAAACAAAAGCTGATAGAATTTATCTACTAGCAGACATGCACTACAAAAAATCTTAAAGGGTTTTCTTCAAGAAAACAATTTTGAAAATTAAAAACAGGGCAAAAGATTTGTTTTGTTTTGCATTTAAAATAATCTAAGAGATAATGGGAACTTCTGAGGAGCTGGAGACAAAGGCAGCTGCTTAGCTCCCTTCTTTCACTATGTCTTCCAAAATCAAAATAGGAAGGGAAAAAGAAAACAGCACATATTCCACACCCTTGACATAACTGAGATATGACAAAACATCAAATTAACTGTGAGGTTTTTTTTTTTTTAAATCAGTGCACGATTTCTTACCCTATTCTCCCATCCTCTCTCGGAAATCAGATCTGCAAAGCTAGCAATAGACTGAAGGCTAAATCTATAACAATTGCAAAATGACGAAGTCCATCATAATTCTGGAAATCCTGAATAAGTGCTCTAAATGATTAGACTATGGACTACAGGAGAAGGACTTAAAAGTACATGAACTTTGACAAGATTAATTTATTTGGGGGAAGTTAATAAAGGTAGAAAGAAAAGGACAAATACTTTTTGGCAATTGGGAGGTGAATAGGAAAAGAAGTACAAAGGGTGGGGGGCACTGAGTGTCCTACAAAACAATGTTGGCCAATAACAGAGATGGTGGGTAACATTGTCTTGTTACTGATATTAATGGCAATGCTACTAAGGTTTCCCTCATTAGGCTATAAACTAAGATATATACTCCTCCTTCATCCACACCCCACTGTTGGAAGGAAAGAAGCGCTAACAATAGACTTGAGTTGATCTAAAATCATGGCTGAAATGACAAAGTCTATTATAATTCTCAAAATACTAAAAAAGTATCCTGATTGTCAGACCATGGGCTACAGAGAGAGAGAGAGAGAGTGTGTGTGTGTGTGTGTGAGAGAGAGAGAGAGAGAGAAGGGCAGGGAGAGGGAGGAAATAATAGGAAGAGAAAGAGAAAGGAAGAGAGGAAGAAAAGAAAGATCAGAAAACTATAGATATACATCTCTCATGAATTTAGATGCAAACATAGTTTTAAAAATGTTAGCAAGAATCTGGAAATACATTAAATGGAAAATACTTCATGACCAAATGTGGTTTCTCCAATATATGCAAGGTAACTTCAACATTTGACAATCATCCCTGACTTCACACCAAGTTAAAAAAAAAAAAAAGCTCTACCTGGTTTATAAACCTAAATGTAAAACTTAAAACAATAAATGTTCAAAAATAAATGTTAGAGAAAATATTTTTCCCCTTAGGTTAGGCAAAAATTTCTTATGAATGACACTATATAAATTAAATATCAGAGAAAACACTGATAAATTGGGCTTTATCAACAATTTTTAAAATTTACACTTTAAAATAAACTTAAGAAATGGACTGTAAATAATATTTGAAAAACATGTGCCTGATAATAGTCTTGTATCCAGAATACACAACATATGTCTACAATTCTGAAACAATAACTTAGTTTTATCTTTTTTAGTGGGAAAAAAATTTTAAACAGATGCTAAGCAACCAAGCATAAGATGCCCAGTATAAATAATCATCAGGAAAACGAAATGAGAAAACAGAACACACCTTTACCAGCGGTAATTTTTTAAGTTCTGGTGAAGATATAAAATAACTGAACATTCATTAGTGTCAGAATTGCATAGTTAGAAGCACTCTGAAGAATATTGGATAGTGTTTTATAATACCACACAATTACCATATGATCCAACATGCTCACTTCTAGACATTTACTCAAGAGAAATAGAAACATAAGTCCAAACAAAGACCTGCACAAAAATGTTCATAGCAGCTTTATTCATAATTGCTGAAAACTGGAAGCAACCCAAATGCCTATCAACTGATCCATGGTAAACAAACTGTGGTAAATTCGCACAATTAAATACTAGTTAGCATTAACAAAACTTACTTATACATATAGTAATAAGGATAAAACTAAAAAGCAATGTTACATGCAAGAGCTGTGAAACAAAAATTAAATTCTACATTATCTCATTTATATAGCATTCTAGAAGACAATTAATATTGCGGGTTGCCAGGAATTGAGGCAAGGCGAGAGGACTGACTGTAACCTGGCAGGTGGGATATTTGGGAATGATGCTATGCCTTGATATGTGCTATGCCTTGATTCTGTGCTATGCCTTGATTGCCTTAGTGGTTGCATGGCTCCAAATATTTGTTAAAACCCTGAGACTGTACTAGTAAAAACAGCAAATGTAACTATATATAAATTATTACATTGTAAACCTGACTGATAAAAGGTCCAAAAGATGGAAAAGAAAAAGCCATAAAAACACTAATCAAAATAAACCTGTAGAGGCTAATATTAGTATCACATAATATGGACTTTAAAACAAGAAATATAGCCAGGAACAAAGCGGGTAATTCTATAATGATAAAGCAGTCAACTCATCAAGAGGGCTAAAAAAAAAAAATCCTCAGTGAATATGCACATAATAATAGAGCTTCAAAAAACAAGAATCAAAAACTGAACTGAAAGCAGAAATAGACTAATTCACAATTATGGCTAGGGATATTAATGTTCTTCCTCAGTTAATAATAAATTTGTAGAACTAATAGACAGTAAAGATATAAAAAACTTAGCAGTGTCAATCAACTTGACCTAATTGACATTCCACTTAACAAGAAGAAAATACACATTGTTTTCAAGTGCCTATAAACATTAATCAAGGTAGAAGTTATTATTTTAAACTTTCCAATTATTTGAGGAAGCTTTTTAGGTATCTTATTGTTAGTGATTTCTTTTTTTTTTTTTGAGACAGAGTCTTGCTCTGTCGCCCAGGCTGGAGTGCAGTGGCGCGATCTCGGCTCACTGCAAGCTCCGCCTCCCGGGTTCACGCCATTCTCCTGCCTCAGCCTCCCGAGTAGCTGGGACTACAGGCACCTGCCACCACGCCTGGCTAATTTTTTTGTATTTTTAGTAGAGACGGGATTTCACCGTGTTAGCCAGGATGGTCTCGATCTCCTGACCTAGTGATCTGCCCGCCTCTGCCTCCCAAAGTGCTGGGATTACAGACGTGAGCCACCGCACCCGGCCAGTGATTTCTAATGTAATTCCATTTTCACCAGACAACACACTCTGCACACTTAAAATCTTTAGAAAATCAATGAGACATTTTATGGCCCAACATTTATTCTGTTTTTGATGAATATTTTAAGTTTACTTAAAAATGTGAGTTTTCTCTTTGACATTTGGTAGTGTTGATCACATATTCTTTATCTTTCTCTATTTTTTTCTAGTAGTTCTGTCTGATTCTGAGTAGCTTCTTAACAATCTTCAACTATGACTGCAGTTTTTGTCTGACAATACCTTGATTTTGTCAGTTTTTCATCTTTATTGAAGGATATTTTCACTGGATATAGATTTCTAGGTTGACGTTTCTTTCCTCTCTAGGAATTAAAGAAATTGGTACAGTAGCCTTTGGCCTCCATTGTTTTTGACAAGAAATAAGCTGATATTTATATCCTTGTTATTCTATATGCAAATTGTCCTATTTTCTCTAGATTTTTCTTCCCCAATATTTTCTTTTTTATCTTATGTTTTCAGCAATTTTATTTTGTAATATACCTAGATGTAGCTTACTTTGCATTTATCCTGTTTAGAGTTCACTTAGACCCTTAATATAAGTAAATTTTTTATATAAAATTTATAAATTTTTCAACATATTACGAAGTATTTTCCGCCCCTTTTTCTCGATATCATTTCAAAACGTCAAATAAAAATCAGTTAGACCTTTTATTTTGTCTCATGGCCATTAAAACCCTCTTTACTTTTTCAAAAATCCTTCGTCTTTCTGTTCCACAGATCAGATAATTCTGTTGTTGTGTGTCAAGTTCATTAACACATTCTTCTTCCATCTATAATCTGTTATTAAGAAAATGAGTGCAAGTTTTCATTTCATAAAGTGTATTTTAATTTCTAGAATTACCATATAGTCATTGTTCTTGTTTCCATTATCATTCATAAATTATTCATCTCTTTACCCATATTTCTATGATTTTCTATAGATTTATAAAAGGTTTAACATTGTAGATGATATAATTGTAGATAATTCATTTCTGTTATCTTTCTTTCAATAGTGTTATTTTTGTTCTAGATGTCAGTAACTCTATTCAATTTAAATTCCAAAGTCTGTCTCCCGTCTGGTGGGCGGTAACTAAAATACCTACTTTTTCTTTTAGACTTCTGGATGTGGCTCTTTTCTTGGAAAAATTGAAGTTTCCTGCATGTAGGTACAGTTCAGTGATCAGAAAAGGATGTATGCAGAGCATATAATGCAGATTTAGGAGCACTCTATACACTCATATTACACAGTGAGGACTGGATTTTCTCTTGGGCAGGAAGACATAAATAGGCAAATCTCACTCAGTACAGTTCCTCTTCCTCTAGCATCCACTCTTCATCAATTCCTACCTTTTTCAGTGACTCATTAAGTCTCTCTTTAACCTTCAAGCAGTTATTGGGTATATATTTTTCCAGAGTATATATTGGTTATCTGTGGACAAGTTAATCAGGCAAGCTATCCCACCATTGCTAATTAAATCCATGTTATAGCAGCTTTGGGCAACCAACTCAAAATGTTCTAGCTTTCTGAAAGTGCCAGTTAAATGATAGTGGGATGCATTGCCAATTGGATGCTCTGTAAAGAAAGAGTCCCTTGGAAGATTCCTCTATTTGTCACTAAGCTTTTATAAGATTTTTATAGTTTTTGTTCTTTTTGGATGTTACTAACATCCACTAAGAATCTAGGCAGGTTTAAACATCTCTGCTGTGAAAACTAAATAAAAAGGGAAATAAATGAAAAAAGTATATCTTATGGCAGAATTAAAGCCAAAATTGTGTTATGGAGTCTTCATAGGGAATTTTTGAAAATGTAACTAGTAGAATTTTATTCCCTTTAATATGGTGAGCCAGTAAATAGTTACTTTATACTTTTCAGGATTCAATATTTAGCCTTCAGAATGGAGATCATAAATAGTGCATAGGGATATTTAGATTTTTAGTTTTGGGTACAACTAGGCAATGAGCAAAATACTGTAACTGGATGTAAATTGGTCAGTAGATGTAATGGGAGGTCCTTTTGAAATGTTTAATTTGGGATCACAAAGGAGGAATTAAACGTGCAGATGGCGTGCATCCATCCAGTACAACATGAGATACTGTCATGCACATTGTGTGTTTATGCACATATCATTTATATACACACCATAATGCATTTTTTTCTATAAATAGTTTTGTGTGATAGATGAGAAAACCAACATTTGTTGAAGTCAACTATTTATCCCATGTTATACACAGTGGGTGGGTGGTGGAATAAAATCTGGATCTAGGGACACATACTCCTAGATCTCGCACTTTTAAGGCTATATGGACTATGGTCTCTTTTTGTAGTCAAGAGAGGCATGCATAAACTTAAATACAGCAAACTGCCCTAAGTTTAAGATGACAAAAAAAAATTGAAGACTATTACAGCACATAGTTCATGCTTGGTCCTGCCAACTGAGAAGGTAGGGTACACACAGGGGTGGCTAGAATGAAATTTCAAGAAGACCATCATATGTTGTAATGTTTAGCTGTGCCGAGGATTATTTATACAAATTTAGCAATTTTGGATTTTTTGTTAATTTTCCTTGAGCTTTGCCATCATCATATTTTGCAAAGACCTGACACATTTTGCTTAGAGCTTTCTTTTTTTAAAAAATCTGTTTAATCCTTTGATAAAATCAATTTCTGTATTCCCACAAGAAAACTTCATTAAATATTCCATATGCAGTTGGCATCATTTTTAAACTGCTAAATAATGACGTCTGAAGTACTTATTTTACACATTTATTATGCCAAATGTACAGTTATTTATTATGCTTACATCCTATGACTCACTAAGGTAACAATACCATAGTGTGCAGGGATTTACTCTGGCTATTAATTAACATGTTAAACGATACATATGCTATTATTTACTGATTTTAATTATAGAATTTTTTTTGTAAATTAGCCTCCAAAATTTAGGAGTTCAAAGTTTGTCACTGAACTGTACTTTTTTCTTACTTTTGATATTAAATTCATCAAAATATATCCTCTCAAGTTATTTATGTTCCAGGAATTTTATTATGATATGGTTTGTAATTGGATTTCAAAATATTGTTATAGAATAATAGATTTTACTTTCTTTGAAGCATATTCTAAGGAACAAAATCAATAATGTAAATCCATTAAATTAATATTGAGTCTCTTTTCTGATATTCCAGTCACTATTTCCCATTACTTTCTTACTTTACCAGGTCCTCATGGGCTTATGTAATTGCCTGCCAAAACTGCATTTAGGAGGTGCCAGGGTATCTCAAGTTCCTGAGCTCATTTCATTTGTGACTTTTTAAAGCTGGCAGTGAAGTCATGTCTTCATGTCTTTTCAACATGAGACTCCAAGGAATTGCACAGATAAAGAGCTGAAAGAAAAAGTTGAAAAGAGTCAAAAGCAAGCTGGACTAGAAGGGGATACAAGCAGCCCAAAAACAGCAGAAAGCACAGCTTCAAAGTAGAATATGTGGGATCTCATGATACACATAGATATCAAAAGAAAAACAAAGGGTAACGTTTTGATATTCACCTAACCTTCAAAAGGAAGCCTCCAGAGAAATTGAAGAAAGCATTTTAAGCAATATCTACCTCTGAGATTGAACTTGTCTAAAAGATGTAGATCGAAATGAATAACAATTTTCTTTCAGAAGGCCATTCCATTCCTTACATGTGGAAATAGTGCTTTATATACACAGTGGTATAACACTTTGTTTTTCGTGAAAAAAGCTGTGATCTAGGGGAGACTGTGGCTAGGGTTTTCAGATTAGAAACAGTGTAGTGTTTCTTTACTTTAAGTAAAAATGCACTTATTGTTATAATGAGTTAAAGTTAATATATGTTTAACTAAAATTGTTTCAATTTATACACAATTTATGAAACTATGCTTTATGCAAATAATTGATCCATCAGAAATTATCATTTTCATTAGCGTTACTTGAGATTTCTTGAAACAAGTTTTTCAAGCCAATCCTCAGACTAAATCTCCATACCCGATAGATTCTAATCTCAATATATAAGACATTGTCATTTATGTTGTGAAAGGTTAGTCATCCTTCCCGTGTTGATAGGCATATTGACACTTTTTACATGTAATGATATTCAAAATAACTTTAATTTAAAATTTGTTTATGTAATTTTATGTGGACAGAGAGTTAGGTAGTTGAGTCTGAGTACAACAAAATCCATTGGTAATATTATTGATCAGGAATCACATGAAGTGATGCAAATTCTTTTGTGAATCAAATCACTTATTTCAAGTGGAATCTGGCTTATAAATGCAGTGTTCCATCTACTGCTAAAGGCATGGATCACTCACAATAAAATTGGGTATATCAAACATGCCAAGGTTTGGTTCTGATATGGTTGGTTTCTCTACCAAAAGATTATATATAAAACAATATTTTAGGCATTTAAGTACCTTATAGGAAGCCTTCTGAAAGAAATCAGTTAATAGCAAGATCAAAGCCACCAGTATTTTATTAATAAATGAAATTATTTCATAAATTACTTTGGGTTATGTCTACATATCTTCCTCACCCAGCCTGGAAATTATTAATGGGAAATTAAGTAAAATGGATTTCATTGCATTTTTTTCAATAACAGTAATGCAGCTGAATCTCTGCTGCTAGCCACAATGGATTAACCTGCCACCTGAAACAGCAGCAAAACAAAAATGGACAAAATATGAGAGAGAGTGGTTTTCAAGATATCAGACATCAGACATTACACATTGAACAAGATATCAAGAAATAAAGGATAATCATCCATAAGAAATGAAAGTTAAATAAGATAAGCCATAAAATTAAATCCTTGGGAGAATTTCTAGGCATTGGTACTCGGAGGGCAATGCCAGAGCCTGGTAAATATGTTAGGTTTAAGAGATGGAGTTGAGAGAACACTGAGACCAAGACAACTAGACTAAGAAAGACGGAGTCCCTTAGAGGAAAGATGTGCAAAGAGAGAAAACTCCAGAGACCTGAAGATGGCCCCTGCTGAGTATTCAGCTGAATGCTCATCAGTGCACACTGTGGGGAAATAACCTAAGGCAAGGGAAAGAGCCATCTTAGAGGAGGAGAGGGAACAATCTTCAGTGCTCACACAAGCTTGTTTCTCTTGCACAGACAGAACACTTCATGACACACAGGGCATTAAACAGAGTACTCAGAAGAATATAGTAACAGGAGTAAGGATAATTTTCAGAGACTGAGTGAGGATCTCACCTAATAAATCTTAAAAGCAATATGCGAAAAGACAAGTTTCCAAATAACTGCACCACGCAATGTTCAAGAATAGTGTTAGGAATACAAAAAAAAAATCCAATAACCAATAAAGTATTCAAAGTTTTTGGCAATTAAACAAAAATAACAGGCATTCTAAGAAAGCAGGAAAATGAAAACTGGTAAAAATAAGAAAAATGTCATCAAATAAAACAAGCCCGGAAATGACAGAGATGTTAGAATTAAAAGACCAGTGCATTAACATAGTTATTTTAACTGCAATGAATAAGTTCTGAGACAAAAATATTCTAGAGATATTGAAAATGAATACACAGACTGATGTGCTAGAAATGAAAATTATAATGGATATGATAAAAAAGTGTGCTGGACACTGAATAAGATCAGTAGCAGACTGGACATTTCACAGGGAAAAACAAGACACTGAAGTAAGAAGCAAAGCAAAAGAAACTCCCTAATCTCAAAGAGATCAGCAGATTAATCTTACCAGTAGGTTCTAGAAAGTCCTTTAAGCTACAGGGAGATGATACCAGGTCAAAATATAGATTTACACAAAGGAATGTGGAACAATGGGAATGTTAACCATGTACACAAATATCTAATTTTAAAAAATTAAGTACTTCTTACTAAAGCATAATTGTTTAAATAGCAGTGCAGTGTGGGGTTTACTACATACATAAAATAAAATGTATGATACCAGGAGCACAAAGGACAGGAATAGGGAAATGAAAATACGCAGTTACAACTTTCTTATAACGTAGGTGAAATGGTGATAATATCACTCAAAGGTACGCTGTGATAAGTTATAGAGGTACACTAAAGCTACCACTGAAATGACAAAATAAAGTTATACAAACCAAGACTGCCTTAAGGTTCCCCTCAGCTTGAGTAAATTTTCTTACTATGAGGCCCTGACCTCACTTTTCTCAGAACATTTCATTTAGAAAACTCAGAATCATAAATTCTTTTTCTGCCCTTTGGAGATGTAAATCTTCTTCCAGTCTCTTGCCAGTTTTACAGTTCAGGAATGTCTTTCTCAAGGACATAGACGCCATCCCTTTGAAATGTAATCAAGAAAGACAGCATCCCTATTCCCAGAACAACTGCAAACAGAAATAGATAAATCAATGATTATGGTAATAAATGTCAATATCTCTTTGATACGGATTGAATATTTTTGTGCCATGAAATCTATAGTTTGAAGTCCTAACCCCTAAGTTATGGTATTAGGAGGTGAGACACTTGGGTGTTATATAGGTTAAGAGGATGGCGCTCTCATGAGTGGGATGAGTGCCCTTATAAAACAGGGTTGAGAGAGCCGTTTTGCCCCTTATGCCACAGGGAGAAGATGGCCATCTATGACCTAGGAAGTTTGCCCTCACCAGACACTGAATCTGCAGCTGCTTTGATATTGGACCTCCAGAACTGTGAGAAATAATCTCTGAGGAATAAATAAGCCACTCAGTTTAAGGTATTTTGTTAAAGCAATCCAAATGGACAAAGACATGGTCTGTCAATCATTGATAGAACAAATAAAAATGTAGTAAATACATAAAGAGATTAATAGTGCCATTCTCCAGCATGACTTACATCAATAGAGTATGCTTCATCCAATAACAACAGAATATACATTATTTTCAAGTGCACATGGAACATTTATATAAATAGATAATATTATGAGCAATAAAATAAGCCTCACATTTAAAAGTTTCAAATAATGCAAAGTAATATATCATATATAAAGAGTTATTGTTAATGGATATAAAGTTTCAGTTTTACAAGATGAATGAATTACCATCTGGAGATAGATGGTAATGATGGTTGCATATCATTATGAATACATTTAATATCATTGGACTGTACAGTTGAAAATTGTTAAGATGTAACATTTTATTTTGTGCCTTTACTGCAATTAAAAAAAAACAAACTAGGAGGGAGAAGAGCCAAGATAACTGACTAGAGGCAGCCATCAAGAGCATGTCCTACTGAGAGACCAAACCATCAAGAAGACTGGTACACTCCAAGCAAACTCTTTCAAACGAAGGCATTGAGAGTGGAAGGAGGGAGGACACAGAACCTGAGTTGAAGGGAGAGGAAACTGGGAAGCTTGCACAGAGCACCAGGAGTTGTTCCTGGTCCCCAGCAATTCCAGGGGAAAGGGTGAGTTAAGCAGGCAAGGACTGGTCCACTCTCACCCCGGACTTCTGGAATGCTACCTGCATGAGACCCCATGATGCTCACAGATATTTGATCTGACAAGAAAAGCAGCTTAGAGAGTTTGCAGAGAAGGACTCTAGCCTGTACAGAGCCCAGAGGGTTTGGCACAGAAACAGCTGCAGTGGAGCACAGCCAGGGATGTGCGTCCCCTGAGGCTCACCATGCTCCTCCAGGTGGCTTTGACCTTTGTTGACTGTTGGACCTGAACAGAGATGGATGGTTTGCCTTTGGTAAAAGACCAATCTGAACTAAGTGCCCACTTGTCTACCAGCCTCTCCTGTGGCCCCTGCTTGGCCACACCCACTTACAGTGTAGCCTCAGATGCCCAAACAGGGCACGTCCCAAAGCTGCTGCCATAGCTCCTTTGCCAAGAAACTCCACCTAACCATCAGAGAGCTTCAACTGGCATGCACACACTTGCAGCCTCCCCCATCGGTTTATCGGCACATGCTTACTCACAGCTTCCCCCAGCACTTTGCTGACACATGTATGCAGGTGTACCTCTCTGCCCTGCCACTGCCAGTATAAGCATGTGCAGATGACACCACCCTACCCCTGCCAGTGAGCGCATACCCCACTGTGCTACTGCTGCTGCTGGCATACCCATGCACAGTCCCTGCCACAACCACCCCAATGAAGTGCTTTTGCTAGCAGCCCCCCTTTAGACCAGGAATACCTCAGCCCCTCAAGCACAGCACCCTCTAATTTTGAAGGTCCAGAGAACCAAGGTGTGGGCCTAGTATCAACCCCTCAGGGTTATAGAATGCAGCACAGGGAAGCTGAACTGAGCCTTGCTGCCTAAATCCAGAAATGAAGCCAATTGACTGAACACAACTTATACTGCAGTCAAACTCTCAAGAGCTTCAAAGATTATAAAAGCAATAATACTCCCATGCAAAGGACAGAAACCTCAAGGATTAGAGAAATATTGGCCCACAGAGATGAGAAAGAACTAGTGCAAGAACTCTGACAATTCAAAAAACTGGAGTGTCTCTTATGTCCAAATGTCTGTCCTACCTTCCACTAATGGTTCTTAACCAGGCTGAAATGGCTGAAATGAGAGCCATAGAATTCAAAATCTGGATGGCGACAAAGATTATTGAAATTTAGGGGAAAGTCAAAACCCAATTCAAACAATCTCAGGAATCCAATAAAACAATACAATAACTGAAAGATGAAATAACTGTTTTAAGAAAGAACCTATCTGATATGATAGAGCTGAAAAATTAACTACAAGAATTTCATAATACAACCAGAAGGATTAAAAACAGAATAGAACACTGGGCGCAGTGGCTCACGCCTGCAATCCCAGCATTTTGGGAGGCTGAGGCGGGCAGATCACAAGGTCAGGAGTTCGAGACCAGCCTGGCCAATATGGTGAAACCCCATCTCTACTAAAAATACAAAAAAAAAAAAAAATAGCCAGTCATGGTGGTATGCGCTTGTAGTCCCAGCTACTCGGGAAGCTGAGACAGAAGAATTGCTTGAACCCGGCAGGCGGAGGTTGCAGTGAGCTGATATCACGCCACTGCACTCCAGCCTGGGTAACAGAGTGAGACTCCGTCTCAAAAACAAAAACAAACAAACAAAAAACAGAATAGACCAAACTGAGTAGAGAATCTCAGAGGTCAAATACTACTTTTCTGAATCAACACAGTCACACAAAAATAAGAAAAATGAATAAAAAGGAATAAATAAAACCATCAAGTAATATGGGATTGTGTAAAGAGAATAAACCTATGAATCACTGGCATCCCCATATGAGAAAGAAAGAGAGCAAGCAACTTGCAAAACGTATTTGGGGATATTGGTCACAAAAATGTCCCAAATATTCCTACACAGGTAAATCTTAAAATTCAGGAAAATCAGAGAATTTGTGAGATACAGTACAAGATGATCATCACCAAGACACATAGTCATCAGATTCTCCAAGGACAATGTAAAAGAAAAAATATTAAAGCAGTTAGAGTGAAAGAAAAAATCACCTGCAAAGGGAACCCTATTAGGCTAACAGTAGACAATTCAGCAGAAACCCTACAAGCCAGGAGAGATTGGGGGCCTATAGTCAGCATTCTTTAAGAAAACAAACTCCAACCAAGAATTTTATGTCCAACTAAACTAAGCTTCCTAAGGCAAGAGAGAAATAAAATCTTTTTGAGAGAAACAAATGCTAAGGAAATTTGTTACCACCTGACCTGCCTTATAAGAGGTCCTAGAAGGCATGCTAAACTTGGAAATGAAAAGCTGTTACTGACCACCACAAAAACACACTTAAGTACATAGACTATTGGCACTATAAAGTAACTACACAATGAAGCCTGCAAACAACCAGCCAACAACACAATGACAGGATCAAATCAGCACATATCAATATTAACCTTGAACATAAATGGGCTAAACACCTCATGTAAAACACACAGAGTGGCGAGTTGGATAAAGACATGAGACCCAATTGTATACTGTCTTCACAAGATCCATCACACATGCAATGCCACCCCTAGGCTCAAAGTAAAGGGATGAAGATAAATCTACCAAGCAAACAGAAAACAAAAAAGAGCAAGGGTTGCTATTACAATTTTAAATAAAACCAGACTATAAACCAACAAAGGTAAAAAAAAAAAAAAAAGACAAGGAAGGGCATTACATAATAATGAAGGGTTCAATTCAGCAAGAAGACTTTTAAGTATTCTAAATATATATGTACTCAAAAATGGAGCACCAAAATTCATAAAGCAAGTTCTTAGAGAGCTGTGAAGAGACTTACATAACCACACAATAATGCTGGGAGACTTCCACACCCCACTGACAGTAAGACACAGATCTTCTAGGCAAAATCCTCACTAGGTATTTAAGACTTAAACTTGACACTTGACCAAATGTACATAACGACAGCTGCAAAACACTACACTCAACAACAGTATATACATTCTTCTCTTTTGCATATAGCACATACTCTTAAATTCAGCCACATACTCAGCCATTAAATAATTCCCAGCAAACTATATATATACCAACCACACTCTTGGACCACAGTGCAATAAAAATAGAAATCAATACCAAGAAGGTTGCTCAAAACCATACAATTAATGGAAAATTTAAAACTTGCTCCTGAATGACTTCTGGGTAAACAATGAAATTAAGGCAGAAACCAAGAAATTCTTTGAAACTAATGAGAGCAATGATACTACATATCAGAATCTCAAGACACAGCTAAAGCATTGTTAACAGGAAAGTTAATAGCGCTAAATGCCCCTATCAAAAATTTAGAAAAATATCAAATTAACCATCTAATATCATACCTTGAAGAATGAGATAAACAAGGGAAAACCAACCTCAAAGCTACCATCAGAAAAGAAATAACCAAAATCAGAGCTAAACTGAATGAAACCAAGATGTGAAAAATCATAAAAAAAATCAACAGAACTAGAAGTTGATTCTTTGAGAGAATAAATAATATAGATAGATTGCCAGCTACACTAAAGGAAAAAAGAGAGAATATCCAAATAAACACAATCAGAAAGGACAAAGGGGCATTACCATCGACCCCATGGAAGTAGAGAAAACCCTCAGAGACTATTATGAACACCTCTATGCACAGAAATTAGAAAACTTAGAAGAAATGGATAAATTCCTGGGAACATACAACCTCTTGAGACTGAACCAAGAAAAAATTCAAACACTAAAAAGACCAATAATGAGTTCCAATATTAAATCAGTAATAAAAGCCTACTAACCAGAAAAGACTTGGGCCAGATGGATTCACAGCCAACTTCTACCACATATATAAAGAAGAGATGGTAGCATTCCTTCTGAAACTATTCCAAAAAATTGAAGAGGAAGGACTCGACCCTAACCCATTCTATGAGGACAGTATCATTCTAATACCAAAACATTACAAAGACATAACGATAAAGAAAACTTCAGCCCAATATCCTTGAGGAATGTATATGCAAAAATCCTCAACAAAGTACTAGCAAACTGAACCCAGCGGCACATCAAAAAGCTAATCCAGCATGATCGAGACTTTATCCCTGTGATGCAAGGTTGGTTCAACATATGCAAATCGATAGATGTGATTCATCATATAAACAGAACTAAAAATAAAATGACACTATCATCTCAACAGACATGAAAAAGACTTCGATAAAACTCGGCATCGCTTCATGTTAAAACCCTCAACAAATGAGGGATCAAAATAACATACCTCCAACTAATAAGAACCATAAATGACAAACTCACAGAAAACATAATACTAAATGGGAAAAAGCTGGACACATACCCCTTGAGAACCAGAATAAGCAAGGATTCCCTTTCTCACAACTCCTATTCAACATAGTACTGAAAGTCCTAGCCAAATCAATCAGGTAAGGAAGAGAAATAAAAGGCATCAAAATAGGAAGGGAGGAAGTCAAAATGTCTCTTCTCCTAGATGATATGATTTTATACCTAGAAAATATCATAGTGTCTGCCCCAAATCTCATAGATCTGATAAAAAAAAATCAGAAAGGTTTTGAGACACAAAATCAATGTACAAAAACCCACAGCACTTCTGTACACCAACAACATCCAGGCTGAAAGTCAAATCAGGAATGCAATCCATTCACAATAGCCACAATAAATAAATAAATAATCGAGGAATACAGCCAGTTAGGGAGGGGAAAGATCTCTATAAGTAGAACTACAAAACTCTGCCAAAAGAAATCACAGATAACACAAACAAATGGAAAAATATTCCATGCTCATTGATAGGAAGAATCAATGTTGTTAAAATGGCCATAATGCCCAAAACAATTTACAGATTCAATGCCATATTCCTGTCAAACTACCAACAGCATTTTTACAGTTAAAAACAAAACTGTTCTAAAATTTATATGAAACCAAAAAAGAGTCCCAAAAGTCAAAGCAATCCTAAGCAAAAAGACAAAAGCTGAAGACATCATACTACCCCACTTCAAACTATACCATGAGGGCACAGTAACAAAAGCAGCATGGGACTGGTACAACAGCAGACACATAGACCAATGGAACTGGTTAGAGAACCCAGAAATAAAGCCGCATTCTTACAACCACATGATTTTCAACAAAGCTGATGAAGAAAAAGCAATGGGGAAAGCACTCTCTGGTCAATAAATAGTGCTGAGATAATTGGTTACCCATATGCAGAAGATTGAAACTGGACCCTTTTATTTCACCATATACAAAAATCTACTCAAGATAGATTAAAGACTTAAATGTAAAATCTAAAACTATAAAAACCCTAGAAAAAAAACAGAAAATGCCCTATATTCATAGGCCCTAGCAAAAATTTCATGATGAAGATGCCAAAGCAATTGCAATAAAAAAAATTGAAAAATGGGACCTAATTTAACTGGAGAGATTCAACATAGCAATAGAACCTAACAACAGAGTAAATAGGCAACCTGCAGATAGAAGAAAATATTTGCAAACTATGCATCTGAAAAAGGTTTAATATCCATAATCTGTAAGCAACTTAAACAAATTAATGAGCAAAAAAAAAAAATCCCCATTAAAAAATGGGCCAAGGAAATGAACACTTTTCAAAAGAAGACACACATGTGACTAACAAGTATATGAAAAATTGTTCAACTTCACTGATCATTAGAGAAATGCAAATCCAAAGCACAATGAGATATCATCTCACACTATTCAAAATGGCTACTATTAAAAAGTCAAAAAACAACAGATGCTGGTGAGGTTGTGAAGAAAAGGGAACACTTACATAGCTGATGAAAATGTAAATTAGTTCAGCCACTGTGGAAATCAGTTTGAAAGTTTCTGAAATAACTTAAAACAGAATTACAATTCGACCCAGAAATTTCATTATTGGGTATATATACCTGAAGGAATGTAAATCGTTCTATTATAAAGACACATGCAGCATATGTTCATCACAGCACTATTCACAAGAGCAAAGACATGGAATCCACCAAGGTACTTATCAAAGGTGGAGCGGATAAAGGAAATATCGTACATATACACCATGGAATACTACCTAGCCATAAAAAAGAATAAAATCATATACTTTGTAGCAGTGTGGATGAAACTGGAGGTCACTATCCTAAGCAAATTAATGCAGGAACAGAAAACCAAATACCACATTTTCACTCATAAGTAGGAGCTAAACATTGACTATACATAGACACAAAGAAGTGAACAATAGACACGGGGGCCTATTCAAGGGTGAAAGGTGGAACAAGGATGAGGATCAAAAAACTTTGTATCAAGTGCTAATTACCTGGATGACAAAATACTCTGTACACCAAACCTCTAAGGCATGCAATTTACTCATGTAACAAAGCTGCACATGTACCCCTGAATCTAACATAAAAATTGAAAAGAAAAAATAAATGAATAAAAGTAAATAAAAGATAAAAATATTTTAACAAGATTCAGAGGAGAAAAATAATCTACACTATTTACCTAGTAATTTTTTTTTTTTTTGAGACGGAATTTCACTCTTGTCCGTGGGTGATCTCGGCTCACTGTAAAATCCGTCTCCTGGGTTCAAGTGATTCTCCTGCCTCAGCCTCCTGAGTAGCTGGGATTACAGGCATGTGCCACCATGCCTGGCTAATTTTTGTATTTTTAGTAGAGACAGGGTTTCACCATGTTGGTCAGGCTGGTCTCGAATTCCTGACCTCAGGTGATCCACCTGCCTTGGCATCCCAAAGTGCTGGGATTGCAGGCGTGAGCCACCGTGCCAGGTGGTAATTTAATATTTGTATTGTTTTTCACTAATTTCTGTCACTCCAGGATGCCCTCTGCTATCCTCTTCCATCCACCTGAGGAACTTCCTCTAGTATTTTTCGTGTAGTAGTACTACTCATTACAAATGCTTTTAATTCTCCTTCATTTGAGAATGCTTTATTTTTCCTGTTTTTTCTGAAGAATATTTTACAGAGTATAGGATTCAAGATTGGCAATCCTCTGTTAGCACTTGAAAAATGTTATCTCATTGTTTTTTGTTGTTGTTGTTTGAGACAGTGTCTTGCTCCCATTTTATTTTTATCTCAATGGCTTCTGATAAAAAATTTGCTATCATTCAAATCTTTGTTATCCTATATGAATTTTTTTTTCCTCTGGTTGCTAATGAGTTCTTTTCTTTATCTTTGGTTTTCAGATATTTGATTATGATGTTGCTTGGTTTGGATTTCTTTAACTGATGTTGTTTGGAGTTTACTGTGTTCTTAGATCCGTGAATTTATATTTTTAACCAAATTATGGCTGTTTTCAGTCATTTTTCTTCAATTGTTTTTTCTGCTACATCACTCTCTTTTTCTGAAAACCCTATAAAATGAATATTAGATCTTTTGATCTTGTTCCACAGAGCACTGAAGTTCATTTTTTTCTGTTTTCTTTTTCAAGTCTTTGCATTATAATTACAACATTTGAGCTATATTAAGGTTAGTATCGATTGACTGCCTTTTAAGTTGAGAATTGTTTACAGTTTTCTTTTTCTGTGTATGCTTAATAAAATTTTGGTTTATATTTTTGTCATTTGGAATACTGTGTCATGTGACTCTGGGTCCTATTAAAATTGTCTGGATAATAGTGATTTCTGTTATTGTTGTTTTGATAGACAGCAATCAGTCAAGTTTAAGACTAAATATCTCTAACAATTTTCTTCTGGTTGTAGTTGTGATGTCTATTTAGTATATAAAGACTTCGCGGTGGTATTGTGACACACCTATTATTTTATTGTACTCAGATCTGAAACCAGACCATTGAGTTTTAAACTGTTTTTCAGTGTTCAAAACCTTTTCTATGCTGACTAAAGTTAATTTTATGCACGTCCAACAATAAAGTGAACACAAGTCTTGACACACCTGGCTTTAAATTTAAAGTATCCTTTCTCCAACTTCCAGCTTTTGTGATACTTCCCTAGCCCAGTCTATATTTCCCACTGATTTCCTTTCTGAGGTTCTGCCTGCAAATGTGGGGTTTTAGCTTTCCTTCATTCTTGTCAGAGTTCTATTCCCCAGTGTATTACTAACCCTTGGTTGGGACTAGGCAAGTCTCTTTCTCTTTACTGGTACTCACCTGGTGGAGAGGTGGAAGAGTCAAGAGTGATCTTTACCTTTAGAACTGCCTTAGCTGCCAGTGGTAGTGGGGATAGTGCTGTATCTTTTTGCTGGTACTCAGTATAGATCAAACAGAGTCCACTGGGCTTCATCCTGCACTGTTTGGTGTCTATATACCAGTAAGGATGGGATGTGGCACCATTGCTTTTCTCCTATTAGAGCAGATAAATTTTAAAATGTTCTATTTTACAAGATTCTAATTCTCTGGATGGAGAAAGTTTATTTGGGAGTGTTTTTTGTCTTTTTCTGTTGGCAGTTCAGATTTTCTGGTTGCTCCAGTAACTAGGGCAAGATGAATATGAGGCAAAATAAAATTAATTAGTTAATTAATTACTTAATAGACTCACTGCTGAGTTGTTCCATAAGTCCTGAGATTCTTACCCAGTCTATCTGCTTTTATCTACCTTCGGAATCTTCTGTTAGTTGGTTTACATGTTTTATTCTAGTTTTATTAGTCATAGTTAGTGGGTGAAATAGGGTACAGTGTGCTCACATTATCTGGTCCAGAACCAGAAGTCAATGTATATTTTAAAATGTGTACAGTAATTGTTGCTTAGGTCTAAGAAGAGGGAAAAGACAGGTGGATAGTGTAGAGGATCTTTGATCCTACATTGACCAAATATACAGTTTGCCTATGTTTGAGGGGTTCCAACATTAAAACAAGGCAAGTCTTGTGCAAACTGGGACAAACTACTCATCCAATTCAATCCTCACTAAGACATGCTTTATGATGATCTCCACTTATATTTATCCAAGAAAGTCCTGCATAGAGAAAACAAGGTCAAGTAAACTTACATTCTAGCTAACTAATCCAAATTTCAACCCTGAACTGACAATATTAATGAATGGGCTGATGGCGTGGGTCACGTTTGCCTGGATAATAGGCAAGTGCAAGTAGCTTGGCCTGTTTTTCCTACTTTACCTGAGGAAGCTTCTCGATTCAGTTTTGGGATTCCCAAAGCATGGGTCCATTCAAAGAAAAAGGCATGCAGATGTGTAGATCATTTCAACCACAGTAAGGAGAGGGATTCCAACAAGAATGGTACTGCTGTGAGTGCTTGGCCTACAGAATTCAATGTTTTCTCTCTTTGTTTCTGTGCACCTTCCTGAATTCCCATTGCCCAATCATGGCAGGCGTGTGTTTCTGGCCTACATCAGTGTTCCTTCCCCCTCTGAACAAAGAGACGAAGGAGATAAGAAAACTTAAAAATTATTCCCCTGAATCTATGGACCTGTAGTTTTCTTGTTAAATAAATGGTACAGGCTATCACATAACTGATTTTGTTCCAATATCAACAATTTTAATATGTAACTGAGAGACTTGAGAAAAATTAGGTAAAGAGAATCTGATTTGGGGTTTCTTCTAAGAATGATAGTTCTGTTAGCACAGAAACAAAAGCAAACAAAACTACAGAAGCATCAGTCATAGGAGCCCCAGAGTATAGCAGAACCTTTCCCTCTGTGACACTTTCAATGACGCATGACCCTTCGACGTGAAACCTTTGCCTTAGTCTATAAATAAATAGAGGAGAAGATGAAAAAAGAGGTCAGTAATCTCCTGTTACTATTGAACCTTTATGGGACCTACTTTAAAATGAAAAAAGATTATTTCTCAGTTCTATGAGAGCGTGATATAATTCATGGAAAGGAAGATTGGTCCCAAATCCCTATGGAGAAAGAACTCTGTATTAGTCCTTTTTCACACTTCTGGTAAAGACATACCCGAGACTGGGTAATTTATAAAGAAAAAGAAGTTTACTGGACACTCAGTTCTACGTGTCTGGGGAGGCCTCACAATCATGGCGGAAGAGCAAGGGACATTTTACATGGTGGCAGACAAGAGAGAGAATGAGAGCCAAGTGAAAGCGTTTCCCCTTATAAAACAATCAGATCCTGTGAGGTTTATTCACTACCATGAGAACAGTATAGGGGAAACGGCCCCCATGATTCAATTGTCTTCCACCGGGTCCCTCCCACAACACATGGGAATTCTGGAAGCTAAAATTCAAGATGAGATTTGGGTGGGGACACAGCCAAACCATATCAAACTCCTTGGAATTTTAGCATTCAGAAATAAAGCAATCTGTGAGTCTAATCTTCAAATGTTATTGCTATTTAGTGTCTGTTCATAGAAATAGGTTTTTCTCACAAGCTGAGTGATAAGAGACAACTTACTCCTCTCTATCATCTGTGTTTCTTTTCTGATAAAATTCAAGCTGCAAACATTACTGTCTTACTGCTTCCCTTTCCACAATTGACTTGCTATTCTAATTAGTAAAGATTTGGGAGCAGATGCCAAGAAAGCTTCTAGCACTGAAATAATTTCTCTCTGCTCATTACGGAATATAAGAATATTTTCTCAACTAGTTTTATTTCTTTGTTTCAGGTGCTAAACATTATTTCTATTTTTGAGTGCAATAACATGGATCACTTAATAACCTCAGTCTTGTCAGAAGCTGTCAAATAATTCTGTTGAAATCCTGTGAATGTCTCAAACATAAGAATCTATAACAATGCAGCATAAAATGAGAAGTATTGTTTTTCAGAGATTTCAAACTTGAATCTAGAAAATATAATAATTAATAATAATAATAATAAAAGACCTTGAAAATGCCCAAAGTTTCCTTAAGAGAAACATAACAATGTTTCTTTCATCTCCTTCTCTTCTTAATAGGGGCTGCTAATCACTGCATATCAGCACCAAGTTAAATTTAAAATTAGTTTTTATATTTTATTGTTTTCTGTTTTGCCTAATTAGTAATACTGCAAAAGAATTGTTTTCTATTATGTTTTATTGCTGCATTTTTTATTAAGTAATATTTTGGAAGATGGATTGAGATCATGAACACTGTCAATAACATTACTACTATGGGGAAATATTTTCTACTTTCTAATATCTACTTTCCAAAGAACTTTGGGAAAAAAAAATTTTAAATTTCATAACTATGTAATACGTAACAGGCACTGAGAGAAAACAAAAAGACATATTAAAGCAGCATCTTATATAAAGTTGCTTACCTAATAATAAACAGCAGAATACTTGTCATTTTCAGGTTGACTCCATTAGTCCATTTTATCCAGGTTTTATTTTACTTCACAAATTTCTGAAATGAAAATAAAAGAGTGAGATTATTTAAAACCTAAATAAGAAAAAAAACTATGCGAATTGTACTGGATAATTAACCTACTCATAAATACATGAAATGATGAATCATCTTAGTTTCATGCATATGCAGTGCAAATTATGTGGCAGAATTATATTATGTCCTAACGTTTATCTCCTTGTTAAGAATCAGAAATAACTCTTAACAACATGTGGCTAAGATAAGTCTCCACACTAGACTAGTTTGTATTCCTTTTCATATGGTTCCGTTGATATTCTCTTTTGTCCTCAGGATGTTTCTGCCAAGTTTTCTTCCCTGGGATTGAGTTTGAGTGTGGTTAGTAAAGACACCTGGCTTCATATTTTAGGTCAATCAATTACTACTGGTTTAATCTTGAGTAAAATATTTAATTCCTCCTGCTTCACTGGATAATATATCTCTCTTGGATTTCTATGACAAAGATTGAGAAGAACTAACCCTTTTCTCTTCTTTTCCTTGCTGATTACAAGCTTCTTTTGCCACACCTCCAGGATGTGTCTACTTATTTTCACGATGTTTTCTGAAATATATAGACTACTTGTCTGTGTGCTGTCCTGTGTTTGCTTAGCCCTGCACTTCTACGTATCTATGCTTTGTAAGCTGTTTCTTATTCTCAGAACTGTTGGGAAGGAACTAAGGAATGTTTCCTATCAGTTTGTATGGAATAAAAAAATTATGATGAGGCACTACACTGAAAACTCATTCTCTTGAAACGGTAGTACACTGGCAACAAATACATTGGATGCACTATAGATATAAACTCTTTAGTTGTTTTTATGAATCATCTGTCATAGAATCTGATGATATATAATACTTAGTCCTTTAAAGGCTAATAGCATTTCTGTGATGGACTTTATATGTTTCAAAGACTTTCACATGTATTGAAACAGCATCTTGATATAGACAAGAAAGACTAGGGAGATGAAATGGTCCTGAGTCAACCAATACAGAAACAGAAACAACGGCTACAAACACATAACTCAAGCACAAGTACTTTTTTTTGTAAGGTATCAGATATAAAGATTCAATGTCAAATGAAATTTTTAAAATTAGGTTTGTGTGCCTTCCCATAGAATAAATAAAGTAGATCATGGTGAGTGGAAGCTGAGAAGAAAACAAGTGGACGGTAGAGCATGAGTTTACAAAGCTACCAGATTCTGTTGGATCACATTTTGGTTTTCTCCAGCAGGGTGTAGCTGTGTGGAAGTTGGGTCAACCTTGTCAATATCAGCTGGAAATACAAACATATTTATGATAATAATGGAGTGACTCTTATCTATGGATCTATTTAGAAACACCTCTGCCCCAATGAGTCCTTTCTACCCAGTGCAGAGAATCTTTAGCACATACATAATGAGATCTCCAACAATATAGAAGATATGACTACCTTAAGGAGTGGATTTGGCTTGTGTCATAGCTGAGCTGAGTCATCAGAGGAGTATGACAACCTGTTCCTTTATCCACCCTTCACAGGCTACCCAAACTTACTTTCTAAGTGTCTTCTCATTAGATGCATTCATTCTGATCTCACTTTCACATGTGGAGTTTTGAGAAAGGCTTTGCTTTTAACTTCTCCATGATTTTCAACACACTATATACGTAAAAGGTAGCCTGGGTGTTGCGTTTACTTTTAGCATTTAAGGGCTGGCATTTTCCTTATCTCTCCTTTCATTATAGTTTGATTATTCTGTTATGGCACTCTTCTCAATGTATAGTAATTGTGTGTTTAATGTATATATCTCTTCCACTAGCCTGTGTGTTCAGCTCCAGAGTGATTAAACATGGCATATATTCTCATATTCAGTTCCACAATAGGCATAGCAAAGCTAGCCATGTCATGGGAGATGAGACCTGTTTAACTGAATTTCCTAAGACATATTTTTTTTTCTCCACCATTATGACCACATACCTTTGTTCTGCTCTTTGGCATTCTGATTCCTTTTATGAATTCACAATAATTGGGCAAATTTGATAACCCATTTGCCTTCTTTTACATTTGTTTACTCAGTTAGGTTCTAGTAAAATTTTGTTATTTGTGTTCCTTTTATTTCAATATCTTCTGTTCCAATTCTGAAACCCTTATTATTTTTCTCTGTTATCTGGTCTCATATCTTTAGCGAATATTTGGCACTTTAATGATGAGATAAGATTAAAATTTGAAATTAATCAGTAAAAGTAGCTGGCATATATCTGTGTTCAGTAAATACTGAATATAAAAATTAGCAAATGATTTAAGGTAGTGTAATTCATTTTTGGTAAGCCAAAATTACAAGCAAATCCTCCATACTTCCGGACTTAAGTGCGTTCTACTAGATTATAAAGTAACAATAAATAAAAAAATCAATAAATTATAATTACTCAATAAAATCCTAGCACATTCATTCACAAACATCAGTATCCTCAATAGGCCAATTAGCTCTAGACTAGCCAAATCTTTGTGGAACACAGAGACATATGAGAATGTATTTCTTTTCTTTCCTCTTTCTGCATCAAATTACATTTCAACGTAAAAGAAAACACTTAACAAATTCACTTGCCAAGCTTTTTCTAGCTTTTTTTTTTTCACAAGAAGTGGTTAATTTTACATCTAAATTGCATCACATTTCTCTCTTATGTACTACCTAATGAGTGGTTTGGACCGTATCGTTTGAAAGCATCATAAGTCAAATTTCAACCTAAGTGCAGAATAGTCTTACATTTTTTACTGAAAGAAGATAAAAAGTATTATGGCCAAATCTTCCAAAGTAGGCAAAGATACAAATTTTCAGACATTGCGTAAATGCCAGACTTAGATTGATTTTTGCTTTTTTAATATTCAATTATCCCTTAAGTGAAGATCAACAGCCAAAACTTGTCTTTAGCTTTCTTCTTTTACCCTGGTTTGTTCCTAATGCTTTGGAATTGATGTGTGATGTATTTTGAGTTCTTGAAAGATTTCTTCAAACTATGTACTTGTATATTATAAAGTTTAAATAGAATTTTTTTATTTAATGACCATGCTTAATGTACAAAACATTCCAAAGCTTAAAATGTATGTCTTTATTTCCTCCCATCCACTGTCCTACTCTTTACCCTATCCACTATACATTACTTATCCCTGATAATACAAAAATATATAGGTGGCTAGTGTTTGCATCTATTGTCTTTACTTAAGAACTGATGTTGTTTCTTTACATTCACTTTTTGCTCTTCCTCTTGCTTCTGGTATTTATCTGTGTAATGTACAAGTCCAAAACAGTAACATACATACCTACATACCCAGCTGACAACCACAACTTGCAACAACTTTCCTCTTATACAGACAGTCTAGTTCATTTAGGCTAAGATATTTTAGAATGCTCACTGTGTCATCCCTTCCAGATATTTTTATCAACTATAAAATCTCAATCAAGGAAATTATGTCTGCATAAAATTAATTTCTTTGTTTAACTTAAACAAATTAAAATTGACACTGAGCCCTCATTCTATTGAATTGGTAAAAATTTAACCTCAAGGATCACCTGGGCTACCCTAGGCTTTTTTCTCTAGAGTCCCAGGTGAATGAAGTAGGCTTTACAGAGAGCCTAAAGTGGGTAGTGGAAGGAGGAGGGAATTTTCTAATCTCTATTCTATTGTGCTCTGTACTGTCATCCCCATCAGGGAGTTTGTCATTTTCTCAGGTACCGTCATAACTATCTGCACACTTTTCCGTGTGCTGGGATCCACAGACTTGTAAAAAGACCAAAGGACTTGTATGCTTTCTCTGGTGATGGAATAATCTGAAACTAGTGCTTTGTTCTTATTTTTGCTGTCAACAGTAAAATGATTTTCATCTCAGGAAGACTACAGCAAAAAAGTAAATATCCTTTTTCAGAAACGTGTAGATGTTTTTGTTTGTGTATTTATTTATTTATGTATTTGAGACAGAGTCTTACTCTGTTGCCCTGGAGTGCAGTGGTGGGATTGAGGCTTACTACAACCTCTGCCTCACAGGTTGAAGCGATTCTTCTGCCTCAGCCTCCCGAGTAGCTGGGACTACAGGCGTGCAACACCACACTAAGCTAATTTTTGTATTTTTAGTAGAGACGGAGTTTCACCATGTTGGCCAGGCTGGTCTCAAACTCCTGACCTCAAGTGATTCGTCCACCTCAGCCTCCCAAAGTACTGGGATTACAGGCATGAGCCATTGTGCCTGGCCAATTTTTGCCCTTGTTGATTTGAAATCTTCCTGGTAAAATGTGTTTGGAGGTTTTAAAATGTTGTCTGTCAAAAAGTGAGTAGTGGCATAGTGAATAAAATGACTTTGGGTCCCAGTTTATAGTTACGGTGGAATAACTGTGATTCGACTAACCTACTTTTTTGATGACAACAATTATAAACCCCAAACTAAAAAGTAAAAAATAAAAGAACATAAAACAAAAACACATTTCTGAAGGCACCAGAAAGGGACCACAAGCAGCAGACCCTGGAGGGAACATGACTCTTGAGAGAAGGTAAACGTTATGGGTGAAATCCACATTCATGCAGCTTTTTTCTGAAAGCATTCTCCTATTTTCAGAGTGTTTCAGAGTTAAGGCTCAAGCAGAAAGCAACATTCACTTTGACTGAGCATCAGAGATTGGAGTTTGAGGGTGCAAGATTAATTGGAGAGTAGAGCCACAAAGGTGGAAGTCCCAGAATCTGCATAGTAACAAATTGCACACCCTTGTCAACATCTGAACCATAATCTTACAGGGAAAGTTTCCAAGAAAATTGAGCAAATACTATCGTTAGAAAACTAAAACTTTTTAGCAGAAATTTCAACAGCTGTGTAGTATCAGTGATAGAATTTGATAATGTAATATGGACAATTTAAGAGAAATTTATAATAAGTGCCTAAGATTTGTGATTAGAACTTCAAAAAGACCAAATATCAGAAACTGCGATTACAACCAAGGACTAAGGACAAAACTCACATTAAATGTAAAAACAGTTATTCGTAACATCAAGATGACCTGCAGCCATTTATCTGCTTGGAAGAACAAAATTCAACACTTCCAGGAAAAAGATAAAAGCATTCTAAATTTTCCAACAACGTATGATTGACAATTTTCCATTTGTAATAAAATTGATAAACATATGAAATTATAGGAAACTGTGACCTCTATCAAGAAATATACAGTCAATATAAGCAGATCCAAAATGACCAGGGTGTTGCAATTAGCCAACATGGAATTTAAATTTACTATGATAAATATGTTAGGGCATGTGTAGGAAAAGAATTGACATGAGTCAGCAGATGGGAAATTTCAGATTTATTGACACTTTAATGGGAGTATATAATGGACATCTCAGAAGTGAGAAATAAAATACCAAACAAACACACAAACACACACACATACCACCACTTCAGCGAATTGGATAAACAGTGGAGTCGACATAGTAGAAGAGAAGATCAATAGGAATAAAGATAAGGCAACAGAAATTGTTCAAACTGAAGCCCAGAGAAGAAAACAAGAGTAAGGTAGTATAGAAGAGCAACAAACAATAACTCAACCACCTATTGAGAAATCACAGCATACAAGTGGAATAAGAAATATAAATAAAAGCATAACTAGGAATATTATATTTAAATGATGAAAAAATATAGAGAGTAATTAAAAACAGCTAAAGAAAAAAGACACCACATTTAGCAGATTGGTATCAATATTGATGACTGACTTTTTACCATAAAAGAGTGCGAAAGATAATCAACATTTTTATGTGTAGAAAAAAATAAACACTATCAACCTAGAATTATAAGTACAGTAAAATTATCTTTCAAAATTGAAGATTAAATAAAGATGATATCAAGTCTAATCTGAGAATATAATGTAAGAAATGATAGAGAAAATTCTTCATGCTGAATGGAAGTCAGACCATATGCAAATTCAGTTCTTCAGCATGAAAGAAACACTACCAAAAATGGTATGTGGATAATTCTCAAAAAATATTTATCTTTTGTTCTTAAGTGAGCTAATAGTCAATTTAATTTTCAAAGCCAAAAAATATAATGATGTATTATAGGACTTCTAGCATTGCTAGAAGAAAACTGACAAAAATAGCACAAAGTACAGCTAGGAGTATAAAAAAAAACTTCTTATTGTCTCATACAAATTATTTCAAGTTTTATAAGACTGACTTAAGGAGGACATCGTAAGTTAAGAAAGCATAGTGTATTCTCCACATCAACTATTAGATAAAAATATAAAAAGAGTTTATAAAGATAAAAATATAAAAAGAGCCAGTAGAAGAGAGCCAGTAGAAGAGAAATAATTGCATAGTGAAATGTATTAGGTTGACCTTAAGATAAGTAGAAATAAAAAGAAGCAAACAATAAAAGAAAAATAGAGAACAATTAGAACAAATAGAGAACTTAAATATATGATGTTAACTACAGATACATTTTAAATATAAAGATGTAGAAAGGTTAAAAGTCAAAGAATGAAAAATCATGTACCATGGAAACATTAAGCATAATGTGTGTGGGCGTAGTGTATTCAAAACTTAATTTATAATGGCCTTTAAATATATGTAATCACTATATGTCAATTATAAAGCATTCCAGAAGTGTTTTATAAAAATTTTCTGTGAAAGTCCCTGACACTGGTGTTTCTTACATTTTCCTTGGTGGCTCTTATGGGAAGCCAGCATAGGAATCAAGAATGAGATGATCTCTGAATTATCTTCCAACAATAAGTTTCAAGACCTCTGACAATAAACGGCCTAAAAATAAATTCCATAATTATGATAAAACTGTTACTTTTCAATAGCTTGAACATTGTTTTCATTTTCTAATAATTTACAGAAAATGTTTTTCAATTATGAATTACTTAAGTTCTAAAACATATTAATTTCTTAAATAGCTTTATCTTTTACGGTGATTTAACTTTTGTAAATAGCCCTTAAACATTTGAAAGCACGGTCATGCTTACTATAACTAAAAAGTAAACTAAACTGAAATATCAATTCTCCAATATTTGATTAGCAAAAAAATCTAAAAGCTTCAATACATAAACTGTTGGCATGACTATATTAAAAACTGACTCTCATATATTGCTGGCTAAAGTTCAAGATGACATAATACTGTGGAAGTTAATTTGTCAGTAAATTACAAAGTTATCAGTAAATTACAAAGTTACACGTGCACTTACCACATCTAGAAACAGATATATATATTATATATATAAAGATATATATAATATATATAAAGATATATATAATATATTAAGATATATATATTATATATAATATATAAAGATATATATATTAAGATATATTATATATAATATATAAAGATATATATTATATATTAAGATATATTATATATAATATATAAAGATATATATTATATATAATATATTAAGATATATTATATATAATATATAAAGATATATATTGTATATTATATATTAAGATATATTATATATAATATATATTAAGATATATATATATATCTTAACAAGTACAAAACAATGCAAGCCAAAAGTTAGTCATAATGACATTATTTTTACTTTAACTATCTGAAAAGTATCCATGTCTATTAATAAGGGATGTTGAACTCACTGTGGTATATCCACACAAAGAAGTTCTGTGCATACCTAAAAAAGTGAGTAAAGCCTTATGTGGTACAAGAAAATGATCTCTAGAATATATTGTTTTGTGAAAAAAGCTAGAAGCAAAACAGGCGTGGTGGCTCACGACTGTAATCCCAGCTCTTTGGGAGGTCAATGCAGGGGGATCGTTTCAGCCTATAAGTTCGAGATCAGCCTGGGCAATATGGCAAAACCCCCCTCCTCAAAAAAAATGCAAAAACTAGAGGGGTTGGTGGTGCACAACTCTAGTCCAGCCACTTGGGGAGCTGAGATGGGACAATCACTTGAGCCTGGGAGGTCGAGGCTGCAGTGAACCCACATCACGCCATTGCACTCCAGCCTGGGAGACAGAGTGAGACCCTGTCTCAAAAACAAAAAGAAAGCAGCTAGGAGCAGAGTATTACATATTGCATGTCACCTTTTTTGTGTTTGTATGTCTACATGTGTATGCACTCATAAATATGATATTGTAGTGAATAGAGATAAGATAAATAGGTATAATACGAATTGGTAATATATGCATGGATATATGTATACATACTTTTAGTATATAATTATAAATTTATATTTGCTTATCATATCTATATTTGACTGCTATATGTATATGTATGTATATACATATGTGTATATGTTACATCCATATTCATATCCAAATCCATAGTAACAGCTACATTCGTATCTACAGCTATCTATCTATATATATACTGAAACTGACAAATTTTTATTAGTAATATTCACACCTAAGCTACAGATTTTCGTTTCAATAAAAAAAAACTATGAGCCTTTGGAGTAGTGACTGATTCCAGGTCACTGGCAAATACATTTTGTTAAGGTAGGAAAAAAGAACACAAATATCAAGAAAGAGTATCTATGAGCTACCTCAAAGGGATTTTCAGTAAGAATTTGAGATTATGTGAAGCAAAAATGAGCATTGTGACAAATTTAATATTTTGAATAAATAACAAAAATCACAAGTTCATAGTTACATTCCGAGGTTGATGGGGGAAATCACTTAGATGTTATCATTAGAATTAACCATTAAACTATTACATTATTCTAAAAATTTGTTATAAAATAGAATAAATTAAGAATTTATTTACTCTTTCTAGAAGGAACTGGACCACTCTCTAGTTGGTGTTGGTGGAAGAAACCACTGTGTTTGTGTGTGTTTGTATGTATCTAATCAGAGTGAAAAAGTTTTAATGGAGCAACATTTTATTAGTGTCATCCTATGCTTGATTTTTCATAACTATTTTGTTCAAATCATTGTTGGTATATAGGATGCTTGTTTCTGTTGATATCATTGATAATCAGAAAATATGGGGAATACATTGTAATGTTAAATATGTAATGCAAACTTACAGAAAACTTTTACTTTAGCAAAGCCATTTTCTCAGAAATGGTAATATGGTATTGATCTTCATTGTATTATAATGCTTAACTTTGTTTTCCATATTCATGACTATTACTGAATTTACTGACGCAAAATTTTAAAAAATACTCGTTGTACTAAGTGGCAGATGGTAATACAGTTCCAGGAAAACAATACATTATTTAATTTTTTTGAATATACAATTAATAATAAAGGCATAATTTCCATCCATGTTTTATATTTTTTTATTTGAGAAAACTTTTGTTTTATTCTCAGACATAGGACCACAGCCTCTTGGAGAAGTAAGGGCATTTCAATTTCCAAAATTCAATATGAATATTATTAAACATAATGTATATAGAGAAATATCTCAAAAATATTAAAATGTAAAGCCCTTAAAAATACACAATGGGCTGGGTGCGGTGGCTCTCTCCTGTAATTCCAGCAGTTTGGGAGGCCGAGGTGGGTGGAAACCTGAGGTCAGGAGTTTGACATCAGCCTGACCAACATGGAGAAACCCCGTCTCTACTAAAAACACAAAATTAGCTGGGCATGGTGACGCATGCCTGTAATCCCAGCTACTCGGAAAGCTGAGGCAGGAGAATCGCTTGAACCCGGGAAGCAGAGGTTGCGGTGAGCAGAGATTGCACCATGGCACTCCAGCCCGGGCAACAAGAGTGAAACTCTGTCTCAAAAACAAAAAACAAAAACAAACCACAATGAAAATAATTAAATATAAAGAAACCAAGTATGCTATGGGGCTGGGATAGAAACAGACACAAAGACCGATGGCATTGAACACAAAACCCAGAAATAAATCTGTACATTTATGGTTAATTGATTTTCAATGAAGATGCCAAAACCTCGGTGGGGAAAGAAGACTCTCTCCAATCAACGATACTGTGAAACCTCGATATACACATACAAAAGAATGAAATTAAACTCTCATCTCATACTCCATTATAAAGCTTCCACAAAATGGGTTAAAGACTTTAATAAGACCTGCAACCATGAAACATATATATGTAAATATATACATATATATGTTTTTACATATATGTTTTACATGCTTTACATGTAAGAACATGTTTTTACATATATACATATATATGTATATATGTGTATATACACCATATTCGTAATTGCACAAAACTGGAAACAACCCACATGTATATACATACACTCATACACAGACATAAGCACAATGGGGAGTACTGTTTAATTAAAATGAATGAACTATTATTACATGCTACAATGTGAATGAGTCTCAGAATAATTATGCTGAATGAAAGAATCCAGACACAAAGGTGTACATACTGTATGACATAAATCACTAAAAATTGAAAAGTAATCTATAGTGATAGTAAGCAGATCAGTAGTTACCTGAGAGTTGGGAGGATGAACGGAGTATATTTCACGGATATTAATGTATCAAAAATACATCAAATTATACTCTTTCGATATGTGTAGTTTATACTATATATATGTATACATGTATATATGTAAAAACATGTTCTTTATCCATTTATGTATTGATGGACATTGTGTGTATATATATATATATATATACACACACACAATAGAATAATATTCAATATGTCATTTAAGAAGAAGGAAATCCCATAATCTATAACAATATAGAGGGACTTGGAGGACATTGGTAGAATAAAATAAGCCAGGCACAGAAAGACAAATATTATGTGATCTCACTTACGTGTGGAATCTAAAGAAGTTGAACTCACAGAAACAGAGAGTCAAATGGTGTATAAGAGATTGGGGATTGACGGGATTGGGGAGATAGTCAAAGGACACAACATTTCAATTAGGAGGAGTAAGTTCAAGGGATTTATTGTACATCATGGTGCTTATAGTTAATAACAACATTGTGTATACTTGAAAAGTGCTAGGAGAGTAGATTTTAAGTGTTCTCCCCACAAAAAAGTATGTGAGGTGATGCATATGTTAAATAGTTTGATTTATCCACTCCGCAGTGTATACATATATCAAACCATCATGTTATATATCATAGTTACATGCAAATTTTACTCAAATTAAAAAATATAGCCAAGGATGACTAACCTTGAGAAAAAAAATTTTTTTTAAACATTTAAAAAGTGAAGAATGTAGAAATAAGCTAGATTATTTATCTTAAAAAATAAAAAGTGCTATTCTAAAATGTAGCAAGTATGTTTGTACATGAAAAATAAAATTACAGCTAAGAAAAATAATCTGAATAAATCATAAATACATAAATAAAAACAGAACAATAATAATAAGTAAAATTACTAACAGTTACAGAAGGATTTAAAAATTGATAGTAATTGATGGCTCAAACTCGTAGTCTCTTTTAATAAAAATAAATTATATCTGATTAACTTGTCTTTTTTAATGTCATAATGTGCTTTATTATGAATTTTCTTAATGATATTATATGATTAATTATATTCATGTCCTGCTGAAATATAAGTGACATAGGATAAACTACACATATTGAAAGAGTATAATTTGATGTATTTTTGATACATTAATATCCTGTGAAATATCCTCCGTTCATCATCCCAACTCTCAGGTAACTACTGATCTGCTTACTATCACTATAGATTACTTTTCAATGTTTAGTAATTTATGTCATACAGTATGTACACCTTTGTGTCTGGTTTCTTTCATTCAGCATAATTATTCTGAGATTCATTCACATTGTAGCATGTAATAGTAGTTCATTCATTTTAATTAAACAGTACTCTCCATTGTGCTTATGTCTGTGTATGAGTGTATATATTTACATGTGGGTTGTTTCCAGTTTTGTGCAATTACGAATATAGTGAGTATAATAAGTGAAATAGGTCTATGTAGTTTGTATATGGACAATGCTTTCATTCTCTTGAGTAAATATCTAGAAGACGACTGGTGTCCTCATACAGAAGATAAATTTGGTCACAGAGACAAACACAGGCAAAACGTCATGTAAACATGAACGCAGAGATGAGGTTGATGCACCTACAAACAATTAACCCAGTTAAAAAATGAGCAAAGATCCGAATAGACATTTCTTTAAAGAAGACATAAATGACCAACAGAAATATACAAAAATGATCAAACATCAATAATTATCAGGGAAATGCAAATGAAAACTACATTGAGATAACACCTCACACATGTTTAAATGGCCATTATTTTCTTTAAATGCAAAATAAGTGTTGAAGAATAATGTGGAGAAAAGGGAAGCTTGATAGACTGTAGATGGGAATGTAAATTGATGAAGCCTTTATGAAAAACTTTTGTGATATTGTTATTCATTTTATTTTCTATATTGTAAATTCTACCACATATTTTTACTTAAAGAGTTGATTATCTGTTAAAAATAATTTCTTAAATGTTATATATTTACCTATTTAACTATTTTACTTGGGTTCTTTGTTCCTTTGTGTAGATTTACATTTCCTCTTATTATTTTCCATTTTCCTGAAGTACTTCAATATCTCTTATAATGTAGGTTTGCTGATTAGGTATTCTCTTGGTTTCTGAATATCAGAAGAGTTTTTATTTCGACTTCTTTCTGAATGACATTTTCACTGAATATAAAATTCTAGATTGATAACATTTTTTATTTCAAATACTTTGAAGATGTTTCTCTAAAATCTTTTCATATGCATTGTTTCATATAGGAAACCTGCTGTCATCCTTATCTTTGATCCTCTGTACATATAATATCTTTTATCTCTGATGACCTTTAAACACTCTCTCTATTACTATTAAAAAAACTTTGATTATAATGTGCCTTAGTGTGATTTTACTCATGTTTTTTGTACTTGGTGGGCTTTTTGGTGCCCTGGATCATGTGGCTTTCCATTCTTACTAGTGAAAAGAGACATTTTTCTTAGATCTGTTTGAGAGTCAGGCACTATTGTCTCCTGTCTTTTCAGATTGCCTTAAGCCTGCCTCGCATGCGTGCATTGATCAGTAATTACCTGAATATTCGAGGGCACTCTGTAGATCTCTAGAATTCCTTTTCTCCTCTCCAATATTCTGCACTACAAACTACGACACCTTGGTGACTCCAGATTCTCAGTTCTGTCTTCTCAATCAAGAAGTTGGCAGACTTTGCCTTCATTGCCATTCCTGCACTGCCACATGAAATCTCTTCAAATGTGGTGAACTAGTATGTCACTGAAGGAAGTAAGGTAGTTAGCTGGGTATTCCCGGGGCTGAATTTGTTTCCTTCTCATAGTTTTGGGGCAATCTGCACTTCCATATTTAACGTCTAGATTGTTGAAAATCATTGTTTGAAACATCTTACTCATTTTTAGTTAGTTTCGATTTTATAAATTGTAAATCAGAGTATGTTTTCTTTCTCTACAGATCTCTCATTTTTTTGGATAAAAATATCCTAGCTAACTATAATTTTGAGGAGAAATTGAATGATGAGGCCCTGCATCCTCTGCTCTGCTAGCAATAAAAATCTTAGGCTGAAATTGAAGATCAAATGCATTAGACACAATAGGTTTTACCCGCCCCCATAAGTTTATCTAACTTTAAAAAGAATATATAATAGGTAACGTCAGAACAGCAATTGAATGGAAAAGTTCTGGTGACTCATCAGATGTCCCCCACCTAATATATTTGGTAGGTAAAGTCAAAAGACACAAAGTTTGTGGGGTGCAGACCACCTCCAGCTCAGGAAAATAATAAATTTTGGGGTTCTTTGAGGTTTCATATTTCTTGAAAGGTATGTGAATAGCATCCAACCTCTGATGTAGCTTAATGTCATTAGTTATCAATTACTAATCAGTTACTCTTTTTTCCAATAAGCGATCAACAATGAATTACCTGGTTTTTTTTTTGGTTGTACAGAGCTTTATCTTAGAGCTAGTATACTTTTTTAAATCCATTGAGTTAGTGTTGCAGAAATAATTCAATCAATAACTTTCCTGAGGCTAAAAGTAGGTTCATTGGCCACTGAAAGTGTTAACACTTTCTGTCAGATATCTTACTCAGTATTTTCCTATTATGCTATTTCTTTTACATAAACTCAAAGTTTATTATGCCAATCTGAATAGTCTTTATTAAGTTATGCACATAAAATGAAAGGATTGTGGTGGTTGACATAAAAATGAAAAGTGGAGGAATATTTTATTTTTTCCATGTTATTATGACTTAATGAATTTCTATATCCATTGAAATATTCCAGTGTCCTTGGAAGTGATTTTATAAATGCAATGGAATAACAATATATGGCATTTTATGAGTCTGAAAATTAATAATTGATCCTTTCCATTGTTCAGAATATGCAAATCATTTCAGAATATCAACTTAATTTTCCAATAGTGTCACACACTTGAAGATCAATTATTTTGCATAAGACATTGTATACTACATGTACATGATTAGGAAAATTAAAAATATTAACAAGATGATATGGTTTGGCTGTGTCCGCACCCAAATTTTACACTGAATTCTAATAATCTCCATGTGTCAAGAGCAGGGCCAGTTGGAGATAATTGAATCATGGAGGCAGTTGCCTCACACTATTCTCATAGTACTGAGAGTAGTATAAATGGGAGGTCCCTTGCACAAGCTCTCTTGCCTGTCATCATGTAAGATGTGACTTTACTCCTCCTTTCCCTTCTGCCATAATTGTGAGGCCTCCCCAGCCATGTGGAACTGTGAGTCAATTAAATCTCTTTCCTTTATAAATTACCCAGTCTCAGGTATGTCTTTATTAGCAGAGTGAGAATGGCTGAATATGGTAAATTGGTAGTGGTAGAGCAGGGTATTGCTGTAAAGAAACCCGAAAATGTGGAAGCAACTTGGGAACTGAGTAACAGGTAGAGGCTGGAACAGTTTGCAGGGCTCAGCAAGAAAATATGAAAAACTTTGGAGCTTCCTAGAGACTTACTGAATAGTGATATGGACAATAAAGTCTAGGATAATGTGGTCCCAGATGAAGATGAGGAACTTGCTGGAACTAGAGCAAAGGTTACTCTTGCTATGTTTTAGCAAAGAGACTGATGGTATTTTGCCCTTGCCCTAGAGTTTGTGAAACTTTGACCTTGAGAGATATGATTTAGGGCATCTGACAGAAAAAATTTTTTAAGGAGCAACATGTTCAAGAGGAAGCAAAGCAAAAAAGCTTGAAAAATTTGCAGCCTGACGATGCAATAGAGAAGAAAAACCCAAGCTGGCTGCAGAAATTTGCATAAGTAACAAGGAGCTGAATGTTAATCTCCAAGACGATGGGGAAAATATCTCCAAGGCATGTCAGAGACCTTCGAGGCAGGGCAGCCCCTCCCATCACAGGCCCCGAGGCTTAGAAGAAAACAATGGTCTCCTGAGATGGGCCCCAGGACCCTCTGTTGTGTGCAGCCTAGGAACTTGGTGCCTTATGTCCCAGCCACTCCACCAGTGGTTATAAGGGTCAAAGGTAAAGCTCAGGCTGTGGCTTGTGGGGGTGCAAGCACCAAGCATTGGCAGATTCCACATGTTGTTGAGCTTGTGGGTGCAAAGAAGTCAAGAACTGAGGTTTGGGAACCTCTGCATAGATTTCAGAGGATGTATGAAATGCTTGGATGTCCGGGCAGAGGTGTGCTGCAAGGATGGAGCTCTCATGGAGAACCTCTCTGCTAGGGCAATGCTGAAAGAAAATGTGGATCTCAATGTATTTGGAAGAACTGGTGATATCTAATCTGAATTACACATACCAAAAATCATGAAAGATAATCTTATTGTTACTTAAAAATACTTTCTGCTTACAGAACTATAATAGGTAATTGTTTTAGGGCATGGTACTGAGTTACAACTTCATTGTATTGTGTTATTATAAAAATGATTATAATAGCATAAATCTAAAAAATAGTCATACCCCAGGGCACTGCATTAAAGAGATAGTTCAACACTGTGTAATTGTTTGTTTAATTTATACAGAAGTTTTCTCAATGAGCTAACAAAAACCTAGTGTAAATACTGGCCAAAACAAAAAGTTTTCAGATGTCTAGAGACGTGCTTTCCATCTATTATTGAAAAGATACATGTTATTTATGAATATTATGCTTTACTATCAAATGTATTCTGTCATTTTGTTAGTACTGAATGTCTATATTGTGCTATAAAGCAATAAAATATTCAGGTAGTGCAGGGAAACATACTATTGAAATATACGACTGAACTGACAAATTAATCTTCCCTGAAGAGTGGTACTTCTACATAGTGTATCCCACAGGAGCTGTGGGATTGCCTAGCACTATTTCTTCACAACATTAGCTGCAGAGAAGCATGTTTTTGGTGATGATGCTCATTCCATCTGTGCAGAGCAGCTGCTAAGTAGACTGCCCAAGGCACAACTTGTGACCTGTGTACCTGGGACTGACCCTTGGACTCAGCAGCTGTTGTCATGGGTTTGGTTAGGAAATGGATACCTGATAAAACTAGACAGGCTAGAGAGATAGGGAAGATGATGAGGTAGGAACTGATTCATTCTATCAATAGGCATAAATCTATTGACTAATAGAGAAAACATAACAGTGTAAAAATTACATAAAGGGCCGGGCAAGGTGGCTCACACCTGTATCCCAGCACTTTGGGAGGCCGAGACGGGTGGATCACGAGGTCAGAAGATCGAGACCATCCTGACTAACACGGTGAAACCCCGTCTCTACTAAAAAAAAATACAAAAAAATTAACCGGGCGTAGTGGCGGGTGCCTGTAGTCCCAGCTACTTGGGAGGCTGAGGCAAGAGAATGGCATGAATCTGCGAGGTGGAGCTTGCAGTGAGCTGAGATAGTGCCACTGCACTCCAGCCTGGGCGACTGAGCTAGACTCCATCTTACGTAAAGTATCCTTACCTCAGTGTTTATTCTTAGTGCTTAATGAAGTATATTGTGGGTAATTTCATAGTCTAATATTTAATGGGTAATTTCATTTGTATTTATTACTATTAATTCTCATAACTTTCATAAGAGAATGGCAAATCTACCATATCTTAATGGCTTATTAAATACATTACCTCACTGTAAACAGAAACTTTAAAATGTCAATGGAAACGGTTTGTATATTTGTCATTAATTTTGTTATTGAATTCAAGAAATTAATGCTACATTTTAATAAAAATTTGTAAGAATGGAAAGCTTACTGTTCAATAAAATATTTAACGTAATGGGCTTTGGACTCAGAAAGAAATGTGTTTGAGTTTGCCTTAGCCAATTTTAGCTGTACCATCTTGGGGAGATTCTGAACCTTTAGAGTCTCAACTTTCCCATTGATAAAAGGGAAAAATAATATGTAGACCTTAAATTTTCCATGATGATCAAATTAATTGACAAATAAAAATGTTTGAAATAGTGCCTAGCATATAGCAAGTAATAAGATAAACTCATGTTTTTTTGTTTTGATCTCAGCTTTTTCCCTTTAAAATATTCTCATTTTGCAACATATAGTGAACTCTTTATTGTATTAAGAATGCCAAAAAGATTTCTAAAATGATATTCTTTTGCTTGCAATCAATAATTTTCAGAGATATGCTTTGACTTGGAATAGCACCCTAGAATAAAAATCCTGTTTCTTTATCTCAAATGCCTTTCATGGATTTATGTTTTTGATGTTTTAATTTATTTCAGAATGACAGACCTGGTGTTGACAACAGTAAGAGAAAATCTGTTACTTGTCTTTCAAAGTTTCAAAGTTTCTTCTTCTTATGAGTGGTTTCACTTTTCACAATTTCAGTTAACAGTGTTCAATTGCAGTCTGAAAATATTAGACAGAAAATTTCAGAAATAAACAATTCATAAGTTTTAAATTGCATGCAATTTTGAATAGCCTGATGAAATCTCACACCATCTCACTCCAACTGGTGTGGGCATGACTCATCCCTTTATCCAGTGTGTCCATGCCATATGTACTACCTGCCTGTGAGTCACTTAGTAGCCATCTCAACTGTTGCAGTATCCAGTATTGCAGTGCTTGTGTTCAAGTAACAATTGCTTTACTTAATAATAGCAATTATTAATAATAAGTGCAAGAACAGTGATGCTGGTACATTTTCATAATTGTTCTGTGTTTTTTATTAGTTATGTTAATCTCTTACTGTGCCTAATTTCTTTTTAAATTATACTATAGGTATGTATAGGAAAAAAATGTACAGTGTATATAAGGTTCAGTAATACCCATGGTTTAAGGCATTCACTGGGGGTCTGAGAATGTGACCCTGAAGATAAGGGGGAAACTGCTGTTATGTAGTTCATGGATTCTGTAATTGCAGATCAAAGAGATTTCAGGAAGTTTCAGAATTTTTAATTCCATCTTGGGCCTTCTAGAAACTGTATTAGGTAGCATCTCCCTTCAGAGTCACTGAATTAAATGTATCACATCTCAGTTAGCCCACCACCTTTGCTGAGTCATATTTTTAGAAAAAAGCAATTGGAATTAAAAAAAATCAAGTAATTGAACTCATCACTCTCAAAGGAAGAAACCTTGAATGCACAAAAGATCAGCTACTCACTGGATTGGAATAGAAATTCATTCTCATATTCTTCATGAATAAATATTAATTTGAAAATGTATGTCACTCTTCTGTTTTTCACTATTATACCTCCTTGTTTCCTGAAAAGATAGCTCATGTGGTTATTAATATCAGAAACTAGAATAGTGGGGAAGTTAGCACGGATACATGTACTAGGATTCAACTATTTGGCAAAGTTGGGTCTGTAAGTTTGACCTTCTTGGAGATTGTACAGTTGCATTGACATAATTTGATCTTTCAGCCACTGAATCTAGTAGGTCTTTTTCTTTTAATAGACTTTAATGTTAGAGCAGTTTTATGTTCACAGCAAAATTGAGCAGAAGAGAGAAATTTCCCATATAGCTCCTGTCTCAACACATGCATAGCCTCTCTCACTGTCAACCTTCCCCACCAAAGTGGTATATGTTAGTTACAATTTATGAGCACACATTGAAATATTATAATCACCAGAAGTCCATAGTTTACACTAGGGTGGTTCATTCTTGCTAATGTAAAAACTATGGATTTGGACAAATGTGTAATAAGATATATCCATCTTGTACCTTAGTATCTTACAGAGTAGTTTAAGTGCCCCCAAAATTCTCTCTACTCTGCGTATTCATTCCTCCTTCCCCCCAACCCTTGGCAACCACTGATTTTTTTTTTTTACTGTATCTATAGTTTTTCCTTTTTCAGTTTGTGATATAGTTGGAATCATAGAGTTTGTAGCCTTTTCGGATTGACTTCTCCCACTTACTAATATTCATTTAAGTTTTCTTGATGTCTCTTTGTGGTTTGACAGCTCATTTATTTTTAACATTGAATGATATTCTATTGACTGGGTGTTCCCAAGTGTATTCATTTACCTACTGAAGGATATCTTTGTTGCTTCAACGTTGTTTTGACAATGATTAATAAAGTTGCTATAAGATTCCTTGTGCAGCTTTTGTGTAAACACGAGTTTTCAACTCCTTTGGGTAAACACAAAGGAGTATGATTGCCAAATCATATGGTAAGAGTATGTTTAATTTTGATAGATACTGCCAAAACTGTCTTTCAAAGTGGCTGTACCATTTTTCATCCACACCAGCAATGAATGAGAATTCCTGTTGCACCACATGCAGTGTTGCCAGTGTTTCGATTTTAATCATCTACTAGGTGTGTAAGGATATTTCATTCTCATTTGCATTTTTCTTGTGACATATCATATGGAGCAACTTTTCATATACTTATTTGCCATGTATACTTTCTTTGATGATTTGTCTATTAAAGTCCTTGGCCAATTTTTTAACTGGGTTGTTTGTTATGCTGGGTTTTAAAGATTCTTTTGTTTTGGATAATAGTTCTTTATCTGATATGTCTTTTGTAATATTTTCTCCTATTTTGGCACTTATCTTTTTATTATCTTGACAGTATCTTTCAGAGAGCAAAGAATTTTAATTTTAATAAAGTCCACTTTATAAATTCTTTCTTGTATAGATCATGCCTTTGGTGTTGTAGCTAAAGTCACCACCAAATCCAAAGTCATCTTTCTCCTATGTTATCTTCTAGAAATCTATAGTTTTGCATTTAAATGTGTTAATTATTTGAGTTAATTATTTGAGTTAATTATTGTGAAAGATACAAAGTCTGTGTCTAGATTCATTTTTCTGATATGTGGACATCCAGTTTTCCCAGCATTATTTGTGGAAAAGACTCTTCTCCATTGTTTCACTTTTGGTCCTTTGTCAAATATCAGTTGATTATGTTTAGATGGTTCTATTTCTGGGCTTTCTCTCCTGTTCCATTTACCTGTGTATCTATTTGTTTCACCAATACCAAATTCTTTGTATGATTGTAGCTTTATATAGCCTGTGTAGTGGGCAGTGTCGGTCCTCCAGCTTTGCTCTTCTCTTTTAATATTGTGTTGGCTATTCTGGGATTTTTGCCTTTTTATATAAATCTTAAAATCACTTTGTTGATATCCACAAAATAACTTGCTGGAATTTTTATCAGGATTAAATCGAATCTATAAATCAATTTGGGAACAACTGACATCTCGACAATATTGAGTCTTCCTGTCTATAAACATGGAACATTATTTCATTTATTTAGTTTTTCTTCAATGTTTGTCAGTTTTGTAGTTTTCCTCATATAGATCTTTCCTAGTATACATTTGTGTACTTTTCTACGGACAGCAAGAGCTGATAAACAAGTTTGCCTCTCTCTCATAAGGGCTTTAACTTAGATTTTTAACTTTCTTTTTGCGTTTCATGTTTTAAATAGAGTCCCTTTTATCTTAGTTATAAAGCATATAAGAATACAAGTACATACAGTGAAGTGCATCAACAAATGAGAACCACAGTTATTTCTCAGGTTCATCATTGTAACAAAAATAGAGATGAATTTAACATTATATCCACTGTTAAGAACATTCTTAGAATCTTCCTTATGAGTTTCAATCAACAGAGTAAAATTCTTACAATAGCCTGATGAAATAACTAAGAATATAGCATAAGTCTATTGTAGAGTAGCTAGGACATTGTGGCACATCTGAATGTCAAGTTAAGAGAGTTTCAAAGCCAGGAAGGTTGAAAAGGGAATAAAATGTCAACTTCTATTTCTACTAAGTTATATATTTTCATTATATACAAAATTCTAAAATTATTGGTAGAGATATATGTTCCCAGATAATTCAATTTTTAATGAGGCTATATGTGGAAAAAATATAGGCATTTTTAACCTATTCTTTATATAGGTAAATCCCAGGAATGTTTTTTCTGGAAAATAAAAAAGTCTAAGTTTCTGAGTTTTATAAACTTTTAGAAAATTTTAAGCTTTTATATTAATATAATACTTTTTTTCCACTTTAACACTAGAAGGGTCAAAATAATAAGATGAATTGGTGAATTTACAAAAACACAGTAACCGAAGAGCTAATGATAGAATTGCAGGTATTTAAAAGCTTGTCTGTCATTGCAAGGAAAAAATAGGTATTGTGCCTACAGTAATAAAAGTGTGATTCTGTGTTCTGGGTAATCATGATTAATTGGATAATTAAAAGCTTTGATATACTTTTGCAGTTTAATAATAAACAATTTATAGTTTTTAACTCCATTATATAGTTATTATTTGACAAACCTCTGCAAAACAAAATAATAGTAACTCCTGGTGACAACCATGCCCTAATTTTAAAATTTTTGTCAAAAATACACTTTAATGAGAACAAATGTTCTTCTTGCAGTAAAAACATTACTTAGCAAAGGAAACACTAGAAAATAAAAAATTATTGAGACTTATGTTTCCAACAGAAACAAGAAAGTATGTTTCTAATATCTTCAAGACATACAAAAGTTGGAGTTATAAATAAACCTCAGTGTTAATTTCCTAATTTCTTGTTTTAAATAAAACCATTACTTTTTTGTGCAGTCATCTGAGTCTCAGTAATCCACATTATTTTTCTATTTCTATAATTGCTATGCTTATATTACAAATATAAAAAAGGAAGTAAAGTTGTATTTATTTTTTTCAGTGGTAGGAAGATATCAAGTGTTTGCACACTTCTGGTCATGACAAAATAGCCTAGATGCATCTGCCTGCTTCTCCCAGGGAATACAACTATAGTTTCTCTTGTGTTCTTTTCACTGAAAGAGAATACTCAATGGCAGTGGGAAGGTAACTAATTAGGGAGATACCTGAAGACTGGGGAACAACATAGTGGAAGAGCATCTCATGATCTCCCATTCAACAGAAGGCATGCCAGGCCTGGCATTTCCCAACATCTAATTTAGCAATAGAAGACAGCCAAGGTCAGGTAGGCTCATTCCTCCCCTGGATCAAATAGAAGTCCTGCTGAATATCAGCAAAGGAGATTTATCAAAATCACTATTTACTGTAAGTCAGAATGGTGCCTGAAGAGGAAAACCTCTGCTTTCCCATCCACTCGGAGGCTGCCTCCTCAACCCACAGACATGACATAGCAAGAAACACCAGCTACAGGGACCCACAATAATCACCGAGCTGGAAAAACCTCTTTGTCCAATGAAATGTCAGACATCGTTCTCCAATGTGGAGACATTGTGTGGCCAGGGACACCAATAAAGGGGGTCAAGGTCCATGAAACTCTCCTTGAGGCCTGAGACCCCTCCCACTCTTCCACCCTTGCATTGACAGACTGTGAAATATGAGGACGAGGGAGTAAAACCACAGCAAGTATATTCACACCAGAATAGTAACGCAAAATCTCTAAAAATTAGATTTCCTTTGGAAACACAGACTGCCAAAGTAGCAGCACAGAGATTGTGTGCTAAACTTAAAGAGTGTGACTTTCTATTAAAATAATGCAATAAAATAGAAAGCAGTTTTCCAACATAATATTTGCTAACACATACCTGATAATGACTGGTATCAAAATACACAAAGATGCCAGGCACAGTGGCTCACACCAATAATCCCAGAACTTAGAGGAAATCCAAGATCTTAGAGGAAAGGCTTTCAGTTTTTCCCCATTCAGTATGATACTAGCTGTGAGACTGTCACATATGGCTTTTATTATATTAAGGTGTATTCCTTCTATCCCAAGTTTTTTGAGGAATTTTATCACAAAGCGATGCTGAATTTCATCAACTGCCTTTTCAATGTCAATGGAAATGATCATATAGTTTTTTATTTTCTATTTTCTTTATAATGTTGTATCACATTGATTGATTTGCCTGTTTTAGCCATCCTTGCATCACAGGGATAAATACCCATTGCTCATGATGAATGATCTTTCTAATGTATTGTTGAATTTGGTTTGCTGTTATTTTGTTGAAGATTTTTGCATCAATATTCATTAGATTATTGGCCTGTAGGTTTCTTTTTTTGATGCATCCTTGTCTGATTTTAGTATCAGGGTAATGCTGGTCTTGTCGAATGAGTTTCGAAGTATTCTCTTTCTAAATTGGTATTAAGTTTCTAAATGTTTGGTAGAATTCAGCAGTGAAGCCATCACATCTCCAGGTTTTATTCAATGGGATTCTTTTCATTATGCCTTCAATTTTTTTTGTGTGTTTTTTTTTCTTTTTTTTTTTTTTTTTGAGACGGAGCCTCGCTGTCGCCCAGGCTGGAGTGCAGTAGCGCGATCTCGACTCACTGCAGGCTCCGTCCCCCGGGGTTCACGCCATTCTCCTGCCTCAGCCTCCCGAGAAGCTGGTACTACAGGTGCCCGCCACCTCGTCCGGCTAATTTTTTGTATTTTTAGTAGAGACGGGGTTTCACTGTGTTAGCCAGGATGGTCTCGATCTCCTGACCTCGCGATCCACCCGCCTTGGCCTCCCAAAGTGCTGGGATTACAGGCGTGAGCCACCGCACCCGCCCATGCCTTCAAGCTTGTTCCTTGTTATTGGTCTATTCAGGTTTTGGATTTCTTCCTCGTTAAATATTGGTAAGTTGTATGCATCTAGGAATTTGACTATTTCTTCCATATTTTTCATATCATTGCTTATTTTCATATCATTCCTTATAGTAGCCACTAGTGAACCATTGAATTTCTGCAGTATTAGTTGTCTCCTTTTTCATTTCTGATTTTATTTATTTGGACCTTTTCACTTTTTAGTTAGTCAGTTTGGCTAACAATTTGTCAGATTTGTTTAACTTTTTTCAAAACCAACTTTTTAATTGATCTTTTGTATTACTTTTTCATCTCAATTTCATTTATTTCTGTCCGGATTTTATTATTTCTTTTCATCCACTAATTTTAAGTTTCATTTGCTTTTGCTTTTCCAGTTCTTTAAGATGTATCATTAGATTGTTCATTTAAGATTTTTCCTCTTTTTTGATGTAGCCACTTACAACTATAAGCTTCACTTTTAGTACTGCCTTTGTTTTATTCCATTTGGTATGTTGTATTTCCGTTATCCTTTGTTTCAAGAAATTTTTCAATTTCCTTCTTAATTTCTTCATTGACCCACTAATCAGTCAGGAGAACATTGTTCAATTTCCATATATTTGTATAATTTTCAAAACTTCTCTTGCTATTAATTTCCAGTTTTATTCCATCATGGTCAGAAGAGAAGACGTGTTTTGTGATATAACACATAGTCTATCCTTGAGAATGATCCACGTGCTAAGGAAAAGAATTACTATTCTGCAGAATTACTATTCTGCAGGTTTTGGATGAAGTGTTCTGTAAATATCAATTAGATCCTTTTTGTCTATAGTGCAGATTAAGCCTGATGGTACTTTGCTGATTTTCTGTCTCGAAGATCTGTCCAATGCTGAAAGTGGGGTGCTGAGTTTTCCAGCTATTAATGAATTGGGGCCCATCTCTCTCTAGCTTTAATATTTCCTTTATATATATGGGTGCACCAGTGCTGGATGCATATATATTTAAAATTGCTATCTCTTCTTGCTGAATTGACCCCTTTATCATTATATAGTAATCTTCTTTGTCTTTTCTTGTAGTTTTTGTCTTGGAACCTATTTTGTCTGACATAAGTATAGTGAATTCCACTCTTTTTTGGTTACCATTGGCATAAGATATCTTTTCATCCATTTATTTTCAGTCTATGTGTGTCTTTGAAAGTAAACTGTGTTTTTTGTAGGCAACAGATCAATGCGTCTTTCTTATTTTTTAGTCCATTCAGCCAGTCTATGTCTTTTGATTGGAAAGTTTAGTCTATTTACATTCAATGTTACTATTAATAAGTAAGGAATTACTCCTGCAGTATTGTTACTTGTTTTCTGGTTGTTCTATGGTCTTCTCTTTCTTCTTTGTTTCCTTCCTGTCCTCTTCTAGTGAAGGTAACTTTTTCTTGTGTTATGATTTAGTTTCTTGCTTATTTTTTGTGTATCTATTGTATGATTTTTGGTTGGAAATTACCAGGAGGCTTGCAAATACTATCTTATAATCCATTATTTTAACCTGAAAACTATGTAACACTATTTGTATAAACAAATAAGCCAAAAGAAACAAATAGAATTTCTATGCCTTAACTTTGTCCCCTTGCTTGTTAACTTTTTGTTGTTTCTATTTATATCTTATTGTACTGGCTGCACCTTGAAAAGTTACTGTAGTTATTACTTTTGGTTGATTTACCATTTAGACTTTCTACTTACGACAAGAATAGTTTATACACCACAGTTACAGTGCTATAATATTCTGTGTTTTTTTCTGGGTACTTACTATTACCAGTGAGTTTTGTACTTCCAGGTGATTATTTCTTGCTCATTAATTTCCTTTTCTTTCTGATCGAAGTACTCTCTTTAGCATTTCTGGTAGGACAGGTCTGGCATTGATGAAATCTGTCAGCTTTTGTTTTTCTGGGAAAGTTTTTATTTCTCCTTCATGTTCAAAGGATATTTTTGCTGGATATGCTATTTTAGGGTAAATGTTATTTTCCTTCAGCACTTTTCATATGTTATGCCACTCTTTCCAGGCCTGTAAGGTTTCCACTGAAAAGTCTTCTGCCAGATGTACTGAAGCTCCATTTTATGTCACTTGTTTCTTTTCTCTTACTGCTTTTAAGATCCTTTCTTTATCTTTGACCTTTGGGTGTTTGATTATTAAATGCCTTGAGGTAGCCTTCTCTGGGTTAAATCTACTTGTACTTGGATACTGATATTGGTCATGAGAACTCAATCACAAGACAGCACTAGGGGATGGTGCTAAGCCATTAGAAACCACTCCGATGATCCAATCATCTCCCACTAGGCCCTACTTCCAACACAGGGGATTACAATTCAACATGAGATTTGGGTGGGGACACTGATCCAAACCATCTCCCCATCCTTCTTTGGGAGCTTTCCAGATATTTGAAAGGATTCGAGTGTTGTGATCTAAGCTGTATCTGCTTCAGCAGGTACATCAAACCTAGTAACACTATGGTTCTTGCAGACTGCTAGAGCTACTGCCTTGACAGTCTTGGACCAGGTCTGGGAGAATTCTCTGGATTACAGTGCAGAAACTCTTGTTCCATTCCTTTACTTTCTCCCAAACATAGAGTCTTTCTATCTGTTCTGAGTCACCTAAAGCTGGGATGAAATGACACAAGCACCCCTGTGGCCACCACTACTGTGACTGTGCTGGGTCAGACATGAAGCCAACACAGCGTTGGGTCTCACCAAAAGCCTGCTGTAACTATTCCCTAGCTACTGCCTATGTTCACTCAAGGCCCTGGGGTGCTACAATCAGCAGCTGGTAAAGCCATCCAGGCCTATGTCTTTACCTTAAGAGCAGCGAGGTCCCCCAGGCCCCATGTGTGTCCAGAAGTGCTGTCTGAGAGTCAGGGTCTATAATCAAATACCTTAGAGGTCTAACTGGTCCTCTACTGTATTGCAACTGACCTGGCACTAAAATCACAAGACACAGTCCCTCCCACTCTTCCCTCCCCTTTCCAAAGGCAGAAGAGCCTCACCCCATAGCTACCAGAGCCCCAGGCTATGAGGAGTACTGCCAGACTACCACTGATGTTCCCTTAGGCCCAAGGTTTCTTAAGTAAGCTTGTGGTAACTGCTGCCAGGCCCATGACTCACCTTTCAGAGCAGTGGACTCCCCTCTAGCCCAGAGCAGTTCCAAGGGCCAAGACTGGCATTGAGAACCCCAAGAGCCCGCTTGGTGCACTATGCCCCTGTGGCTATGCTGGTACCTAAGGTGCAAGACAAATTCTCTTTTACTTTTCCTTCTGTTTTTCTCAAGCAGAAGGAGTTTTGCCCCTTAGCCCATAACAGCCCATAACCTGAAGCCAGCCAGTCTCAGAGACTTACCCAAGGCCCCCCATGTAATACCTGGGTATTGCTGCTGGTTATTCAGGCCCAAGAGCTCTTCAGTTAGCTGGTGATGAATGCTGCCAGGACCAGATCCTTCCCTTCAAAGCAGTGTGTTCTCTTCTGGCCCAGGGATGTGTCTTGAAACGTTGTTGGAAGCTAGAGCCTAGAATGGGACCTCATGACTCTGACTGGTGCCCTATCCTGCTGTGTCTGAAATGGTATCCTAGATGCAAGACAAAGTCCTTTCCACTCTTCCTTCTCCTCTCCTCAAGTAGAAGGAAGTGGTCTCTTTTGGAGCCTCAAGCTGTGCAGCCTGGAGTTAGAGGAGGGGTCATGCCAGCATTTCCTTGGCTCTCCCAGATGTTGTCTCAGTATGTCACATGCCCCCTCATTTCACCTTCTCAGGGTCTAATTCAGCACTAGGACTTGCCTTTGAGTTGCAATCTTTATGGCCTAGAAGGCCTCTCAAGTTTACTTGGAGACATAGAGTGCTGTAGCCCTCAGTGGCAAGGTCTGTAGGCACTCAAGTTCAGACTGCTGGGATCAGTGATTCCCTTCTGGCTAGGGCTGGCTTACATGTTCCTTTCATGGGTGAGCATCAATTCATTGTGATCCTAGTTTCCTTTTGCTCTAATAGGACAGCACTAAGTTCAGTGCCTCACAATTGCTGTGTTCTCCCAACCCCAGTGCCCAGAGACACTCTCTGCACCATGCCATTGCTGCTAGGGTTGGGGAGGGATGGTGATGGTGATTCAGGACTGTGTTTTCTATTCTTCAGTGCTTCTTTCAGAGATATGAAGTTAAAACCAGATACTATGAGTGTTCACTTGATTTTTGGTTCTTAAAAAGGCATTTTTTTTTCTGAGTAGATAGTTATTAACTTGATGTCCTTGTGAGGGGCAGAGGGGGAAACTGTGGATATTTCTATTCTGCCATCTCTCTCCACCTCAGCTCCGAATGATTTCTAATGGCTCTATTCTGTGAATTCTGTGCATTGGGTTGAACAGCTTAACTTAATTTGGGGATTAGGAGGAGAATCAGGGGCATCTCAACACAGCCCATCTCAACCTACCAGAGTTCTTTATTGAGCCCTTTTTCTTATTTTTTAGGGGAAATAAATATTATTCTCCTTCTCTTTTTTATTAGCTATTCTGTGCATATATATATTTTTGGGGCTTCAAGGGAAAGGGTGGGACATAAATGAGGTTTTTTTCAGGGCAAATACTGTATTATAACTTCCCAAGGTAAATTATCATATCACGGTATCTTCAGCCAAACTAAATTAGATTTTCTCAAATATTTTATGTGATGCCTCATTGTATATTTTCTCGTATTTTCTATGTCAGAATAATTTTTATCTAATTACTCTCTTAAAATCCTATCCATCCTTAAAGACATAACTAGTATTACATCTGTCCTATCATAATATTTTAGAGTTTATAAACAATTTCTTTTGAAATCTCTCATTTGGATCAGACATTTGAAAGAAACCAAAATATTTTACCCCAAAATATACTTTGTGACATATTTTGAGATGAATGTTTAGAGAGCTAGCAAACAGAAATAGCCAGGCAAAGCTGTCTTTTGTGGAGGAGATTTACATCTGCAGAGAATCTGCACCCATACAGCCAGACTTCCTTTAAGGCCCACCCTTGTTCAGAGCTAGAAAAGGTTAATTGAGAGTCTGACACTTGAAAGGTCTAAAGGAAACATTTCTTATCTACTCCTTCTAAGGGCTGCTACCTGTGACATTTCATCTACGTAACAAGACCATCTTTACTAGCCAGGCCTCCTGCTTTGTTCCTCCCATAAACTGTCTTATCACTCTTGCTTGATTTACCACCACAACCAGTTATTGGCTCTGCCATGAGCCCAAATTATTTCTGTAACCTCAAGATGGTATATAAGCTTCCATACCCCATTAGGAGGTGAGAATAATCACTATGTGATTCTACTGCCATGCACATTAATAAATTTGTATGCTGTTTCTCCTACTAGTCTGCCTTTTCCTGATTGATTTTTAGTGAAACTTGAGGGCAAAGGGGAATTTTTTCCCTTGGCCAGTACGCATTTAATGCATAGGGTAATGGGAATGAAATTGCCTTTGCAAAAATTATGACAGTGGGAGGAATCTAACATAGCTGAGTCTATCTTGCTTCTAAACTCACAAGCTGTCTTTGCTCATTCCTTATCCAAAACTCTAGCTTCTGAATTTTTAGGGAAGTGGATTTGAGAAACATCTCCTGCCCTTCTACTTAGCTGGCCTTGTGATTGTTAAACTCTTTCTGTGCTGCAACTCCTGCTGTTCTCAGTTACTGGCTTTTCTGGGCAGCAGGCAAAAAGAATATATTGGGTTGTAATAGAAAGACCATTAAATAAGGATTCAGAAGGCATGAGTGACTTTCAAATATGCCAATATTTGTGCTCAGAAATCAATACCTCAAAACATGGCTTTCTGACATGAGGAACTGAGGAAGCCTCAAGGTCTTTCTGATCTTCTCAACTACCACCAAAGAAGCTGAAGTTTCCTTCAAAAGAAGCTGAAGTTCCTCTCCCAAAGAAAGTGAAGTTCCTCTATCTGGTTAAGATCCAGAACCACCAAGAAGAAAAATTGTTTTCTCTTCCCCTCCTTGTTATCCCATTATCTGTTTCAGGAAAAGAAGACCAAGATGTGACTACACCTGAGCAGACCTTTTTATAAGTGTGATGACTGTCTCCAAGGATTATTTAAATTTGAAAGAAAATTATTTACAAGTTAATTTCTGCCTCCCCATGCAATCATTCTCCCTAGCAATCATTAATTGCCCCTCAATAGAATGCCTCTTCTCTTCCCTCCCATAACCTGGATTCAAGCCCCCATTCTTTCTGTAACCCCAAGTAAAGTTTCTGTAACTCATTGGGAAGTTGGATCTTCATTCTGAAGGCTCCCATTTATGCGCACTCAATACATTTGTATACTTTTCCTCCTATTAATCAACCTGCTTCATGCCTGTGATTTTTAAGCAAATCTTTAGGGGGCCAATAGCAATGGCCCATAAACCATTTAAAAGTGTACGACCTTGGGAAAGTAATTTATATCCCTTATATATTCCTCTTTTTTCAGCTATAATTCAGCTGAATAACAACCATTTTACTAAGTAATTGAAAGACAAAATATATAAGCTTTATCGTTAATAAAATATTATAAAAGAATATCATTACTAAGTAGAGCTGATATTATCACCACTTTACAAATGAGAAAATATTAGTAAGTTGGTTCAATATCTTACAGTGTTTAGGTGTGAATGTTCAGAGCCAAGTTAGGTCTTCTGTCTTGATATTCATTTTATATTGACATGTAACTTGATATTCATTTTATATCAACAAGCAATACATTCATTGGCAGAAGACATGACACAATTTTGAATCCTTGTTTTTGTTTATATATTTATCTTTTTGATTTATAAGTCTATTTTTTTGCATTTTGTAGTTGCTCTATTTCCTATACTAGATTGTAAGCACATTTAGGTATTTATGAAATCTTTACATAGCACATACTGTGTGTCCAGATGAGACAACAGGAAAAACAGATGCAGCATTAAATAACTTAACCAAAGTCACAAAGCCAGTAGATGGAAGATTTTGTATTTTAATCTATTATCCAAGTCCAGAGACAGTGTGCTTTTTACTACACTTGGCTGGCTGTCCTATTACTCACTCATCTTTGAATTCTCTGAGTTCATCAGAGATGGAATGTAAGGCTAAAAAACAAATCTGTTATGATTGTGTGTTGTACTTTGGACATCTAATATTAAAAATTATCACTATAGTATATTATGATATCCTTTTGGAGGATTTATATTCAATATAGACATTTAATATAGCTATAATAAAACTATATTACAGCTTTTTTAGAATTTAAGAATCTAATTGGTTTATAGCAAATTCTATTCAATTTACTATTTGATTTACTAAAACAGGTTTTTCAAACATGAGAAAAAACAGAGATACCTATAAAAATTCAAAGAGATTGTCTAGTAATTTAGGCAGTCTTATCATCAAAATTAACAATAAATATTAAGAAAACTGAAATCTTAATAAAAGCCTTATTAATTGGATTTAGTATAGCTAATAACTGACTTATGATTTTTATCTTATCCAAAAAAAATAGGAAAAATATAAAAGTAAGTAAAAAAATTGGGGGGAAACAATTAAGTAAGACAATTTAAAATAACCTAACATGATTTATTTATTTTTTTTTATCATGAGAACATCTCTCAATTCTTGAAGCTCAAATATTTGGTTGAATGTATTTACTCCAACCTAAAGCTAGAGCTGACAAAATTGCATTTAAATGCTCCATGGAAAGCTCTCTAAAATGTCCCATTGTTACTTCAAATTTGAATTGTGCAAATCTGAATTTAACATCTTTTCCACAAAATTATTCCTCTGTTCTCCCCTTTCCGGCCTCCAAATTACCCTAGGCTTCTATCATGCATCCAGTTATAAACATTAGAAATTTAATAGTTAGTCCAAATTCCTCTCTGTTTTTCATTCTCACTCATTTCATATTTTAACAAGTCTTGTAGAATTTTCTTTCTGAATATGGCTCAAGTACATTCCAATGTTCTATCTCTATTTATATCACCACTTTATTCAGCCCCCTATTGATTTATTATCTAGACCTTTCTAATCTGTACTTAAATGGTGTTCTTTCATCCAGTCTTGTCAATCTTAAAATGATCTTCCAAATTGCATGCAGACTCATCCTTCTTAAATAAAATATGACTGTGCTATTCGCTCTCTTGTTTAAAAATTCTCAATTGCTCTCTAACAGCTAAAGGGAAATGTTTAATATCCATAGTTAGGCTTAAAGGTCCTTGATGATGTGACCCAGACTACTTCTAATTCAACATTTACCACTCTGTGTCCTGCACTTTAAACTGTAGCTCCCAGCATATACCCTTCTATCATAGGCTGATGATTTATTCACGATGCTTCTTTGACTGAAAAACTCTTCTCCCTGTCTTCAGCTGGTTAATTCCCCTCAGCCTTGTATGTCACTGGTCAACTGTTGTTTTCAGCAGAAAATCTTTGCTGAACAATAATGGCTAGAATAATTATTATCTTTTCATCTTGAAAGGAAGCATCTTGGATATATGTTCAGCATAACATTTAACCACAATTTAATGAAATTATCTTTTCTTAACATTTTAAAGTAATACCCATGTAATTAGAGGCTCCACTGGAACCAAATAATATCCCTTTAAAAGATCTGGCTTTGGACGTTTTGTGATTATAACTAATATGCAATAAATATTGGTTGAACTTCAAGATAGTTACATACTCCTATTTACCTATATAAACAGGACATTCTGTTTGCACTTACTCAGTAATATAACATCAAGCAGAATTTTAATTAAGAATGTTGTATCTTAATACATAATTTTTTTCTGATTTTTTATTTGCATTAATCTGTAGTTAAGAAAAAATATAAGAACAATGGATTTTGTGTTACAGTTACAATTATATTAGAGAGTTTTTATAGACATTTTAATATTTCAATCTCAGAAATGAAGATAAGAAACATTTTTGTTGTAAGTCGAATATGCACTTTTAACAAGAAGGAAAATCAAATGAGAAAGTGCATCTTAGGAGAGGGAAAATGCTAAAAGGTTTTACTACTTCTCAAACATAAAACTCCAGGCCAGATGCATATTGAGAGAATTTGTGTTAACTATAATATACTTAAGCACATATTCAACTTCACAGCTTTCATTTTTAGGAGCACACGTAAATTACTTTCTAAGAGATTATTCTCCTTCCCTGAAGGTAGGAAGTTGTAAGCTTTAAAACTGTATCTGACTCTATTCAAAATAAAAATTAAAACGTATTTTTTTTCTCTTGTTCTGAAGACAAAATTGGAAGCATGAAGGTCACTTGCAAACCAAATGTTTGCAAGAATGACCCATCTACCCAATGAGGATTCTGTCTTGATATAAATGAGCACCTTAAACTATAAATTGGTGCTTTTCAGAGAGGTGCTGAAAAATAAACTGTTATAAAATTGTCAGCAGCTGCCAACCAGAGAACTGATTCTGTAATTTAGTGAGAAACTGAAAAGATCAAAATCACATTTCTGCCTTTTAATGGGTCTTTGGCTGTTGCACAGAACCTGCTAATAGCATCGCAGAAGGGAGGAAGGAAGTAGAGGTCATAAGCACACTTTACATGGTTGAGAAAATGGATGTGCCTATTCTTAGGCAGCTGTGGGCTCTAAAAACAAAAGACTTAAAAATGTATTGGCCTTTCTCTGAGAGAATTAATCATATGAATTCAAACAAAGCATCTTGCTATGCATAGAACAATTATTATAACTGTGAGTAATTGCAATGTGTTTTGTTTACCTAACTCCTTATTCAGAGGCATAAAACAATACATAGTCTCTAGTTTATCCTTGTAACTGAATTCAGAAAAATTAGACACTCATCATGGTTTACAGGATTCTTACTTTAACCTCTTTGGTCAATATGTCCTTTGCCTCCATTGCACACCATAAAATAGTTGTTTATGTAAAACTTCTTGTAGATCCTATAGATTATAATTTTTCAGTAAACTCCATGTAGCTCCAGATCTTTGACTCTAATGCTTATCTTGGCATTTAACAGGTTAAAAAGTGCTTTTTATCGTTTTTGGTCTTAAGAAAGACCAGACTCCTCATGTGGTTACATTAGCATGGATTACCACCAGAATTGAAGAAAAACACTTCATTAGAGATATTTTAAGAGTTAGGTGATTCTACTTGAAATACACAAAAACGCATACATACTGTCTTCCCAAGGTATTTGATGATATTTAGTGGCCTTTTCCAAAGAAGATCAAAATAAATAATCATGGTCTTGAAACTCAGTAGGTTTAGGCAAAGCTTTAACTGAAAACAAAAATTAAAAAATTAATAAGTCAAAAAATAAAGTAGGTTATAGATCTACAGGCAGAAGACTGAATCCTTTGTACTCATGTTTTCAAAGTACAGCCTTAAGAACATGCCATAAACATTGCAAACGCAACTAATTCTTATTTTGCTTTAATTATGATTGTTGTTTTTCATTTGAGGTTGACAGCTCATCTCTCCCAAGTACACTTACTACTCAACATGCTCTGTTTCCTTCAACTCACTTTTCTTTAATGCACTTTTTTTTGTTTTCAAATTTAAGGTCTCCTGTGAATTGCTAATACTGCATGCACTATTAGGCACTATCTTTCAAACGATAGTCATTAAAGTGTTCTTTTCCCTAATGATTGAGATCTCCCCAGATATAAATTAATATTTTAGAGGCTTAAAATAATACTCAAAGGATACATGCCAGTAACCAAAGTTTAACAGAAACATTAGGCTTAAAAATTAGTGTGATTATAATTTTAAAATGAAAATTTATCTAGATATTAAAATTGCATTTTATAGATTTCTTAGTGAGTTTGCTCATATTCCTGGCCTCTTGTTGTTTACTTACATTGATATTTTCCAAAAAGTTAGGGATGTATCATCTTTTGTCAGCTGAGTCATATTTTCAGCTGACTTATTAAGGGACTTATTATGTAAAAAGAACATTACACCACTTCATTTTAAAAGAAAAACAGTATCTTGACAGCATTTCTTTAAAAATAGTCTTTTGTATGTAAAACTTTGTTCAAAACAGAATACAATAGTATTTTCTTAATTACCATTACATACCATTGCTAGGGCATTCAAAGTTGTTGGTACACATGGAGAAAAATAAAAATTTTGAATTAATTTACAAATGGCGGTAATAAACAGATTTACAAAGCAATCAGCACAATTTCCAGATTTCTGTTTCTTAGCAATAGGATTGAGGGGGAAAATAAAGAATGAAAAACTCAATGAATATTTGCTGAAACATAAAAATTCTGCCTGTCAAAACACATATGCAATGTGTTCTTTATCCATAATGTTCAATCTCAATAAGGGAAAACATTGCCCATTGAATATAGAAATAAGTTTTTAACTCTCTGCTTACTCATACTACATTTAGGGACATGATGTTTTTAATAATATGTTTCATTTCTGTCCCTTTCTACTATAAATCTAGCCTGAACTTGCTCTTTTCATCTGAAGGGACTATAGAACTCTTCCCAAGTAACTTGATTCTCAGCTAGTGTTTCTTTCCTTAATCCAGAGGTCCTCATTTACTGTTCTTTGTGAAAATGCAAGTTTAACTTCCCTGCCATCCTACTGACAGCATTGTGGGCCTTGCCCAGCAATCCTAATACTGTGGGCCAAAGTTCATTTTGCCAGGAGCCACAGCTTGGAATCCCTGCACAGCACTCTACCACTTCCACATGAAATGCCCCAAAAAACACCTCCATTTGTGGTCATATGTATTTTTCCCACACAATCATACTCAAGTTCTTATGGGGTTACCCAATTTTACAGATAAGTTGAAGGTAAGTTATATTCAACATAATGCTCATGGGCAGAAGAGAAATTAAAATAATACTCTTAATGTAACTATTTTTTAATATAAGGGGAAAAATAACCTGTATGAGGCCTGAAAGATATGCCCTAACATCTAAACATACTTCTCTGTACTTCTGCTTACTCCTCAACTATGAAGCCACCTCCCATATTAAAAACCCCAAGATGCCACTTGTTCTCCCCTTTAATGAAATCTACCCGATGCTCCCCCATAGGTTTTAGTTTGAGTATCAGACTTATTCTTTCCTCAAGCTTCTTTCATCCAGTCAAACAATAAGACACTTAAATTTCCAGCAGTATATTTTATAATTGCAAGGCTTCTGCGGAACACAAGTGTGGATTTTAGCTCAAATTGCACATTTATTTGCATTCTGTTTGTTTGTGAGAGGTAAAGATGAAACTTTTCATCAATTCAAATCATCAAATTATAGAAAATTATTAATTAAAAGACACACATGCATGCACACACAAACACACCCACATTCACTCTCCCAAATATAAACATAGGTTCTCAAATTTACAATGTTGTTTAGAATTATATAGCAGTGTACATTGATTTTCACAGCTTCACCATGTGCTTGACAGAGATCATAATTATGTCATCTGTTATGCAGCACGGTAGTAGTTTGTACTTCTTTTTCTCCCTGGTTTTGTACTTTGAATGGTATTCTACAAATTAATAAGGGGCTCTTGGAAATAGGGCCACTTGCATGGCCAATCTGTTGTAAGCACAGGATGCAAGTAAACATCAATATTTTTGTTTCTCATGTTCATTATGTATGCATTACTTAACTTCATTCCCAGTCCCCTTGGACTTATGTGAGGTCAATGGTATTAGAGTTCTAGCCAATAAAATAAGAGTGGGAATAATGTACATTATGGCGCACTGCCTCACATCTGACCTTTCAAACATTTCACACCATCCTCCATGGTGTCTCTACCATTGCGTCCTGATAGATGTAGAGGATTCAATGGGAAAGTTCTGAAATCCCTAGCTTCCGACCTCCTAGGCAATGGTCTGAGAAATAAAGAAACAAACCTCGGATTGTGTATAAGCTTTTTCGATTTAGGGGATGAGTACTTTTTATTCTAGTTATTATTGGTTTGTTTTGCTGTTTTTTAGTTTTTGTTTTGTTTGTTTTTATAAATTGAACAGAAACAATTTTTAAACAAAGTATATTTCTTGTCATATCAAAAATAAGAGAAAATCCTGTTTTCTTTTGTTGTATCTCTTTCTCATATTTCCCTACTTTACTTGGAGTCATTTACTTTCTCAAGTGATCAGAGCCCTAGAAGTTCAACCCAAATACTTTCCTTTTATGAACATATGCTTCATTTAATATCTTTTGTTTTGTTGTTGTTTTATGAATTTTTTTAATCCATGCTATGTACTTAATTTTTTTGAATTGCTCTTTACTTACTAGGACCAGATAAATTAATTTACTTTAATGAAAAACAGTTCATTGGCATATTATGCTGCCCTGTAAGTAGCTTTCAGGAATTCAAGGAACTGATGATGAACAAAGACTTCAGAGAGGAGATGGTTTCATATTGTAGATGGGCATTTGTATATGCCTGGAATGAGAGGAAGTGAATAGTAAGAGAAGAATAGGGTCAGAAATCCAAGCTTAAAGAAAAAGCACACGCACAGGAAGGTATAAGAAACACTATGTAATTCAGCAGTTTGTAGCCTTAATTACTAATTTTTAGATCTGTAACATTTCTATTTCACAAATTATTAACCCAATGAATATATATCAATTAAATCTGGGCCTGGTGCAGTGGCTGATTCCTGTAATCCCAGCACTTTGGGAGGCTGAGGTGAGTGGGTTGCTTTGAGCTCAGGAGTTTGAGATCAGCCTGGACAACATGGCAAAACCCCATCATTCCAAAAAAAGAAAAAAAAATTAACCTGATGTTGGTGGCTTGTGCCTGTAGTCCCACCTACACAGGAGGCTGAGGCTGAAGAATCGCTTGAGCATGAGAAGCAGAGGTTGCAGTGATCCAAGATCACACCGGTTTACTCCAGCCTGGGTGAAAGAGTAAGACGCTGTCTCAAAAAAATAAAAATAAAATAAAATAACAAAAATGAAACCTGTGGAAAACTTATTAATTCTCTCTGTATAATAATCTCCATAAATACATTAAAAATATCATTAAGTTAAATTAAATTAAAAATGTTGATCTCTATAATATCAACAGTATTTAATTTTCTTAATAGCAATATGCCAAATATCTTACATTTATTTGCCTTTTTAAATATATAGGATATATATAGGATTTAAATATATAGGATGATATGGATTACCCTAATAAACTTGTTTCAGAATATTTTGGTCATTATTAGTTGCAACTGTTTCAGATGTTTATATATTTTCAGCTAAAAATTCATTCCCAGGTACAATATACCTATATAATATTAAGTTGAGATGTTCCCTATAGTTTATCTGGCTCTTTCATTATGGTGCTTCTGTACATCTTTAATTGTTTCAGCTCATTATTGTTAAGCTTGACACAAAATGGTGTTAGGTAGTGTCAGACAAATAGGTAGATCTATATATACATTATATATTTATTTTGCTTCCTGACAAACATCTTACTATTTCCATTGATTTTCAATATCAAAAGCAAAGTACAGCCAACCTTGCATTAAGTTTACTTTCTAAATACTTTCTGGACTGACTTTTATAGTAACAATCTTAAAATAAAACATCACTGAGTTAGAAAGCAGATGTAATTATCTAATAATTAATATAGTGGTTTTTGTCTCAGCTATGTCCTAGAGAGGTATTTGTGTTTTCAACACAGGTCTTATTATTTAGAAATATTCAAGGTTGCTATTAAACTGTAAAAAGGAATTCAATTGGGTACTCATGTTTGATCTTAGCAAGGCAGTATATTTTTTAAAATACTTCTCACTGTCATTTTAGTCATTTTTACTTATTAATAAAATAGTCCAATAATTTAAAAGGCATTCTGAAAGGCTTCTTAACAAAACTCGATTAGTTTCTAATGTAATTTAATTTGATTTAATATAAGCATTCTGGTTTTTCATAAGTATTCAATTATGCAGTACAAAATATATATGGCATAATGGGAATTTATATTTGAAAGGGAGTTCAGTTTTGTGTTCTAGGTGAAATTATGCTCATGACAATAAATTTAGCACTGATATTGAGACTAACAATTTTTTCATTTCAATTGTTCTACTAGGGCTTATGTTTCTTGTTTCTAATTTGTAATAAAATCAGAATAAAATCAGAACTGAGTTTTCTCAAATATATTTAGAGATAATCATAAATAGAATGGCAGTTTATATTAGGTATAGATATGAGAAACAAAGTGGCATTTTCTTCAAGTCATTTAAGATAAAATGGCAATAATTGGTATTTCAATAAAACCTCATTTTCCTAAATACATTTATTCGACAATTTCTCCATTTTAGGCTGAAGCCATGTGTAGACAATAATGGAAAAAAATACATTTATTTGGCCAAAATGATGTTATACCATTCATGTATAAAACTTATTAGCTGTGGTCAGAGAATACTTTAGGCTTTATGGAGGGCTAATTCTCTTTATAATTTGTCACGTTTTCTATTTAATTTTTTGTCCATAGAAGATTAGACATATTGTGATTAACAAAATGAATGACATTGTTATAACAACATTTCATAAGAGGTAGCCAATAACTTCTAGAAGAAAAATAACATAAAGGAGTCTTTGGAATAATAGTTACAGCCCTGATGTTTAAGTAACTTGACTAAGCCATAATTCATGTGAAAAAGATTAGAGATTTTTAAATAAAATCACTGTCCATGTTAGGAAATAGTTTGACATTATTTCTAAAGAATAACTGCAACATTAAGCACTGTCATTGTTAGGACATGCTTGTTAAGGAGGGTAACTAATTAAACAGATATTGTAGAGCAGCGCTCCTGAATCAGTCAGTCTGAGCTAAGACTGGAGTTTCTAGCTGGTACCAATAATCCATCATGGATCACATATTGGGAGTCAAGGATCTGAAATCCTTCCAGAACGATGTGTTTTATCCCATGTGTAATTATTTAAGAGTATTGTTAGCTAACTCAATTATATTTAAAAATGTAATCTTGTTTCTTGAAAATACATCGTTTCAAGAAAAAAAAAGTAACTGAGGAATGAAAGAATTGAGACAGACATACATAACACGGAGGAGGAGAAGGTGTAGCCACTTCCCTGATGATTTGAGCAACTGCCATTTGTTTCTCCAAAGATTCTACTTAAATGAGAGCTTGCTAACAGTTAGAACTGTCTAAAATAAAATGGACTTCCTGCCAAAGCAGGTGCCTCCTGGTAGCTAAGCATATTCTCCACAGAATGGCTAATCATCTGGGGATTCCTGCAGTAGTCTAATTTAGGAGATAGTCTTAAAACTCACCTGTATTTTCATCCTGTTATTCAGCTGTTAGGTTCTTATTTTTCTTAAAGCTCTTAGAATCTTGGGGAAAGAGTATCATCTTCAAATAATAGACCATGATTCTTTGGATAAAGGGAATATATGTGGACATGTAGTTGAAGTTACCCAGTACAAATCACATGCCGCTGGAGGATATTAATCAGAGATAATATTTTAGCATTTATTTTGTCCAGGCATTGTGCAATACCATGTACATGCATGTTTGTCAGCTATCTCTCACAACAAACTAATGAGATATTTTCCCTGCTTACAGTTGAGGAAGGGCAGACTAAGTTATAAAATTAGCTTGACTTGGAATATACACTTCGTATATAGTAGAGACTAGATTCAAACCCAGTCTGTGTAATTAAAGAATTTAAATTCTTAACCACTGCTTCTCACTGGGGAGGATAAAAGGAGAACAATCCAGTAAATTAGGATGAATGCTGCCCTTTATCCTGCTGATAAAGTCCTCTTGAACTTCAAATGATCACATGCTGCTCTCCTGGCAGGACCTTGCACTGAAGAATCAGGAAGTTTCTAACTCAATGTTGAGTTGTATAATTATGTAGCATCTAAATGGATAGTACATCACTTCAGTTTAGGTGATTCTCTCTTATTAAAGTCTGTAGGAGTTCATGACTGATTCCTATCATTATGTAAAATAAAAATCTTAGTTTTTGTTTTGGTGAAAGTAACACAGTATCCATATTTTTATAAACTTTACCAAATACCCTTCTTTTCAAAGAAACTTTAGTTCAATGAAGAAAAGGTATGCTTTTAAGTGTCAAGAATAAATTTTATTATTAATTGACATTAATGAGGTATATTGTTAATAACATTTTAGTTTTCTCATCTTGCAGAAAAGCCTTCTGCCACTGTTTTTCACAGTGCACTTCTGAGTAACATTTAAGGAGGTAGACTGAACAAAATATTCAAAGTCCTAAACAGAAATTCAGAAAACATTTAATTATATAAAATAATAATAATAAGAAAGCATATATTTAAGCTTGGAAAGGGCAGCTTAAAATAAAGTCAAGCAGAAAAAATATCGTCCATTTAACTTACATAAGAAAAGGCATAGCTTTCTGATAAACTCTTGAGGATTAAAATACGTAATTGCTGGCTGGGCGTGGTGGCTCACACCTGTAATCCCAGCACTTTGGGAGGCCGAGGCAGGCAGATCAGGAGGTCAGGAAATTGAGACCATCCTGGCCAACATGGTGAAACCCCATCTCTACTAAATATACGAAAAAATTAGCTGGCCACGGTGGTGCACGCCTGTAGTCCCAGCTACTAGGGAGGCTGAGGCAGGGGAATTGCTTGAATCTGGGAGGCAGAGGTTACAGTGAGCCAAGATTGCACCACTGCACTCCAGCCTGGAGACAGAGCAAGACTCCATTTCAAATAAAAAAACAAAAACAAAAACATAATTACCTTATTAACAGCGAGAAAAGAATAAAGAAATGAGCATAATACTTTTATACCCATAACAATGTTAATTATGTTAAAAAAGAAAGAATGAATGTGAAAAATAATAAATTAATACCAGTTATTGAATTAATTAGTAGGATATCTAATAGCTCTTCTTTTGTGTTGTATGTCTAATAATATGATTGATGAAAAAGATGATTTTTTATTAAAGGATATATTCTACTTTATTAATATCTATTTTACTTAAAATGTGATTCATCTTTCTTTTATTTTCCCTTTCTCTTTTTATTATAAAATATTTAAATAAATTATTTATTTAGTCAATATTTAAAAGGCACAAAAAATGGTGAAAGCCCAGGGAATTAATGCTAGACAGGTAGATCAACATATATCTACAGAGAAGACTATAATTAAGAAACCAAGTATTTAAAAAATATCCTTACTCTTTTTTACAACGGCCTAGCTTTTTTTTTCATTACAGATTATAAAGACAGAAAGGATCTTGGAGGTAAATGAGCCCCAACTTTCTCATTTACAGAATGAGGAAGTGAAGGCCAAAGGTATAAAACTGATTTGTGCAAAAGAAATGACATGATTTTGAACTTCTGATTTTAACCTCCATGTTCTTTCTAGCATGCCATTAATATTTGACATGTGTTTTCTGCATGTAATGGTAGAAGTTCTTACAAATTTCAACATTGTCTCTTTGAATAAGTGAAAACAAAATCAAAATATGGGTAGCAAAACAGTAATGGAAAACACATTATTCTATATTAATGAAAAAGAGTTTACAGGGTGATTAAATGAGCCACACAAATTATAAAGATGTAGTTATTTGATTAGTATTGTCGCCATGCACAGTGGTTTTGCCATCTGGGCTCAAATTTTATGTCTACAAAGCAATAATAATAGGTACTGCCTACTTCAGTGAATTGTAGTAATGATTAAAAGACTGCCTGTGAATGTTATTTATAAACTATTTAGATCGATATGTCGATGTAAGTTATAAGAAATCAAGTTCTGTAGACATCTTACATTACAGGTGAAAAAAATGAAGAATTTATAAGAATTAAGGAATTGTCCAAGACCATAGAAATATACAAGAGCAGAATCAATAATCAGTTTATTGTCACCTATCACTTTCCATTTATGTCTTAATAGTGTTGTTCAGCTATCATTCTTTTCAGTGTCTTCTTCCAGGGAATTTTACTAGGAAAAAATTAATCTTTAGGCAGATATTATCATGCATTATAAATCATTACATTCCAATTCTTTTATGTGTTATCTTTTGTATTTTTCTTCTAAAATTGAAGTGCCACGTTCTTGCAAGGAATAACATAGCTAAGCTATATTAGTTTCAATGTGGAAGAATGATACATTGTTTTGCACTTAATAGATTTATTTCATTTACCACTTAATGTTTAGTGTCTTTAAGATTAACATAGGCCGGGCGCAGTGGCTCACGCCTGTAATCCTAGCACTTTGCCAGGCCGAGGCAGGCGGATCACGAGGTCAGGAGATCAAGACCATCCTGGCTAACACGTTGAAACTCCGTCTCTACTAAAAATACAAAAAAATAGCCGGGCGTGGCGGTGGGCACCTGTAATCCCAGCTACTCGAGAGGTTGAGGCAGGAGAATGGCGTGAACCCGGGAGACGGAGCTTGCAGTGAGCCAGGATCGCGCCACTGCACTCCAGCCTGGGCGACAGGGCAAGACTCCGTCTCAAAAAAAAAAAAAAAAAAAAAAAAAAAAGATTAACATAAATAATTTTTTAACCAATTATAAGTCCCTTTTAGACATCAGGACAGTATTAACCTACAAGCTATATATATTTTCACATACTTACAGCACTTCTCTTTTTAGAGGTAAGATGACTCTGATTAATCATTTTAGGAGTAGGGCACTACTAATCTTATATGTGCGACAATCTAATATGGCATATGCTTGCATGGGTGATTAGCTAAAAATTATTTATGCACTATTACATAATTTAAGTACATAAAATATATGTTAATGGAGTTGTGTGCGACTGCATCTAAAATCTTTAAAAAGTAAAGCAATAATGAGTCATTCAAGTAATAGTAAAATATATACACATAAACTATTGGAGATTACTGATTCTTCAGAGAGATAAACGTCTATCAAAATAAAAAATAAATTATTGTACAGGATGAAATGATATATAATTAACCAAATCTGTCTTGTCACATATAGTCTCCAAAAAGACTGAAAGTAAAGTAAGACAGACTACCAAACTCAGGGCAATTAGTGGTCCCTCAGAAAAATTTTTTAAGATAGATTTTGATTTGATTCCACTTATATTGCTGCTTGCATTTCATTATCTAAATACAACTGCTCTCAATATTTTTCATTGAAAGATGAGCCATCCACATTTGAATTTTAATACTAAATCAAATCCAATGCCAAAATTGATTTATTTGTTAAATGCAGTCATGAAGTAACCTGCTCCAGATTTATTCAGATATACCCAGAATCCAAACCCTATCTTTACACTTGATATGTTTCTTTATTAAGAGAATATATATAATTTTTCAAAATAGGCAAGAGGTAGATTTTAGTTAAATTTTACTCTTTTCAGGTTCTTGCAATATCTAGCTTTTTACTACTTGAAGATTTTTTTTTAAATGTAGCTCACTGCTATTTAAAATAAAATTACTGTACAACTATAGAGAGAGAAAGTAGATTACTGTTCATTTAAGGCTGAAGGGAGAGTTGGGGAGAAATAAGAGTGACTGGTACAAAATACAGGGTTTCATTTTTTGAGTGATAAAGGTTCTAAATTGATTGTGGTGCTGGTTGCATAACTCCCTGAATATAGTAAAAACAATTGAATTGTACATTTTAAATGCATGAACTGTATGGTATATAAATTATATCTTAGTAAAGCAGTTAAAATTTTAGCCTACAAAATAAAAAGAGAAAAATTATACTTTTACTTTTCAATAGTTAATTTAATAATTACCATGAATGAAACAATTCTATAAGAATGGTTTGATAATTCCAAATTTTGAGCATATTCGATTATCATGGCTTATGGGTTACGTTTCCAAGCATTTACCAATGTGGGTCAAGTTTATAAGGTTTATTTCAAATGATCACAGTTTTTGACCAAAGTCTATATTCTTGTTTAAGACTCAAGGGAGAAATATCATTATATTGAAATAATACCTTCTTGTCTAAGACTCCCAATAGGGAAAAATTACTATCGTATTGAGAAACTATTGACTACTTTCTCGTGCCAAGGATTTACTCCTCTGTTCAAAGTGTTTTTAAGTGATCATTGCTACATTTATTGTTGATATATTGTAAATTCTTTTTCATATATACTCAACTGTCTAATTCTCATCATACCCTATAGGATATATGATGTAATTATTCCCATATTATAGATTATTAAATTATGGCAAAGAGAAGGTAGGTAGCTTGATCAGTTGCAATATTAGGACTTACGTCCGAGAGTTTCAACTATAACCTGAATCAGACTCTAGAAATTCAGATTTCAAGTATTATGCATTATGGCTAGTTAATATTTGTAAACATAAACAAGAGTTCTTGATGGCGTGGCTGGGTAAGGTTGTATCCATATTTATTATGAAAACCAAAATAATTTCATAGCAAGTCATAAATAAGTTGGCGCAACATTGTAAATATCCTTTTGATGTTAGAGGTTTATTATAGTGGTGGTAATAGGGCTCTATTATATTGGTAGTGATAAAAATGCCTAACATTTATATAATATTTGATCTATGAAAGAACACAATAGAAAATTATAATTTCCATATTAATGTTAAGTATGTTGAGATATAAATGTATAAAGTAACTCAAGGACAGTCATGCAGCTAGATACTAGAAGAGGCCAACTATTCTTAACATAAAAGATTTACATAATATTTCTGGAGAGTCAGAAAGAAAGATTATATAAAATGTTAAATGATCTCCTGCAAGGAATTCAGACATTTTAGTTTTGTAGGTATATTAATTCAAAACAATAACTTTTTAACTCTCTGCCCCTAATAAGCTCCTCCTAACTTTCCCACCATGAAAATCATTGTTTAAAGGCATGTAGGTGTGCCTAGGCACGGGCTTATTGACAAGTAGATCAATTAACTATAGGAAATTGTATCAAATATAGTATTAAGCACTATGTATGGGTATTTTACGGAGTTCAAGTCACATGAAAGCCTAATTTTATTTTTGGTTAGAAATTCCAAAAGCATCTCTAATTTTTTGCATCTCAGGTACGTAATCCACATTATAGTAGAAGTCAATCACTCTGTAATCAGAAAAACATGTGAAATAAAATAAAAGATGTACATTTCACTACCCAGCTTAATCAATAGGGGGTGGTGTGTGGGTATATGTATCTAGGGAAAAACAGGGCAAAATACATTCTCAGTAGATCTGGGCTTAATATTAACGCTACTTTTCAAAACCTTAAAACATAAACAAGTATAAATATTTGAACCTAATGTCTCAGACACTTTCCTGTTTTTTGCTAGTCCTTTAAAGTTGATTTTCTAGAAAGATGTGTTTATACACCCATTAATTTTTACAGCCACACTCAATAACAAACCCACTCCAATATGGCACCTGCCACCATTCAATAAGAATAGTTTTCACTATGTTCAATGACTTGCATGTTCACAGGTCCATGAACATTTCAGAACTCGTCTCACTTGATTTTTCAGAGCCATTTACAAAATTGACCCTTTTTCACATTGACTGTCTTCCTGTGGTCTCTATGATGGCGTATCTTCTTTCTGTGGGTACTTCTATGAGCTCATCTTCTTTCTTACTTTGGGCTTTTAATTTTCCTATACCTATTAACTAAACTATTTCCTCAAGATTACATATTTCTCTCCTTTCACTGTATATTCTATCACCAATACTTTTTCTATATTTTACAAAAGAAATAACATGCACATACACACATATATATACATATGATAGAAAACGAATACTAATAGATTGAAAATAGAGGTTATTTGACCCCCCTCAAAAAAAAACCAGGATGGCAACTTGTGGAATATTGGAATATTAATCTCTGAAAATTTAAGTGTATTTAAAAGCAATAACATTGGCAAAATCGCCAAAAATCATTTTTTAAATTTAGAAATTAACAAAAAGCTATGACCATGTAAGAAAGTTTATTCAAGAATAATTGCTGAATCTGGTAAGGAGAGTAAATGTTATTATATTTTTACCTTTTCTAATCCCATCACTCTCTCTCTAGCTCCAAAGAAGCGTTGAAAACCAACAACCTCTCCACTATATTAGCAGTCATATCAAGCAATCTATCAGTCACTGGAGGAGAAATAATAAGTTTGTAGCTACCCAAAAGTTTCATTACTAGAGAACTGGCTAATTTGACCAAGAAACAAGAAAAAAAGATCCAACTACTAAAATCTGAAATAAGTGGGAAGGCATTCCTGCTAACCTATAAAAATGCAAAGAATTATAAGGGAATACCGAAAACATTATAGAAAAAAATCAAAAGAATACACACAAATACAGCTATATCTCAATAACATGTTCAATATAGTTGAAGGATTCTGGAGCAACATTGTGAATAAGTTGCCTTGTAGACACTAAAAATTAACAATGCAAGACCAGATTGAAAGCAATTCCATTTGCAAAAGATATCAAAGCATTCAAAACAAGAATACATTTAACATGATAAGTGCAAGGCTTGTAAACTGAAAACTGCATTAAAGGTAATTTTCAAAGACCTAAATAAATGGACAAATTTTTCGCATTCATGAATTGGAAACTTAATGTTGGTAAGATGGCAATATTTCTAAACCAATTTAATGATTCAACACATACCCTATCAAAATCTCAGCTGCAATGTTTTTGGAGAAACAAGCAAGTTGTTCCTAATATTCATATGGAAATGAAAGGAATCCAGAATAAACCAAACAATGTTGAAAATAATAACAAAAGTTGGAGGACTCAAATTGCTTCATTTAATGTTATTACATACCTATGGTGATCAAGATACTGTGGTGCTGCTATAAAGATCAAAATATAAATTAATAAAGAAAATTACTACAAAATGAACTCCAGACAACCAAAATACAGAGATTTTGACATAAGAAATGGTGATGAGCAATACATATATGCTTACTTTTACAACTAAGATTAAATGAGGATTTATAGAATGGCAATATGCTGTATAATGGCCATTTGATCTGACAATGTAGATATAGCACACAAACAAAAGAGAGATGGAAATAGCACACGTAAGACATTATTTTTCTTTCCATCAGTAAAATTAGTGGTGGCAACAACAGTATTGTTACATTGTGAGTGTTGTCCATGTAAATTTGCATACAACAAATGAGTACTTAAGAAACGTTATTATGATGTCCCTTTTGCTATTAAAAACTAAAATTTTTAGTATGGGAAAAGAAGATAGAGATGTAATACACAGGAGATTAAGTATACATCCTGAAATTTCAAAATTGATAAATATCAGCATGATTAATGTATGTTATTAGCTATCATTTTTTTTTCTAGCTTCTCCACTTAAAATGTCTAGAAATAGCCACTCTACCAATTAGCAAGTAGTAATGAGGAAGCCTAGTGAAAAGGTTTTTATCTTGCCAAAAAGATTTGTTTCTCCCATTGACTCTGCTATTGTAAAATATACAACTACTTCTTTACTTTCTGCTTCTAAACCTTATGCAATTTGTCTCGTGTGGCTAATGCTAACTTCTAACTACACAGGGAAGAGAATTACCACAATAGAAATCCATCCCATACAATGCCTATTGATGTGTATGTGGTTGATAACGTCAAAAACATTGTATGGAAGTAATCAATATAAAAGTCAGGACAGTGGTTATTTGTAGAAGAGAGGAGACCACTAAGATTGAAAGAGTGTAAATAGATATTTTTGGGGTACGTAGCAAAGTTCTATCTTGACTTAGGTGGTCATTGTACAGTGTTTTTGCCTAATAATATTGTTCAGTAATCTATATATTTGCCTTTTATGGTTTTATATATCTATATTTTATTTTACAATAAAATGATCTTTTTAAAAGACATGAAGATAAATATATTTTTGAGATACCTGTGGGATATTCAAGGACAGATGCATAAAGTTAGTTTTGTATATATTTCAAGTTCAGGAAGGAGATTAGAGTTAGAAATAGAGATTTGTTTGCCATCATAGGAGAGTGAAAAAAGCAAGAAGAGAATAGTGCTAAGGCCAGAGCCATAGGACAGCCAAAGGGAGGCACTGAGAATAATACTGAAATATGGAATAAAAAAAAAGACATAAGATAATAAGCTGAAGATGCTATTTATGGTGATCTATACACTAACTAGTTACTGTCATATGAAATGTTACAGAAAAGTGATTTCTGAAGCAATTGTTCCCCTTGCCAGGCTGAGAATGCATAGTAAAGAAACAGTGACATGTACCAGCTGACAACACGCTCTCTAGCAGCCCGCAGGCTCTTCCTGCTGTAAACATTCATAATAAATGTCATGTCCTTACAAAAAGTGTTGGCAATGATCTCTTGTCTTCTTTAGGGTGTAAAACTTAATATGTTGGCAGAACTTTCATGTTACTCTTGTAATATAACCAGATTCTTTTTATAATTCATCAAGATGAGAAGAAGCTGTGGCATGAATTGGGCAAGGTTTTGTTAGTTTCTGCAATGCCTAGAAAAGCATATATTTTTACATGATTGTTTTGAATTTTCATATTATTCATTCTTAAAACAATGCAATATTTATTATTTTAGAAATATTTTGGTTCTTTTTGGTGTCCATGTATTAATTCTAATTGAGTCCCTGAAAAGCAACACTAAATTTCAATCTTGTTATAAACTGTTCTGTGAAGATATACATTTATTCACTCCAAAAGCAAGGAATTTATTTTATTACAATCAAATGTTTAGTTTGAAAATCTGAGAAACATCACAGTTAACTAAAACATCTATTCTAAAAATAATTTCCATTTAGTAAACCTAGGTGGAACACTTCAAATAAAACTGAAGTGCTCTTGAATGTATCCATCATATGCTTAAAAAATGTTACAGGCTTGAAAATGTTAAGAATGATGAGTGCAAGATAATTGAGTACAGGATTATATGAAACCAAAGCTCATATAACCCTTTGCAGCCATGGTAGCTTAGTGGGAAAATCTTGCTTCTTAAGTCAAGTGGAATTTCTTCATTGTAATGGACTATAATCAGAAGCAATGATGAATCTTTAAATGAAGATGTGGTATTCCGTAACACATGAGCCAAACACAGCTATTGCTCTGAAAAGATAAAGTTATATCATAGCAATCATAATAAGCCAATGTCTTACATGGTAAGAAGGCAGGAGTATATTGTGTTTTACATACATTCATCCAGGTACGCTACATTCTAAAATAGCACATAAAGAAAGAAGTCTATTATCAAACCACTTTTGAAATAATTTTTCAGGCCAATTTTATATTCTTAAAACTAATTATCAAAGTCAACTATAACTTTTCCCATTCATGAAAAAGACATAACAGGAAGAAAAGAGTTCCCCTATAAAACACCACCACCTGACATCTGCTATCCAGTATAGACTAAGATGTATTGTAATGTTGGATACAGTGAGTTCCTCTTCAAAGTTCCACTTGTTCCACTCCCTCGCTCTTTGTCCTCTATTTTCAAAGCCCAACTTCCTTGCCTCCTTGCCCCTAGTTATGGTAAACAACCTTCCAGCTGTTCCCAATCTGTAACCCACATCCATTCCCAATCTGTAACCCACATCCATTCCCAATCTCTAACCCACATCCATTCCCAATCTCTAACCCACATCCATTCCCAATCTGTAACCCACATCCATTCCCAATCTGTAACCCACATCCATTCCCAATCTGTAACCCACATCCATTCCCAATCTCTAACCCACATCCATTCCAAATCTGTAACTCACATCCATTCCCAGTCTGTAACCCACATCCATTCCCAATCTGTAACAACTCACATCTGTTCCTTATTTGGCACCCTTAGTTCCAAAACTGCTCTTCCTGCCACTGCAGCCCCATCCCTACTCCATTTGAAGTAGCCATTTGAGGTCAGCTTAGATTGTGCAGTCCGACTCCAGCCAATGGGGACCAGACACAGTAGCAAGGACTAACTGCATTAGGGATAAAAACCCCTTCCCTCCTTACTTCAGTGTGCTCTCACAGTGACCAGAAAAGTGAGCAGCACCCTTCTACAGAAGTAAATTTGCCTAGGTGCGAAATCTTTTGTTCGAGCGCTTGTTTACTTTGTGACTCCGAGCTCTTATTTCCAACAATTTGGGGGCTCATCTGGGATTCCCATTCTCCTCCAGGGAAAGGTTTCCAGTCCCCTCTCATGAGAAGATGCATCTCACTGCCTTGTTGCAGTGGCCTCAGGGTAAGGAATTGGGACCCACCCAGTGTGACAAATAAACCTGGACTCTCAGCAATGCAGGCAGAAAGGATCCTCACATACCGCGGCGACCAGGTAACTCTCTGTGCAGACCAAGGTAAGAAACATCAGGGGGGCAACAAAGTATTTCCTTGGTGGTCGGGATAAAGGCAAGAAATCTCCAATAAGAGGGGTTGAGCCTTTAGAGAAGGGAAAGGTAGGAAATCTCTAGGGTGAGGGATTGAGCCTCAGGTCAAATCTCTAGGGTGGGAAATACCCCAAGACTCCTTTATCCCCTGAAAACTACAGGTGTATGGGATCCCCTAGAACGCCTTTGCCCACTTAATACCCCTGATCCTAACCTCCCACCGCATCAGGGAGGCAGCTGCTGCTGCCCCAGACCCCACCCCAGATCCTTCCCTTACTCATGTTATTCCTCCTCCTTACAACCCTGACTCTTGGGAATTATTGTCTCATGAGCCTGCTCATTACCACCTAAGTACCCTTCCTTAAAAGGACTTAAATGTGAGGTAGAGCAATGTAAAAAGGATATTCAGAGCTTCCCTTTCCCTTCTACCTCTAAGGAATCAGCTCCCACCCTCTTCCCGTTAAGAGAGGTGCCCCTAGGACGGGGAGCCATTGGCTTCACGAATTTCCCCTTAACGAGCTTGGAAGTTCAAAATTTGAAAAAAGAACTCAAGCCACTGTTAGATGACCCTTATGGAGTGGTGGATCTAATTGTCCAATCCAGTTGCATACTTGAGCCTAGTTAACGTCCATCCTGGACATCCTCTTCTCAGGGGAAGAAAGGAGCATGATTCATAGGGCTGCTATGGTAATTTGGGAACGTGAACATTCTCCTGGTCAAAACGTTCTCTCCACAGACCAAAAATTCCCCACCTAAGACCACTGAAGGGACAATAACAATGCAGCTCACCAGGAAAATAGGCAAGACCTTAGGGAAATGATAATAAAAGGAATTTGGGAATCAGTACCCCAAACACAAAATCTTTCCTGAGCATTCAACATACAACAAAGGAAAGATGAAGGGCCTATGGGATTCTTAGACTGACTAAAAGAGCAAATGAGAAAATATGTGGGCCTAGATTTAGAAGATCCCCTTGAGCAGGGAATGCTAAAGCTTCATTTTGTCACTAATAGTTGGGCAGACATCTCAAGGAAATTACAAAAAATAAAGAATTGGAAAGATCATCCTGTGAACTAACTCCTTAGAGAAGCTCAGAAAGTATACATAAGGAGGGATGAAGAGAAGCAAAAACAAAAAGCAAAAATTATGTTATCCACCTTCCAGCAGGGGGCTCCAAAGGATAAGGTCCACCAAAATTACTCTCCATGGGCCTCCTTAACCATTTAAGAGAAAAAGGGCTACAGGTTTCAAAGGGAAAGCTCTAATTTGTAGAGCCTGGAGTTAAATACTTAGGGCACTCAATAAGTAAAGGCAAATGAATAATAGGACCTGAGCGAGTTGAAGGAATTGTGTTCTTGCCTTTGCCTAAAACGAAGCAGGAACTCAGGAGTTTTTTAGGATTAACTGGATATTGCCACTTATGGATTGACTCATATGCCCCAAAGACAAAATCCCGTACTTAAAGCTTACCCAAGAAAAACATGACCCTCTCCTGTGGACTTCTGAAGAGATCCACCAGGTTGAAGAACTAAAAGAGCAGCTCATAACTGCCCCTGTCTTAGCCCTTAGCCTTACCTTCCTAGAAAAGCTGTTTCACCTTTTCATTAATGTAAACAAGTGGGTAGCTTAAGGGTACTTTCCCAAGAACATGGGGGGCCACTGGCAACCTGTAGCCTTTCTATCAAAGGTTTTAGACCCAGTAATCTGTGGATGGCCCGAATGTGTTCAACCTATTGCAGTCACCGCCTTATTAACTGAAGAAAGCAGAAAGCTAACCTTTGGGGGAAATTTGGTTGTAAGCATGCCCCATCAAGTTAGAAATATTTTAAACCAGAAAGCAGGAAGATGGCTCACAGACTCAAGGATTTTAAAGCATGAAACTATCCTATTAGAAAGAGATGATTTAATACTAACCACTGATAATTCATTTAACACAGCAAGTTTCCTAACAGGGAATCCAAATCTAAAAGTACCTGAGAATCAGTGTTTAGATTTAATTGATTATTATACAAAAGTCAGGCCCAATTTAAGAGAGACCCCTTTCAAAACAGGGCAGCACTTATTTATGGATGGCTCTTCCCAGGTAACTGAAGGAAAAGGACATAACGGGTATTCAGTAGTTGATGGGGAAGCTCTCGCAGAAATATAGTCAGGAAGATGGGCTAATAACTGGTCCACCCAAACTTGTAAATTGTTTGCATTAAATCAGGCTTTGAAACACTTGCAAAAACCAGGAAGGGACTATTTATACTGATTCCAAGTATGCCTTCAGGGTAGCTCACAACTTTGGAAAAATTTGGACTGAACGAGGTCTCATTAATAGCAAAGGCCAAGACCTTGTCTACAAGGAATTAATACTTATTAGTGATGGTAGATCACCTTACTCACTGGGTGGAAGCTATTCCCTTTTCAAGTGCAACTGCTAATAATGTGGTTAAAGCATTGATTGAAAATATTATACCCAGGTTTGGAGTAATAGAAAATGTTAATTCAGATAATAGGACTCATTTCACTGTGCATGTCATTAAGAAATTAACCCAAGTGCTAGACATAACATGGGAATACCATACTCCTGGCACCCACCTTCATCAGGCAGAGTGGAGAAAATGAACCAACGTTTGAACAGCCACTTAACCAAATCAGTCTTAGAGACTCGGTTGCCATGGACTAAATACCTTCCCATTGCCTTGTTAAGAATCTGAACTGCCCCTCAGAAAGATGTTAGTTTATCCGCTTATGAGATGCTATATGGGTTGCCCTATTTACACTTCACTGCTGACATTCCTAAACAAAAGATCAGTTTATACTTCATCTATCTTCTTCTTTCTCTCCACTCAGAACTAATGGTCTTTTAGAATAGGTGCCACCCCTAGATTTCCTAGCACACCAGTATCAGCCTGGGGATTACATCCTCCTCAAAAACTGGAAAGAAGGAAAATTTGAACATGCTTGGGAAGGACCCGACCTAGTGCTTCTAACCATCAAGACTGCAGTCTGAACAGCAGAAAGAGGATGGACTCATCATACCTGAGTCAAGAAGGCGTCACCACCTCCAGTCGTGGGACATTGTTCCAGGGAAGAGTCCTACCAAACTAAAGCTAAGAAAAATTTAACCCTTTTATACCTCCTTTATCCCTTCCATACCCAATGACCACTTGGATGGTCTTCCAGGCACCTGGGCATGAGCTGTATGGTAGTTCTCTTCTAAGGCCCCAGAGCCTGGGGTAATGAATTCTGCTGAGGTCTCTTTCTCTGCTATTCCCTGAAATCTGACACCCTGCAAGTCAGCCCCCAAGGGCCATCCAGCCTCCATCTCACAATGCCAATTTTACCTCGTGTCTCTCACGACAGGGGGAAACCTTAGCATTCCTTGGAGACCTAACAGGATGCAGTCAGCTTAAGCCCTTCCAAGAGCTTACCAACCAGTCTGTCTTTATTCCATCCCTAATAACACAGCCCCCAATGGAACAATTAGAAAGGCCTTACGAGGCCTTACCTCTCGCAATTGCTGTAGGTGTTCTTATTACTGTAGGATACTGCATTATACTCTGTATTTGTGGATTAGTGCAGAAACTTATAGAAACAGCTCTCGTCAAAACCTTTAATTCTTCCACCTTACTCAGATAAGCTCCTACTTTGAGAAAACCAAGTGTAACGGCAGAGTCAAGACATGCTAAAAAGTTTGAAGAGGAAGAATTTTGAAAATCAAGAAGGGGAAATTGTTGGATACAGTGAGTTCCTCTTCAAAGGTTCTGCTTGTTCAACTCCCTTGTTCTTTGTCTTCTATTTTCAAAGCCTAACTTCCTTACCTCCTTGCACCTAGTTACGGTAAACCTTCCAGCTGTTCCCAATCTGTAACTCACATCCATTCCCAATCTGTAATCAACATCCATTCCCAGTCTTAACGACTCACAGATGTTCCTCATTTAGCACCCTTCACTCTGAAACTGTTCTTCCCACCACTGTAGCCCCCACCCCTGCTCCATTTGAAGTAGCCAATTGGGGTCAGCTTAGATTGTGTGGTCTGACTCCAGCCAATGGGGACTGGACACAGCATCAGAGACTAACTGCTTTAGGGATAAAAACTCCTTTCCTCCTTTGCTCAGTGTGCTCTTGCAGTGACCAGAAGAGTGAGAAGCACCCTTCTGCAGAAGTAAGTTTGCTTTGCTGAGAAATCTTTTGTTCGAGTGCTTGTTTTCTTTGTGACTCTGAGCTCTTATTTCCAACAGTAATGTAGACTCATTTAATATGTTTGTATCTCATCTGATACATGAGTTTGAAAGCAGTACAAGTCCATCATTTGGATCATCAAAATGAAAAGATTCCAAGTTGGTTACTACCTACTATGTTCTGTGAAAATTATAATAGCATATTAAAACTCAATGTTAAATCTGAAAGTATTTAATGTTTTTAATAGTCACTTTTTAAAAGTGTAAAGACTCAAATGTAAAGACTTGTCTAAAACCATATGGTAGTTCATTTTTGAACTGACAATAGAATCCATATTTCTTAAACACCAATCCAGAGCTTCTCTCACTGAATATCACAATCTCTGGAGAATGCTCTCTGTTCTGAATCATAAGATTTAGTGGAGCTATTTTGGCTCATTTATATTATGATAATGGCAGGATAGTTTAACTTGTTTGATTCTAGTCAAAAGTAACTATGTTTTGATTTATTTTCTCATTTACTTTTCTCATTATATAGAACAAAAAATATGTACTCATTCAAAGAACAATTTATTTAATTTTTTACTATTTTCTAAGTACAATGCCAAGTCATGTAGATATGAAGCTGAAGAAAAAGGCCATTTCTTTAAAAAGCTCATCTGTTTTATATGGAGAGTTTTAAAAGTTATTATATTATAAATACAGATGTCATAATGTTTTCATCAATATTTCTCATCCTCCTTTCATGAAATTTCCTCCTTCCTTGAGTGCACATATTGCCGGGACCTTGCCCTGGCTGGTAAACCATAAGCTGGAAATCTGGGTATCATTTCTGAGCAGAAACTTCAAGACCTCATGTGGGATTTGCTCATTTTCTTTTTCATTGTTTGACTATCAGAGGAATATAGACATGAAGCTTTCCATAGTTTTTGTAGTAGAACCCTTATGAGAAGAAAAATGTTTTGGTTTCTGACAAGTTACTGAGATATTGGGCATTATTTGTTACCACAGTATAACCAAAACTATTCTGACTGATAACCTGGTAAGTGCTGCAGGGTCCTAGTGAGAAACATGTGGCACTCTCAAAGTAGAAATTTAGAGAAGTTTAATAAAGAAACCATTTACAAACATGAGTACTGGGTGTAAGAAATATTAAATAGTCTGTAGTGCAATAAATCAGGGCCAAAAATATTTTTCATGATTAATATCTCCAGGCCTGAAAATGTGAGTAAAGGGATACCAGAACTTGAAGAAAGAGAGAATGTATTCTTCGGATGCATCCATTTCATGATACCTCTGCAGGAAGGGAGTTAAGGGAATTAATACCCCAATCCTACTCTTTCCTCTTTTACACCTAGCAATGCTTCCAATAGCTGAACCTAAATGGAGTGGTAGAATGCAGGTCAGCCTCCTGGTCCTTGCAGCAGGCTGGAATGTGGATTTGAAACGGCATCTGGAAGATACTGAGCAAGAGGACATAAATGGACCTATCTACAGATTACTAGAGGAACGCATGAAACAAAACACCTAGAACACGCACAAAAAAGGGGGGTTTCAAGAAAATTCTGGTTGAATATAACTTGAGTTGAAAAAGCATGCAAGAATTACTTTGGAAAATATATGAAGTTCTTCTAATATGAGGATAGAGAAAAGCCCAAGAAAATGTAGAATTTTCAGTAATAGAATAATGATGAAGTTTCAGACTAAGGATTTTGAAGTGATAAATTGGAGACAGATGTAGCAGCCAGAACAAGGAGGCTTTATAGGTTATATTGAATACATTTTACTTTACCTAAAGAACAAAAGAAAATTCTGAAGATTTAGACACAGTGCTGTTGCAGGACATTTCCTTACTTCAGCTAAAGATGTGGGGTCCTTGTTGGTCGCACGGCCATGAAAATTTAGGCTCGCAGGTGGTTTGAACAGTGAGTAAAGCAGGGTTTTATTGGGCGAAAAGGAAGAAAAGGGGGAAACAGGGACTCTTGCTAGGCCAGAGGCCCTGCTAGAGCACTTCCTGCCCACAGCTTGAGTCTCAGATTCCACACAGGAAAAGGACGGGACAGGCTCAGGCTTCTCCCTGCTGCAAACACTGTGAATTTTCCAAGCCTCCACTTCAGTGGGCAGGCTGGTTGGAGTTTCTACAAGAGCCCCCTCCCACCTGGCTGTCTCATTTCCCCCCCTAAAGAAGTACTTCTAACTGCTGTTAGAATAAGGATAAGGATGAAGACTGATCTTGACTGCTTCCTGCTGACAGGGGGCACTGTTTTGGGAAAACAACAGTCAGAGCTTCCTCAAAGGCCTATTTAAGCCTTCCCAGCAGAAGGGGCCATCATCAGAGGTTCCAGCTGCATGACTATTTGGTGTTCAATGGCCTGAAGGCAGGAATAGGCAAACCGGGTTATTAGAAAACATGTATCAAAACAAAACAAGGGGAAGGTTAAGGATGGCTCAAAACTTTGAAGGCCTTTTACCAGTTTGCACAGTGAGAGGGAGACCAAAAGTCAAACTGGTTAAAAACTTTACCCTTTTGTTGGCATATTGGGTTTGTGGGTGCCCTTCCCCCTAGCCCAATCCTAGGCCAGCCAGTTTAAGACTTGGGAAATTAACTCTTTCCAGTTTGGATGATGTGTCTGAGGGGAGTGTCTCATAAGATGGAGACACAATTACCTATTAGTGAAGAGAGAACCGAGAGAAGAAAGAAAAAAAGAAGGCATTTTTCAAAGGATTCCCAGGGGTTCAGGATGCATTCTAAAGGGTTGCAGACTGAAGATGAATGACTACCCATCTAGAAAGAGGGGAGCAGGTATCCCTGGTCCCCTTCTCTTCCTAGCAGATACCTGGGGTATGTGAGGGAGAGAGGGAAGAGCATCCTCCTTCCCTTCTTCCGTCCTTGCATCCCCGAGTCCCAGCAACCTTGGCAGGCACCACCATGAGTGCCAAAGCAGCTTGCACCCATGAAGCAGGGAGGGCCTAACGAATAGGAATTATCCGCTCTCACCTATGCCTCTGTCCTCACTACTGTCAGAAGCCTTGGTGTTCCCAAACCTCATTTTTGCCATGGATACATGTGGCCTTTATCCATGAGAAACAGGAAGCTTGGGGTTGGCTTAATCGGCAGGAATCAGTTTCACTCACCACACTGCTGTGCCTTTTAACCTCTGTTGCCATCTGCCTCTGGATCCCTTAGATCCAGTTTTCTTTCTAGGGCTTTAACCTGAAGCTTGAAATTGAGTCTGAGATGAAAACGTGTCTTGGGGGGATTGCATGGACTCCTCATTATAAGCTGAGTGCTACAGTAAAACTGTGGAACTCTCTCCAACAAGGGAGAGAAAAGGATGTCTTGCAACACATCCAGATAACTGGCAGCTATAATTATGCCTGCTAGGATTTGGATGCATGGTGCTTGACTTTGGTTATTTCCCTTTGTCTGACTTTCCCAAAAAGGAAACCTCCAGGTGATGGGTACCCTGTTTATTCTCTATTCCATCTTCTGGCAGGATTTGCAGGATAATTGCACAGAACTAGAATATTGATCCAGATTTCTACATTACCCATCCCTCTTGTTCTTTCTGAGCTGAAACCAGAGATTGCTGGATGGTTCACAGAAACAAGCAGGTTTAGTCTAAAATGTAGTCAAAAACTGAAGAAAAACTCATGAGTTTAGAATTTAATTACAAATATATGATCAGTTTTGAAAGAAGATTTCTGTTTCCAGTCTTCATGTTTGTTAAAAAAATCATCATAGGACTGAGTGGTTTGCAAAATAGACTTTAGTTTCATGCTTTGGCCTGATTATTTGCATAAAGTGCAGCAAAGATAATTATTTCTGCATAGGCCTTTTGGATTGTCTTTGATGGAAGTCTGTTCCATAAGGAGTCTCAGATGAGACCTTTTAAAGCTGAGCCCAGCCATGGTTTGGTATCCTCAAATACCTGAGTTGAGTGATCCTCTCCTCTTAAGGCCCAAGATAAACTTGGAGCTCCTAGACCTGTTAGAAAATGACATTCTTTACTGGCCACAGGTCAGGAACCCTGTAGAGGGACCGCATAGATGTGAGTATGAGGCCAGTTTCTCCACCGGGCTTTTATTGCCTCTGCAAGTCAAGATTGACTCCTTAAAGGGAGGCATATCCTTCTAGTCAAAGCCTTGGTAAAATAACCACTTTCTCCAATTGTGTCCTGTTGCAAAAGAAAAACATGGATTCTTACTGCACTGATGCAAACAACTACATTGCCATAAGTTAAGAATACTCACATATTTTCCAAATTCTAGAGGAACCAAGCAGAGAGATATAAACACACCCCAAATCTTGTTCATAGGAGTCTACCTTAATTAATTATTAAAGGCCATAAATAGCTCAAAGTAAGCTTCCTTGACTCTGAAAAACAAAACAAGGACCAGCAATATTCCAAGCAAAAGTCAAAAAGGCTTCAACTTTCTGAGTTCAGTCCATTCAGTTAACTCTGGTTTTGTTTGATATTCATGAAAATTTCAACTCTTCATGAGTCTTGTACATTTTCCTTTATTCCAATATCACAAACTCCAAAGTTATCAGAAACCAGATTGTCTCAAATACAATCAGAAATTGTATCTGAGAGCACCTGTCAGAGTCTTATAGTCTATTATAAACTATCTTTTGAAAAGGATCAAAACAAGACAATTGTCTGTGAAAGCAAAATATCCAGGGTGGTTACAGTTAGAAATACGATTGACAAAGAAGTTTGTTTATCTCTGTGGTTTACAATAACAACATAAAAGTCTTAATTATGATTGACAGCATGTACTCAGATATTAGAATTTTAGAAGTCCCATACAATTTTGGAACATACATAAGCATTATTCACCAAGATATAACCTAAAGAAGACTGAGCATCATTTTGGCAATCCCATGTACATAAAAATGTCAAATAATTCTGTTTACCTCTCTTTTCTGGACATTTCAGGGGCCCTCTGAAATATTCAAAAAGCCAGGTGTCAGGAAAGACAATTTTGAAGCTAAAGTTTTCTTTTGGGAAGGCTGTTAAATATTTGAGGTTTAAAACACTTGATACTGTGCAATAGAATTCCAGATTACCATTAGTTATTTATTTTGCTAAAATGATGACTCAGAAATTTTAAAGGAGCAAAACCGTTTATAAATTTTGCCTAAGAGCAGATTAGCATTTTAACAATACCTTGTTGTGCTTTTATTTTAATGCTAAATTTACAGAAAAAAAATGTATAATACCCTTTTCTGAATTTAGTCAGTATGTTCACACAGAGAACCTCTTCTGCAAGATTAATTTCTACAATTCTTCCCCCACTTGTTTGAATCTTCAGCTTTTTCCTAGTTTAAAACAATTCTTTAACCTTAGGCAAAAGTTTACATTTTCATGCCTTCTTATAACCTTTTACTAAAAATCATATTTTACTGTTCTTACACACCTTGCATGTAAATCTATTTTAAGTAGTTTCAATTACACATTATGATGGTAACTCCTAGCAATTTTTAAATTTAAGGTAAAACTTGATAAGTTGCTTTAATTGTGTGCTAATTGCAGCCAAGGCTTGCCTTCTTAATTAAGGATGTGGTTAGTTCCATATGTACCCAGGCATTACCAGTTGTGAAGCAGGCAAGTCAGACAGTTCTCAAAACCCAAAAAGCAGTTTGTAACCTCAAAACACTTAGCAAACCTTGCATCTGACCTGCATTTTACCAATAGTCTTTAAGGCTGTTTTTATTTAATCATGTGATTAAAGTCATGTGAACTAAAAGGTACCACAGCTTGTATCTTCCCTTTAAAAAATATTACATCCAAGCACTTGTCTTTCTTTAGGCCAAATTAATTAGAGCTCTTTTTACAGACATCACACACAGTGCATACACAGACAGGCAGAATAAAACCCAGTCACTGGGTGGGGTTATATAAGAGACAGGGCTAGGAGAACCTGCAGATATCTAACCTAAGAGGGCTCATCCCCTAAGGCAGTATTGCTAACCGAAGCCCTGCCAAGCAGTTACCAGCCATGCCCCCAGGATGTCCAACAAGATGGAGGCTTGATTTCACAACCAAAACTTTGCAGGGAATATAGTGATAGTTTGTGTATAGTCGGGGAGACCTAGCCTAATAAAAGATCTTCTAAATGAAAAAACATTAAACGTTAACTTGCTGATGGGGTACAGAAGGGGAAAGAAAATAAACAGTTTAAAAATGCCTGGAGAAGAACCTCTTATTTTTATGCAAGTGGTTCCTCCACCAGGGAGACAAGTTTAAGCTTAATTACTATCCCATAGAGTTAAACCCCTTGGCCAGGTAAGAGGAAGGCTGTGTCAGCAGCATGTGGCTGGGAACCATCCAGCCAGCTATGCAGGACCCTTGGGCCATGCATCCCAGCCGCTGCACAGAGGGGAGGGGTAGCAAGGAGTCCCTGCTTGCCTGTCCTTCTTAAAAAAGGAAGGAAAGTGCCTTTCCTCCAACCCCAACAGGGTTTGGGGCATGTTTCCTCCATGCTCAGATGTCCAAAGATGAAAATGCTTAGGAGCAACAGTGGAGAGGTTTTGAGTCCCCATTTCACTCACTGCTATTAGGGCCCCATGTTGGACGCCAAACATGTTGCAGGACTCTTCCCTAGTTCAGCTGAAGATGGGGTCCTTGTCCATCCAACGGCCATGAAAATTGAGGCTCACAGATGGTTTGAACATTGAGTAAAGCAGGGTTTTATTGGGTGAAAAGGAAGAAAAGGAGAAAACAGGGACTATTGCTAGGCCAGAGGCCCTACTAGAATACTTCCTGACCACATCTTGAATCTCAGGTTCCACACAGGAAAAGGAGGGGCCAGCTCAGGCTTCTCCCTGCTGCAAACGTCTTGAACCTCCCGAGGAGGCTCCATCTCAGTGGGCAGGCAGGTTGGAGTTTTCTCCAGAGGCTCCCCGCCCACCTGGCTGTCTCAGTAGAATAACTGGATTTTTAATTAAAAACAAAATATAGCAGTAATTATAATAGCTTATATTTATTAAATGATTACAATGTGGCAAGTCTTATTTTGAGCACTAAACATCCACATGAGGCTAGTGCTATTATGATTTTTATTTTTTAAATAAAGATACTAAAGGGGAAAAGAGTTGTTCTAGATGACATACAGTAAGTAATGAGGTAAATATTTGAAACTAGATCTCTTGTAGAGAGCAGATGAATATGTATGCAAGATTGAAGGCAGGAAGACACTTATAAAACTGTAGAAATTATTCAGACAAGAAACAATCAAACCAAATAATAATAATAATGAAGAAAAAAATTCTAAAGCTTAAACCTGTTGAATAGATGCTTAATTGCTTATGTAAAGAGAAGAAAAAGAGTATAAATTATATTTCACAGGGTCCCTAACAGAATAATGTGTCAGATTTAACAGCCATTTTAAAATTTTGTCAGTTGCACAATTGGTATTTTCAATTTGAATGAAAATATTCAAAATTATCAGAGATTATGTAAATTTATTGATATCATTAACAATTTAGGAGTTTTTTTTAAATTTTTGGGTCTGTTGAACTTATTACAGATTTCTCCATTAGAAACTGCAAACATTATTTAATTTGAAAATATTGCCTGATAGAGTTTGAAAGTGAAAAATGAAAGGAAAAAAATAGAAAAGACAGTTAAATTTGGATTTAGCTCAGTCATTAAATTAATAAAGCTGGGCTACATGGTACTGGACGTTTGTGATAGCTGCCTTATTAGATCTGTGTCATTTGAGTATTATAAAAGCTAATTAAAATAGCTATTGTAGCTTATTATCTCTATCACCATTTTACCAATTTTGTAGGACAATCCTATTTTTGTCTTCAGCATTAAATGCTTAGCTAGCTCTTGCCTTCCTCTAAGGTAATCTAGGATATTTTTGGTTGTAATAAGATTTAAATGTGTTGTTAATGAATAATTTAAGACGTTTTAACTTTCACTAGAGTGTTTCTTTTTTTCTACTCCTTTTCCTCCATATGGTGGCATGCAAACTGATTTACCCAAAGATTGCCTAAATATTTATTATATGACCTGAAAAGGGCCATTCTTTCTAGTTTTTTCCAGTTGAGAAAATTACTTGCTTTTTATACTCACATACCATTAAAAAATCATGTACTCCAAATAGGTACTATTTTAAATTTAGATACTACCTGAAGGCTAACAGTGTATACACTCTTTCTTCTTTCTTTCTAGAACTCCAGTGGTAAAAATGTTGAATAATTTGTTATTGGTCATTGGGTTATAGTCTCTGTTTGTTTTCGGTCACTTTTTTCTCTGTCGTGATTGTTAAATTATATTGCACTCTCTTAAACTTTACTGATTCTATTTTCTATTATCCTCACTCTACTAATGAGCTCATCCAGCAATAATTTTTAATATATTTTCCAGTTCTATGATTTCAATTCGTTATTTTATATAAAATTTTATACTGAGATTTTCCTTTATTTAAAAATAATTTGTCATCTTTTTCTATTATTGTATATATAATGGCTATTTTAAAATCTCTGTCAGAGAATTCCAACATCTGATTCACTTCAGTTTTTTTGTCAGCAGATTGTCTTTTCTCATTGAAGTTGTAAATTTCTGTTTTTAGTATAATCGGCATTGTATTCTAGACATTTGTTTCTATTTGTTAGAAAACTCATGATCCTATTTAAATCTTGTATTTTAGCAAGTAATAGCCTCATTTAGGTTTAGCACAAGAGTCCTGGTTTACTTTTCTGGACTCCTTTAGTTCTAATATTTGTTTAATTTTCAGAATCTTTGTGGTGTTATGTTGTTCGGCTTGTTTTATTTGGTTCCACTAAGCCTCTCATGATTCCATACTGGTGTTGCTCAAGGGCACACAAGTCATTTATCCAGGATGGGCTACCTGTTGCCTCCAAGTGGGGGAAGGGAATTTCTGGCCCATGGGGAAGAAGAGTGCTTCATGAGTTGGATCAGTTGTTATGATTGGATCCCATTGTCAGTGCTATTTGATGTTCCTTCCTTACAGTGTCACAAAAGAAGATATTTGAGACTTATTTTAAACCTACTGTGACCAGTCCTAAAACCAATAATCTCTCCAAAAGTTTCTTGTTCTTTTCAAGGGAGAATGTTATTAGACATCAATATCTGAGCAACAGCTGTGTTCATTGCTATTCAGGTTTATTTGCTCTTGAAACTTTCAACAGATGGAATTGGAAAGTAAATAATTTTATATACATGGTTACATATACACATTCATAATGCAGATTCATACCTATATGACACAAATGCATGCATACAAATGTGACAATAAGGTTATATATGTGTGTGTATACACACACATATGAATAGATAGATATATAGATAGATCTACAACTATAGAGAGATCCTAGACAGGTTATTAATTGTCTCTGTTTCTGTCTCTGTTTCTCTGTCTGTCTCTCCATGTATATTATATATATAATTGTATATACTATAGGCATATCAGAAATAATGAATTTACATGAATAACTTCATTCATAATCACAACAGAAAATTCAGTGTTCTTTCTTGCCTTCTACTCCATATTTGTGTTTCTCTTCTTCTATAGTGCAAACTCCTAACAACCTCAGTACATTTGCTCATTTTCTCCGTTAATTAATACACTTACTACAGTTTCAGAATTGCCTGAACCATACTAATACAAATAAATAAGCATAATAAAAAGAAAGTTCATGTTTCTTTGCAGGTCTCTCCCATTCCGCCAAATCTTAGGAGTTAGAGTATACACTTAAATACTATGTTCTGTTTTACTTTGCACTTCTTTCAGTGGGAATGAAAGTAGACCTTGTCTTATAATATAACAAAAATAACTTCCTCTGTCATTCCTTTTTTAAATCTTATCAGAACAATTTCTCTCACTTCGTTCATCTTTTTAAAAGGATCCACAGTTTCAAGTCTTTAATTATTTCAGTATTTTGTTTGAATTCGTTATCTTTTTCATGTAGTGGTGAACCAGTATATATATCACTTGCAGAAAAAATAAAAGCATGACACTTAATTTTCTATTCAGCATAAAGTCACATAATTGCATTTATTCAAAGGGACAATTGGAGAGTTAATTTAAGTGTTTTTGCTCATAAATTTATATTACAGCTTACAGGACTTCCGACTTTCAAATTACCATGACAATCTTCTAATCTTTCACCATGTTGACCTACCTTCCTTCTGTCCTCCTCTGTTCTTAAAATTGAATTGATTTCAAGTTCAATTGGAGCAGTGATTCTATTTTTTCGTTTGGATGTAGTGTGGTTAGAAGAGAAAAATAAAAGCCCTTCAGATGGACACAGTCACAGAATCTGGGAAAGTGCACTTAGGACTCTGATGTGTGATGAGGAAATAGCATGGAGGAAAGAACCAATCTTGCTAAGTACTATAAGCATAATTTTTACTTTCTTCTCACACCTCCTTCCAGTTTTGCCACTACACCTTGATTACTGAATTAAAAATTGTGGACGAAAAGCAAGTTAATGTTGATCTGATTCATGCAGTTTGCAGAGAAGCTTTGGAAGCATGCAGTGAGCTATGAGTGTGAGATATGAAAGGTTTTCAATCAGGGCTGATTCATAGGCATTTGACTGATCCCTGGCATTCCACAAGACCCTGTGCTATGATGTACCCTGCACTTGATTTAACATTATGCTGTAGTCATACTAAAATTTTTAATCATTTTTGAACAAAGAGACCCACATTCTCAATTTGCTCTAGGCCAAAAAATTATATAGCAGGTCTTGCTTTCAGTGATACCATATTTTGGTGAATATTAAAATATAATTTCTGCATGTGATCTATTATGGGTGTTTATGGATTACAATCTAACAAAGAATCATATTTATAAAATTAATTATATTTGCAAATTATCTTTTGCCATGTAATATAACATTCACAGTTTATAGTATTAAAACTTGGAATTATTTTCATGGGATGTAGAAAGAAAGAAATTAATCTGTCTACCACAGCTAGTCCAATTTTTTTCTGATGTTTTATCAATACTAAAATTTCCAATTACTTGAAATTTATAGTTTCTACTTCTACACAGAATTTTCCTGTCCTTGTATTTATCATGATCACACTTTACATTATAGCACTGATGATAATTAGGATTGCTACTTTAAAATTGCTTTCTGTTAAGAATTCTTATGATCAGTTTCTGTTACTTGAATTTCCTTTTGTGGATGGTCCTACATATAACTGGAAATTATAATTGTATCTTCAACATTGTAATGGAAATGTTGTGAAAATATTAAATTCTGCTTTAATCTTTCAATATTACTAGATTGTTTTTGTTTAGCAGGCAATCTTCTTGGTTGAACTTAAATTATATTGGTCTGTAGCTTATATTTTTGTTCAATTTTTGTAGCTCTGATTCACGTGCTGGCTGTTTACTAGAAGAATACATGTTTCAGGATTTAGTAAGACAGCCAAATATGCAATATTTCTCTATCAGTTTATACAGAGATTTGGTGTTCTCTTTGTCTCTTGACTATTATTATGTAAATAACAATAATACATAAGTAATATTATTGCATAAATTACAACATTAAATAAGTAACATCTATTATTTTTGTCCCTTTATTAATGGCTGTGATAACCACAACTTTCATTCAATTCTTTTTTTGGACCTGAAAGATTGCAGATTTTGAACCAAAGTTTTCAGTCACAGCAAAGAGCAATGGCTGTGATCTATCCTCTGACTAAAAGATAAAATAGGAATCTCTGCCAATGCAGAATTTGTCTGATTTCTTCTGCTCTGCATTCAGGTAGATTTTTTTTTTCCATGTCATTTAGATTTTATAATTGCTACGTATGTGAATGTCTCTCATTTTTTTTTCTTTTTGTAAGAGTATTCTCTGGCAGGCCAGTAAAAGAACTCCCATATGGTTAGGTTTCTTGTATTAATTGTATTCATGTATGATTTAGGTAAATTAATCTACATTCATTTTAAGTGTCTGATTCAATGCCATATGAAAGATCTACATACCCATAAGCCACTGCTGGAAACTAAATATTATACAAAAGATTTCCATCAACTGCAAAGGATTTCCCATGTCTCATTGGATTGCATTCTTATTCCCATACCTGGCATAAGGCAAACACAGATTTTCCTGATATAACTAGGATTTAGTTTGCACTTACTAGAACTTTCTTTTTCTAGTATTTGTGTATTCACTTTTCTATTATTTTGAGTCTATCTTCTTGCATGTATTAAAATGATTTTTATCCATTCATGTTGTTTCTTGTATTAGGATTATTATTGCTTAGTAATATTATTCCATTGTCAACTATGTGTCATTTGTGTATCCGTTCATCTGTCAGTGCTTATTTGAGTTGTGTTCAGTTGTACACTATTATGAATAAAGTTATTATGAGCATGTGTATAGAATTCTTTATTGGACATATGTTTTATTTCTCTTAATATGTCTATAAATGGAGTACAGAAATTAAAACATAGGTATATGCAGGTTTTTTTAAGAACTTGAAACTTTTTCAAAATCATTGCACCATCTTGTTTTCCCATCTGCAGTGTATGAGAACTCTAGTCCAACATGTCCTTAGAGTTTGATATGATCAGAAGTTTTAATCTTAGTCACTGTAGTGGTTATGTAGTGGTATCTCATTGAGATTTTAATTTGCATTTCAATAGTGACTAACAATATTGAAAATGTTTATGTGTTCATTGGCTATTTGTTGGTCTTCTGTTCAAATATTTTGTTCATTTTTAATTGGGTAGGTTATCTTCTTTTATTCATTTTTTTTTCTTTTTATCTTCAGCCAACTCACACCAGGTTATCTTTTTATTAGTGAATTGAGAAGCTTATTGTTCTAATACTATATATGATCTCAAAATGGTACACATACGATCTTTCCCCATTCTGTAGTTTGAGTTTCACCTTCCAAATGATCTATTTCAAAGAGCAATATTTTTTTAAAGTTTCTATAAAGTTTAATGTTGCACTTTTTTTTTTCTTTAAGGTTTGTGCTTTTCTGTGAGCTACATAAGAAATCTTTGTCTGCTCCAAGTTTGTGAATGTTTTCTTCTAGGTGTTTTGTAGTTTAAGCTCAGGTTAATTTTTATGATGATAGCTGAGTTGTTTAAAATCTAGTGGGATATACACTTGTTATATCACTATTTATTTTTAAAATATTTCATTTTCCTTTTATTTGTCCTGGTAGCTTTGGTGAAATTTTATTACTCTTATATATGCAGGTCTATTTCTGGAGTCTGTATTCTGTTCCAAGGAATTGTAGGTCTATTATTATACCAACGCTGTCGTGATAATTGCACCTATATAGTAATTCTTGGAATCAATATTCTAACTTTTTATATTTATACTTTTAAAAAGTATGTTTCTGTCATAATTTGTAAACATTTATATGAATAATATAATAGGAACAATATTCATATTTGGAGCAAACATGATTTCTTATCATGTTTGTGTACTACTATGTTTTAAGTTTTCTTTCATCAAATATTGTGCTTAATTAGACAGCTGAGCAGTGATGGCCTTGGGGAGGGGAGTGGCTCTTTCAGAGAAGTAGGAAGAATATTCATTTTTCTCAATAAAGATGGTAAGAATTGTGCTTTTGTGGAGGAGAGTGGATGCAGACAGTTTTAAAACAAGCTCTCTGTTCTTAATTATATTACAATTTTAAAAATGATCATCTTAAAAGCAAAATATTGTTCTATTTTCCAACCAAATATTGTCTATTATACATCGCGTCTATTGTATTATGATTGTCTGATATGTGATTACTAAAAGTAGACATTTCTTGCAGACAGACAAAGTTCCATCTATTTTGGCAGAGTGTTTGTGTCATGCTTCTGTGACAAATCAAGGTTGTGTTTACAGACTTTCAATGTGCTTATCAGTGCTGTTGATTCCTGAGTCGCTCTTCACTCACCTTTGCCTTCTAGCCCCCTATTTAATTGAGATAAACATAGAATCCCTTGAGTGTTTGATTGCAGCAATTAGAATGGGAAGTTTAATGTAAATAAAGAAAAGATAATAACTATAAGTATGAAAATGTTCCCTAGAGACTCTTTTAGCGTTTTTGTAATGCTGAGGGATATAATTAATCAGTGCATACTTCCAGTAGAAGGAGGAGAGAGGTTAGAAAGAGGGAATCTCATAAACTTACTTGATATATCCGTCAGCGTTCCATCTTCTCTTATCTATTTCTCTTGCTCAATATTCTTCAGGCACAGATGTATTTTATTTGTCCTTTAACCATGCAAAGTTCATACTTTCAGCCAAGGAATATGTATATCAGATATTTTGTCGAGATCCTTATATTTCATTGAAGTCTCAACTAAAATGATAACTATAACTGCTTGCAGAGAGAGGCCTTTTAAAATAACTCAGTATAACATAATTCCAAATATTTTTATATCATTTGACTAACTTTTTATTTGAATATATCTCAAAATTATAAAATAACATGAATTAAATCACAATTTCTGACACTATTACTATTCTTTCCTAAAACAATGAAAATTCAATGAAGGCATGGATACTGTCCATCTTGAGGATAGCTTTTATGTAACCCCTAGAAGAATGCCTAGAATATAAATATCCACTTAATAAATATTGGTTAAATTGGAAATATGATACTTAAAAATGATGTGACTTTGTGCAGGTAACTTTACCTTTCTGTAATATCAGTGTTTCTCATATAAATGGGGATAATTATAATAGTTGACATATATACATAAAATGCTTTGAGATGAAAATAGGAAAAATATGCTTGATTTGTTGTAAATAAATATAATTTGCATGCTATTTATACTATTTGAAATTTATGCTTTCACTACAAATTCAGAAACTGTATGTGAAAATGGATACAGTCTAAAATTGAGTAACTATGTGTTGTAGTCCTTACAAAGAACCACAAAGGTTGTAGAAATCAACATCTAACTAAAAGATTCAAATACAAGAGGATTCAACTATGTATGTAATTTATTCATTGAAATGAAGTTATTTTCTCCAAACACCTTCTCATGTCAACATATCTTCCCCCATGAGTAGTAAATATATCTGCAGCAGATCTCATAGTTTTTTGTTTGCTGCTAGTTACTTAAAAATCCCAGTTCACTTTTGGATGGTGACGTGACTGATTCTGTCTGATGATGATGGCTTTTGTCAATGTGGTGGTCTCTGGTATATGGTTTATGTGTTTTAAGATGATGGGCATTTTAGACATGAATAGCCTATATGATGAATTTATAGATGAAATGAACTTGATGGACAACAGTTGTTCTTCAGAAATGAGAATATAGAGAAAAAAGAATGTACATTTTTAGAGAACTAGTAATGGGTTCTTACATGTGTAAAACTCTATTACTAGTATGTGAAAGCATAAAGATTTGTGCTTGATCACTTTTTTAAGAAAATATTTACCTTGATGTCATTACCTTGGACTGACACTAGAGGTCAGTTTAATGGGGGGCTTGATAAGAGCAAAACCGCAAATCAAAGTGAATTTTACATTTGGTTATATTCAGTTTTACCAATACTGTACATTAAAAAAGTAAGAATGTCCTGGACACTTCAGAAAAGTATACTTTCAGATAACTATTACTGGAAAAAGAAACAGGGATACAATTTGAGTATCCCTTATCCGAAATTTGTGGGACCAGTGAATTTCTGACTCTTTGAACCATTTATCAGAAGTTCACTAAATTCTTCAGTTTCACTTTTTTATTGCTTATTTCAAGTAAAATTCAAGTTAATAATTTTAAATTAAGCATAATATGTAAAATGTTACCATCTTAAATAATTTGTCTGTATCTAGTCTTTCTTTTACTCTGTTTTTTTTATGTATGACATGAGTGAAATGAGAAATATCTGAAATAATGTTTGCTATGTATTTAAACTATTTCTAACTGAAGGGACTTGGGGCAGGTTTCTTTTTCTTACTTGTACTGTTTGAATTTTTAATAATAAATGTAGATCATAGTTATGATAAAAGTCATGAAAATCAATGATATTAAATAAAAATTTTGAAAAACTCTGCAGTCATAAATGTTGAGAGTTGCTAGAACTAGAAGCTATAAATAGTAATGCTGACATAAATTAAAATATTGTTATCTTTGACTCAGAATCCCACTTGTAGGAATGTAGCCTGCAGAATTTGAGAGGAGTACATTTTAAAAATTCAAAAATACATTCACAACCCCATGGTTTGCAAAAGCAAAATATTGGAAAAAATTCCTTCATGTCATTCAACTGGAGAACAAATGTATTAAATATGATAATTTCCTACTCTGGGATACTCTGCAGTCATTAAAAATAATGAAGTAGATCTATGTGTACTGATTTGGAAGACTATGATAGATTAAGGAAAGAAAAAAATAGAAGAGGATGAATTTATTAAATATTTCAAGTGTGCTAGAAATTGTTCTACCACTTTACATGTATAAATGTGGGTACTTCTTACTGCATTCTGATTAGTTTGATGATTTTTAACCACCATTTGCAGATGAGCATAGTGAGTCATGGAGGGCTTAACTTATTGCTTGGCCGAGATGCTATGAGCTTTCAGACTCCATTGCTGTTCTTTGTACACTTTGATATATCACCTTTTACATTAGGGCTGGTGAATACAGCATAATTCCATTTTTGTACAAGAAAGAAATTGGGGGGCATGTTTAGAAAGACATAGAGACAGAGAAAGATAAATCAAGAGCCAGGTCCATTACATCTACAAGAGAATCATTCAGTATTTGCCTCCAGTTGTCCAGATAATTATCTTAACACGAGGAGAATTTTACTTCTTTCTATAGGATAATTTTTAGTTAGTTTATTTTTACTTTTCTTCAATTTCCAAATGAGAATAAATCATTAAATAAGGATTAAAAATATCTTCTCAGGGGTATTACTATCTACCTGAAGTGAAAATTATTAGGTTAGTAGTATAGCAGCTTCTGGCTGATTGATAGATGATGGCGGTGTGTGTGTGTGTGTGTGTGTGTGTGTGTCACAGTTGGCAAGTAATGCCTTGCTTAATCCTTCAACTATGTTGAGTAAGAAACAATGTGTATTTTCTTTAGATTTAATTTGTAGTGTCTCAGTCTTAGCTCTGAGCATTTTCTGTCTCATTTAGATAAGGCCTTAGTGCATAATAGTGAACTACCTCTACCTTCACTCAGTATCAAATGAACTTCAGAGGAAAGAGTTTTAATGTATTTACCTTCCTGACAACAATACTTAATTTTTTCTAAAACACTTCTAGGAATTTTGAAAATATTTTATTGGGATAAGTTTCCCACATTCTACAAAGGCATTTAAAGCTATGGCTCATAATCCATCCCAAACCACTCAAAAAGTCAAAACTTTTTCAGAAGAACATTGTGCTCATTTATATGACATTGCAAGTTTTCAAAATACAGGTTGTTCTAATCATATAAACTTTCGTTTGAGTCCCTAATTAAAAATCTCTGTAAAGAAAAGGCTAATTCAGTGTCGAAAAGTAAGGAAGTGATAAAAATACACCTGCATAAATGATGGGAGAATATCAAAGGGATACAGGAGCCAATTGAAAGAGCTCACAATGGCCATATCTGGAGCAATTTTTGGAACAAAATAAATAACAGTATTGGTTTTAACCCACAGTATTAAATAAATATCCATTCATTCATACTGATATGAACACAGATTAAATAAATAATTAGGAGAGAATATACAAATCTCCTCTGAATAAGAGTTCAAAATATTTTAAGTGGATACTCTTCCTTCAAGGAAATAGAGCATAATTCCTGACCCTTAAATGTGGGCTTTGTAGAGGGACTGCCCTCCAAATAGTACAGTATGTAAAGGGAGAAAAAAATAACTACACAATAGAGAAACCCGACAAACACTACCTCAGAAAGGTGATCGAGGTCACATCAACTATTTTAAGCCATCTTGAGTACATGTTATCTTTATATGACCTAATGAAAATGGTACTTTACATTGATCATTTCCTCCTCCCTCCCCTCCCAAAAAGCAATAACCCTGGTCTCATCATAAAGAAAACATTAGAAAAATACCACCTAAGCTACATTCTACAAATTGTTTGACCAGTATTGCTTCAAATTGTCATGATCATCAAAAATATGGAAAGACTAAAAAATTGTCACAGCCAAGGGAAGTGTGAGGAGATATGACAACTAAATGTAATGTGATATCGTGGACGGGATCCTAGAATTATAAAAGGAAATTAAGGAAGACTAAAAAAAAAAACTAAATAAAATATGGACTTTAGTTAATAATGATGTATTGATACTGATTTTGCACAGAATGTAACATACTAATGCAAGGTGTTAATAATAGAAAGAAATGGGTGCAAAGTGTATAATAATTCTACTATCTATCTCTTTCATATAAATCTAAATCAATTCTAAAGTAAAATAGTTTATTCAGTAATAAGAAAATATATATACAGAGAAATTATATATAATTTATATATAAATTATATTTTATAAATATATAAATTAAGTTATATATAATATAGATAAATTTATATGTTATGCACACACAGACACACATACAAATCTTCAAAATGAAAGATAGGAAAATCAGACTTCATTCCTGTATTTTTCTTTTGTTTCACCATCTCAGAGCAACCATAAACCAAGTACTGGCAGACAACCAGTTTTGAAAGAGATTCAACAGCAGAGCTCCAGCTCCAGCTCAGAGCAGGAAAGATCCCTCTGGTTGCAGTTGTGGTTTTTCTTCCCAACCCTTTGGATCAAATAATCAAGCAGATGATCATTTGAACCTCAGGGGATGTTGTCACATGCTGGTACAGGCACACAACTTACCATTAGAAATTATCTTTTTCTAATGGCAATGACACAACAAACTGTGATTCTCATTCAGGAAATGCTTGACTATACTCAAATGTCACCTGAATAAACAACTTGTGATTATCAACATTGTGATCATTAACATAGTGATTTATACATACAATGTATTGACAAATTGGCAGAAGTAAGAATTTAATGGGTCACTTAATTTGGCTTCAATGATCTATATGTTACTTTAAAACATTTTTTAAAACACTGCTTTTCTCCTTTTAGTCAATATTTAATAAAAGTATGTAGCCACGGTAAAAAGAAAAAGTAACATGGTTGCAAGAGAATGAAGTAAAATAAGTAGCAGTGTAATATGGTGGCTCACAGCATGGACTCTGACCATGAGCATGCTTGCAAGCCAGCCCTAGCCCTGGTCTCATTAGCCGTAAGACTTTAGGCAACTTACATAACATTTCTGTCTCAGTTTCCTCATCCTTGAAATAGACATGATAGACCATCTCCATTAGTTTGTTGTGAGGATTAAATGAGATTATTAAATGTCTCAGTGCAGTCATTAACTTTATTAATGGTTTATTTCATACGAAGATGATTATGCACAAATGATTTATCTATAAGCGTCTCTACCCCCTCTCACCCTCACCACACATACATAATTAAGAGAATATGTCGAAAAGGAAGCAGCGTAGCGCAGCATGTTTAATCATTCTTTCATTCAACGGCTACTGCTAGTTACTGGAGGAGCTCCCAATCCTGTGAGTGACACACACCAATAAAGAGACATATGCAAACACTGTTAAGTGTGTTAATAGGGTCATGTTTAGAGCAGAACCAAGGAAGGGACCTGCACTAGACGGGAGTGGTTAGAAAAGACCTCTTGGGGCTGCCAGTTGCAGAGAGCCTCAAAGGACAAGTAGAACTCTAAAGTAGGGAAAGAGGCATTCCACACAAAAGAAGCAAAGATGAGAAAGGGCATGAATGCTCAGGAAATTGGACATAATTTGGTTTGACTGGAAAGTAGGAATACCTATTGGAAAGATGCAAGGGAAGAGGCAGGAAAAGTAGACTTAGGCCAGAAGGCCAAGGGGCCCTAAGCAACATTGTATTTCCATTCTTTCTATTAGGCTACGCGGGGGCCGGGGTATTTCCACAAAAGCGAAACGTATCCCAGCACTTTGTGAGGCCCAGGCGGAGGGATCAGTTGAGGTCAGGAGTCGAGAGCAGGCTGACCAACATGATGAAACCCTATCTCTACCAAAAAATACAAAAATTAGCCACACGTGGTGGCATGCGCCTGTAGTCCCAGCTACTTGGGAGGCTGAGGTGGGAGAATCTCTTGAACCCAGGAGGTGCATGTCTGGAATTGGTAGGTTCTTGGTCTCACTGACTTCAAGAATGAAGCTGTGGACCCTCGCAGTGAGTGTTACAGTTCTTAAAGATGGTATGTCTGGAGTTTGTTCCTTCAGATGTTCAGATGTGTCCGGAGTTTCTTCCGTCTGGTGGGTTTGTGGTCTTGCTGACTTCAGGAGTGAAGCTGCAGACCTTCGCGGTGAGTGTCACAGCTCTTAAAGGCAGCATGTTGGGAGTTGTTTCTTCCTTCCAGTGGGTTTGTGGTCTTGCTAACTTCAGGAATGAAGCTGCAGACCTTCGTGGTGAGTGTGACAGCTCTTAAAGGCGGCGCGTCTGGAGTTGTTTGTTCCTTCCAGTGGGTTAGTGGTCTTGCTGGCTTCAGGAGTGAAGCTGCAGACCTTCTCAGTGAGTGTTACAGCTTATAAAGGCAGTGCGGACCCAAAGAGTGAGCAGCAAGATTTATTTCAAAGAATGAAAGAACAAAGCTTCCACAGCATGGATGGGGAGCCCAGCAGGTGGCCGCTGCTAGCTCAGGCAGCCTGCTTTTATTCCCTTATCTGACCCCACCCACATCCTGCTGATTGGTCCATTTTACAGAGAGCTGATGGCCCATTTTACAGAGAGCTGATTGGTCCGTTTTGACAGGGTGCTGACTGGTTGGTGCATTTACAAACCTTGAGCTAGACACAGAGTGCTGATTGGTGAATTTACAATCCTTTAGCTAGACACAAAAGTTCTCCAAGTCCCCACTAGATTAGCTAGACACAGAGCACTGACTGGTGTGTTTACAAACCTTGAGCTAGACACAGGGCACTGATTGGTGCATTTACAATACTTTAGCTAGACATAAAAGTTCTCCAAGTCCCCACTAGATTAGCTAGACACAGAGCACTGATTGGTGCATGTACAAACCTTTAGCTAGACACAGAATGCTGACTGGTGTGTTTACAATCTTTTAGCTAGACACAGAGTGCTGATTGGTGCATTTACAATCCTCTAGCTAGACATAAAAGTTCTCCAAGTCCCCACCAGATTAGCTACATAGAGTGCTGACTGGTGCATCCACAAACCCCGAGCTGGACACAGAATGCTGATTGGTATATATACAATCCTCCAGCTAGACATAAAAGTTCTCCAAGTCCCCACTCGACTCAGGAGCCCAGCTGGCTTTGCCTAGTGGATCCAGGGCCACGGGCGGAGCTGCCCGCCAGTTCCACACTACGCTCCAGCACTCCTCAGCCCTTGGGCAGTCAATGGGACTGGGTGCCATGGAACAGGCCACACTGGAGCCCACGGGGGTAGGGGGGGTTTGGGCATGGTGGGCTGCAAGTCCCAAGTCCTGCTTTAGGCTAAACTTGATTTAACACCTTTAAAATATCTGAAATGGTATATAATCATCATCAAAAATTGGTGACTGGTATCCTTTTATCAAGTACTGAAATAGTGTACGGTTAGGTATATATAGAGAGAGAATAATGTACTGTTAGGTATATATTTATGGAGAATAATGATTTATGGAATTATAATTAATAAGTTTAGGATATCAGCACTTTTTAGTTAATTTAGTTAATTGACAGTAGCCCAAATTGTGTATGTCATCAGTTTCATAAAGTATCAATAGTTTATATATGTAGTTTACTGTGAAACAATAGATCAACATAAATTTCTGATTTGTAAGTTATCAAAGAATTAATGAAAAAAGTTTACCATATGGAATTTTTGGCATACAAAAGCCTGTATTGCATTATTCAAAAACAACAGTATTATGAATTTCCTTCAACTTTTACTTTTTAAATTTTTCCACACAGAATGTCAGGCAAATCCATAAAAAGCCTTATTGTTTTATATTAATGCATGTGGCTCATATCATCTGGCTGGCACAAAAAAGGAGATCCCTGATTAGGGAGTCAGATCTTTGTTTTGGAGCTTCTGTCTTATACTCTAATAATCAGTGATCTATGTCAAGGCAGTGCATTTCTGGGATTTCAAATTTTTCCAAGTAAAAAGCAATGAATGCATTTTTTCCCTAATTATACAAGGTTTGTTTTAAGGATCAAATACAATAATATGTATTATAAATGCTAGAAATTATAAATCACTCTTTGAATACATGCAATTATTTCTTCTGAGTTATATATTTTAATTGATATATTTTGGTTTGGTGTTATGGTATATTAATATTGAGGTAGAGTTAATACTGCCAATACCAGATGATTTAAGTATTTTGAAAAAGTAGAAAATATTCTGGACACATGAGAAAATAATTCAACAGAGATATAGACCAAAGGAACAGAATAGAGCCCTCAGAAATAATATCACACATCTACAACCATCTGATCTTTGACAAACCTGACAAAAACAAGAAATGGGGAAAGGATTCCCTATATAATAAATGGTGCTGGGAAAACTGGCTAGCCATATGTAGAAAGCTGAAACTGGATCCCTTCCTTACACCTTACACAAAAATTAATTCAAGATGGATTAAAGACTTAACTGTTAGACCTAAAACCATAAAAACCCTAGGAGAAAACCTAGGCAATACCATTCAGGACATAGGCATGGGCAAGGACTTCATGACTAAAACACCAAAGCAATGGCAACAAAAGCCAAAATTGACAAATGGGATCTAATTAAACTAAAGAGCTTCTGCACTGCAAAAGAAACTACCATCAGAGTGAACAGGCAACCTACAGAATGGGAGAAAATTTTTACAATCTGCTTATCTGACAAAGGGCTAATATTCAGAATCTACAAAGAACTCAAACAAATTTACAAGAAAAAAACAAACAACCCCGTCAAAAAGTGGGTGAAGGATATGAACAGACACTTCTCAAAAGATGGCATTTATGCAGCCAACAGACACATGAAAAAATGCTCATCATCACTGGCCATCAGAGAAATGCAAATCAAAACCACAATGAGATATCATCTCACACCAGTTAGAATGGCGATCATTAAAAAGTCAGGAAACAACAGGTGCTGGAGAGGATGTGGAGAAATAGGAACACTTTTACACTGTTGGTGGGACTGTAAACTAGTTCAACCATTGTGGAAGACAGTGTGGTGATTCCTCAAGGATCTAGAACTAGAAATACCATTTGACCCAGCCATCCCATTACTAGGTATACACCCAAAGGATTATAAATCATGCTGCTATAAGGACGCATGCACACGTATGTTTATTGCCACACTATTCACAATAGCAAATACTTGGAACCAACGCAAATGTCCATCAGTGATAGACTGGATTAAGAAAATGTGGCACATATACACCATGGAATACTATGCAGCCATAAAAAAGGATGAGTTCATGTCCTTTGTAGGGACATAGATGAAGCTGGAAACCATCATTCTGAGCAAACTATAGTTAAGGACAGAAAACCAAACACTGCATGTTCTCACTCATAGGTGGAAATTGAACAATGAGAACACTTGGACACAGGGTGGGGAACAGCACACACCGGGGCCTGTTGTGGGGTCGGGGGAGGTGGGAGGGATAGCACTAGGAGATATACCTAATGTAAATGATGAGTTTTTGGGTGCAGCACACCAACATGGCACATGTATACATATGTAACAAACCTGCACATTGTGCACATGTACCCTAGAACTTAAAGTATAATTAAAAAAACACACACACAAAATAATTCTTAATTTTACCTAGTTAGACATCCTCAGTAATATTGCAAAATTGTGAAAGTAGCCATCAGGTGGCAATAAAATAGCAAACTAAAACTAATTATGACTCAATTGATGTCAACCTGATCAGAAGGAAATGAACTTTGAGATCATAATAATGTTTAGGGGAAAAAATTGTTTCCAGCTACTGTTAAATACGTTCAATATTAAAGAACTTTCCTTAAAAATGTTAATATGGTAATGATTTGGGCCAAACAGTATTACATACTTACACTTTGTATTTTAATTTTTATTATGCTTCAGAATGTGTATAATATGGAATGCACTAAACCATTAAATAAAAATGAATTAGAAATGTATAACTAAATACATATATATATCAACCACTTTGCATATTTATCTGCAAACTTATAACATGCAGATATTTACTCACATCTTAAAATAAAAACATGTGCTCATTATCTTGTGATAATTTGAGAAATGCAGGATTGTTCCTAAAGAGAAAATAATAATTAATATCGTTATGATGTCTCTTTGAAAGCTTTTCTAAATTAATGTTGAAATAACTAATATTTAACTATAGGTTATATACTGAGTGTTAGGAATACTAAACTGCTAACAGGATATGTAATGCAGAGTTTGATTTGCTATTTTAGATTGCATGTTTATGTTCAAAGGATTGTTGATAGAAATGCATTATCTAACTACAAGCAATTATAGTTTACCAAGTCAAATATATTAGTCCATTTATGTTGTAGCTAGTAATAAATGAGGAATCTATCATTCTAAATAACTAATACAGCACATGGGCAATTTTAGCACTCAATAATTGAGATTCAGTAAAATCAACTTGCCATTTGGATAGAGATAGATGAACAACATGGAGTTTATATTTTAATTACTTCAATATCTCACTGACATTAAAATGTTCCTGTTGGCAAAGAATAAGGCTTTATAGTGCATTTGTAGTAGCAATCCATGAGTTGCAGAGCCAGTGTTTGGATTGAGTCTCGTTTACAGGAATGAATGCTACAGTACTTTTCGATGAGGAAGCAAAGATTCTTACTTAACTACTTTCCCATCTGCTAGACACTTGCCAAAGTTGAATTATGTATTTTTCTGATGAAGAGAATATCTTCTTTAGAGATTTTACTATTTGAATAGAAAGGGAACAGATACTTTATGTATCAGTTCCTTAGAGAAAGCATTTCTAACCATGGAGAGTTGATAAAGTGCCTGTCTTACATTAATCTCACCAAAGGCCTCCTGCGTATACCCCATGAGCACTCACTGCAGTGTTTTATTTGATCATGAAACTCTTATTAATTGTGAAACAAATTGGCAATGATGTTTGACTTGCTCTTTGCCATGTATCATGTCAAAATATTAATAAAAGTTTATCACAAAAGTTTTAGCATAGAAAATTTTGCATAGACAAATGTTTGTACAGGATAAATTTACTATATACATTTTTTATACACGTCACAATAAAATTAAAGAGACAGAAGCAAACAACTCGAGTTATTAAATGGGAAAAAGATACGTAGAGACAGAAGATATGTACTGGCAATAGACAGAAAATGAAATAGTAACGTAAAAAGATAACCTCACACATAGTAAGACGAACAAAATCTGGTAAATGACCATTTTTACACATCAAGTTAGAAAAAACTCAGAAGTTTTTATCATGTATTTGGAGTCCCATAGTATATATTCTTTTGAGTTTGGCTTCTTTCACGCCTCATAATACTTTTGAGTTGCATCCATGTTGTTGCCTGTGTCAGCAGCACATTCATGGTTTTCTAAATAATATCCCATTATATGAGGTACCACAGTTTGATTATCTAATCACCAAACATTGAACCTTGTGCCATCTGCAAATTCTAGAAGTTACTTTAAAAATCTGATAAAAACATTCAGGTACAGTTTTTTCCTATGGACGTATGTAGAAATACTCATGAATGGGGTGGCTGGGTTGAATACTAAATGTATGTTTAACTTTGTAAAAACCTGCTGAACTGTTTTTCAGCTCTTTTCAAAGTGGCTGTGCTATTTTGCATATTATTTGAGCATTAAACAAGAGCAATGTAGGAGAGCAACTGATGCACTGCATACTTGACAATAGCAGATATTGTCAGATTTTGTAGTGTTGCGTTTATATGTAAAGAACTTGTAGTAAAATCTAATTTTTTAAATTGTTCTGTTTCTTCAGTGACTAAATGCTGTGTATATCTCTTTATGTACTTACTTGCCATCAGTAACTATTCAGTAGTGAAGTGTCTATTCAAATCTTTTGGTCATTTATTTATTGGGTTGCTGATTTTGTTATCATTGAGTTGTGAGTGTTCTTATACTTATAACATGGCTACCTATGTGTTTTATTACATTTCTCCTAGTCTCTGTTTGGTCTTTCCATTTTCTTTTTAGTGTCTTTTAAAGAGGAAAATGTTTACTTTTTATACAGCTCAATTTATTTTTAAATAATTATTTATAATATTTGAATCCTATATAAAAAATCTTGGCCTAATATAAAGTCACAAAGATTTTCTACTTTGTTTTTTTCTACAAACTTTATAGTTCAACTTTTATATTTAGATCTATAATACATTCAGAATTAATATTTATATAGGATATGAGGTATGAGTCAAATATTTATTTCTGTCATATGGATATCAAATTGTCTTAGTGGCATTTTTTGAAAATGGAACCAAAATAAACAAAATGAAAAAAGGCTCTTTTTACCATTTAATTTTCCTTGCAAGTTAATAGAAATTTAATTTCCAAAACACTTTTCTTTTTGCTCTTATAACTTAAGTCTGAAGAAAGTATGTGATTTTGTAGTTGTTCTATAATTTCCTCTGTTCTTTGGTAGGAGTGATGCTCCTTCCAGCTTTTTACACCCTAGGCAGAATCAGATGCTCCTCCATGTTTTATTTTCTTAATATGTGTTCCTACCTTCTCAAATAATTCCTCTGATTGTTCTTCCAGCTTATCAATTTGCTCTTCCACTGTGTCCAATCTGCTATTCACCCTAGTTGTTGAAAATGTTTTAAAGTATTATTTTTATTTTAAGGAATCTAGCTTCTGTTTGGTAATATGAGTTCAATATCATTCTTTTTCTGTTTTTCTATACATGCTTAAAATTTTGTTTTACTAACTTTGGTTCTTGTTGTACTCTATTTCATGTGTAGAATACTCCTTAAATATCTGGTGATTTTATAAATCAATTCAATTTTAGAGTTAAGGTAGCCTACATAATCATATAAGCTATGACAGGAAGAGAATCAATGCTTGATGTTTATAATATATCCCTTGATATTGAAAGCATTGTCTATGAGCTGGCATTAATATCACCTCAGAGACTTCTAGAAATGCAGAATCTCAGTCCCCGTCCTAGACCCACCAAAACAGAATATATGTTTTAGCAAATTCCCAGTTGATTCATATACACATTAATGACTGAGAAGTACTGGTCTATGCTGTTTTCAATAAAAGTTGAAAATGGAAGAAATGTGGGAAGTTTGCAAACTCTTCTTGTAGGTTTATCTCCTAATCTTTTCCTTTTTTTTTTTTTCCTCATTGACTCAGGAATCTATGCAATCACCTCAGTTTAAGGTCACTGAACTTCATAACTCCAGGAAGCAGTATTTATATTTCAGTCTTGGGGTGGTGCTTCAGAAGGTACACAAAGAAAAATGTATCATAAAGTTGTGAAATGTGGAGGCATTGAGCTTTTCTGTAGCATTATACCTTTACAATAATTAGTGACTTTTATGAGATGGGAATTGCATCAAGATTGCTGCTGCTTTGAGATTCTAACTAATCTAATGATTTGCTCCTTGGCATTTTGTTCCCATATCCTTCCAACTCCAGCTGCATCATACATTTGGAGTTTGCCATCTACATTTTAAGTGCGCTCTTTTGCATATCTTGAGTTATAAATCTTCCTCTTGGGTGTGACCATTTCTGTTATTAGTTGTTGATTTCTCTAAGAATTTTCCTTCTCTTAAAAAATAATTAAAATTTTATTTTTATGTATTTAATATATTTTTTTAACTTCACTAATGATGAATTTTGGTTCAAGAGAACTATAGTGTAGCAGGTCCATTTTGAAACCAAATGCAGAGCTGCATCTTTCCCTTAAATATTTTCAGACAAGTCATGCTGATTCTTAACGCCTTTAAGGAACAAGGAGAGCATTTGTTTCTAGATTTTTCATGATGATTTTATTTATACATGATTTTTGATGCCCATTAAATTCATTATTATCTCATTCTTGTTCTTGTTTTCCACTTTTTTACTCCCCCTTCTTTGTCTCTTCCTTCTTGTTCATTTCTTTTTTTTTTCTTTCAGTACTGATGGATAGATCTTGCTATATTGGTTCCTTTCTGATTATTGTTAATGTTGTCCCGGTACTTGCCTCCATATTTAATCTCTCTAATTAGTTATCGCTATATAAGCAATTAGAAATGTGTCAATTTTCTTTAGGAAAATCTCTAACATTTCCCAGAGCTGAGAGGGTGTGTTTATCTCTCTCACTTCCATTATTGATTAATACTAGATTGATAGAACTTGTTTCTCTACATTTGCACATTTGTGACTTGTGACTTTGCTCTTTTTAAATTAAAAATGGATATTTTTTCTATTTTTTGATAATATTCAATATTCTCAGTGGTTTAGAATAAGAGGAGAATAAAATTGCCTTTTTCTGTCATCTTTAAAACAAAACCTCCATCAGTATCTTTTGAAGAATCACATAAACATATACATAAGATACTCACTGAAAAGAAAACAATTGTCTTTATATTCAAACATGGCTGGTAAGATAAAGAAACTAATTTTTTGTGGATTTATTTTTGAAATGCTTTGATTGCTTAACATTTAAATTATAAGATATATTTCGAATTCTTAGGACAACTACAATCATTTTAATATGCATAATAATTAAAAGATTTATATAATTCAATTTACAAATAGTAACTGTAAATTTATTATAGTAATCTAATCGTTTTTATTTTTATTTTTATTTTATTTATTTATTTATTTTTTTGAGACAGAGTCTTGCTCCGTCGCCCAGGCTGGAGTGCAGTGGCATGATCTCGGCTCACTGCAAGCTCTGCCTCCTGGGTTCATGCCATTCTTCTGCCTCAGCCTCCCGAGTAGCTGGGACTACAGGTGCCCGCCACCACGCCTGGCTAATTTTTTTCGTATTTTTAGTAGAGACGGGGTTTCACCATGTTAGCCAGGATGGTCTCGATCTCCTGACCTCATGATCTGCCCATCTCGGCTTCCCAAAGTGCTGGGTATACAGGCATAAGCCATCGCGCCTGGCCAGTAATCTAATTGTTTTATACTATTGAAACAAAAGCAATTTAGAAGACTCAAATCACATGTGAATGATGTGAATATAAGGTATATAGAAAATCAAGTATTTTCTTCCCTAATAATATCATAAGAGAATGAAAAGAAATGGAAATGGTTTCCTTTTCAGAAAATGAGGAGTAACAATATAAAAGTTTAAATAAGTAGCAAGATGAAATAGTATCTTATACCTAGAAACCACTTTCTGATTGTATTTTCTCAATATATTGATTTTTCTAAGGTGAACTAGAATTACAGAACAATCCTCCCTTAGTATTTGTGGGGAATAAGTTCTAGTACTCCCTTACAGAAATCAAAGTCTTCAGATGCTCCATTCTCTGATATAAAATGATATAGTATTTGCATACAACATACACACATTCTCTCATATACTTTAAATCATCTCTAGATGTTGATGGTACCTAATACAATGTAAATGCTATGCACACAGTTGTTATATTGTATTTTTTCATTCATTTGTATTATTTTTGTTACATTATTATTTTTTATTTTATTTTCTCCAAATTCCACAGATGTGTAACTCATAGATACCAATAGATATGGAGAGAAGACTGTAGTTATTTGCAATTTGTTCATCTAACTTAATATTTCCAGTAATAGAGGAATTCACATTTTAAATATGCAATATCACAAAACATTTTTATAAGTATAGAAAATTAACATAAGTATATAAAACTATCAATAAAGAGAAATCAATTTAAATGTAAATGCTTTATATGCTTTGACTCTATTAGGTACTATTTTTCAGAACTGCCAAGCATATGGATACACTGAAACAGCACTGGGGAATATATAAATGAGTACAGAATTTATGAAGTGCAATTGGCCTTCTTACATCAAATTCATTAAAATGTGTATATCTATTGGCTGAGAAATGGTCTTCCAGGAATTTAATCACGGGTAAATACTTACAGCTTTATACAAAGATTTGTCTACAAATACATTTATTACAGCATTGTTTAGATTAGTGATAAATTGGAAACAAAGTATCTATAAATAATTAATTGGTTAATCATTATAGAATACATATAAGATACAATACTTTTCAACCATTATGATATTGTAGAAAGGAAACATACTTAAATGTATTATTAGATTATAAAATGTTTTACTTGTCAGTATCTCATTTTAAAATAAAATTATAAGTTAAAGATATTAATTGATCACATAAAAAGCACCAGAATCTATCTTTAGTGATAGGGATACAGGTTGTGAAACAATTAATAATGATAATAAAAACAACATTGAAAATGAAATTTTTGCATTCTTTCATATCACATATTTTTGCATTTTTTGAGAAGACAACTATTAATAAAATAATCTAAAGAAGGTATCTATAAACAGATATTGTATTTATAAGGAAGTGAATAATATTATCCCCTTCTCATTTAAGAGAATCTTAACTATGACCAACCTAAATCCATATTTTCAGCCATATGTAGCCACAAAGAAGCAATATGATATTTTCAGATGGAATGCTTTTTGCAGAATCTATGTAATAACCTTAAGGGTGAAGGGCATGCCCTCATCTCTCCCTAGTTCCCAATTTCTGGCAAAAAGGGCAGGATGGGAGGGTGACCTCTCAAGTACCATTAAAGTAAGAGCAACCCTGTAGATACGAAGAGAATGAGGCTAAAAGGGCTTTGGCCTGACAAGTGGTTGAAACATCCAGCCATTAACTTCTGATATCTGGTCTGATATGTGAGAAAGACAAACTTTTCTCTTGTTTAGGTCCTGTCAGTTCTGCTTTCCGTCAAACAGTCAAAATTCCATGTTAAGAAATTTAACATACAAATTATCTGTTGCAAAATAGGGCATTCCTCGGTTGAAGCACTAAAAGGACACTCTGGCAGAGACCAAAGGAGAGGACATAAGCACTGCATTAAAACTCAACAAGTAAGAAAAAATTTTCCCAGAATCCCATCTAGGAGCGTCGGAGCATTTGGACAGGACCTAACACCAAGTATTTCATTAAGTCAGGAAAACAGAAATAATTCCATTTTTTAAGTTTCATTTTGAAATAATTTTAGTTATGCAAAAATGCTAATGATAGTACAGAGAGTTTCTGTTTATTCTTCACCCAGCTTCTTCTCATGTTAACATCTATGTAACCCTGGTACATTGTTCAAAATTAAGAAATTAATATTGATACAAAACACTGTTACCTAACCACTGACTGTTTTTGAATTCCATTAGTTTTGTTCCCTGCCCAACACTGATGTCTTTTTTTTTTCTCTCTCTTCCATGATCCTATGCAAAATACCACACTGTCCTTAGCCATGGATCCTTAATCTCTTCCAACTTTTAACATGTCAGTGTTTCCTTGTTTTCATGACCTCGACGCTTTTGAGGAGTACTGGTCAGTTATTGCGTAAAATGTCCCTCAATTTGGGTTTGTCTGATATTTCCTCATGATTAGATTGGGGTCATGATTTTTGGAAGGATACAAATCGTTATGTACCTTTTTATAGCTTTTTAACAGGGACACATGATATCAACACAGTCTGATGATGTTAATCTTGATCATTTCATAAGGTAATGTCCACTAGGATCATGCACTGTAAAATTACCATTTTTCCTTTTCCATAATCTCTCCATATATAATAAAATTTCAACCAAGAGTCAAAAAGAGGGGAATTAAACCTCACCTAGTAAAAGAAGAGTATTAAAGAATTTGTAAAACTATGTTAAAAGCAGTCACAGTCATTAATAAATAAGCATCTTGAATATAACAAGCATTGCAGTAGATTTCTGAAGATGATTTTCTAGTCTTTCTACATTTTGAGAAGAATTTTCTATAAGAAAGATTTGTTCTTTCTCACATTTGCTAATTTATTCATATCAGTATGAACTCATAAATATTTATTTTTGCTCAAGTAGTTCAAATCTTGTTCATTGTGATCTCTTCAGCTTGCCATCCACGCTTTTAGGCATTCCCCTTTATGTATGTATGTATTATTTTATCATGTCCTTATTTTTCATTGCTATAAGATGTTTCATTCTTATCTTGTGCTTTTCAGCTCCAGTCCTAGATCCAGCTGTTTTTTTTCTTGGAAGCATGGTTATTAAAACTCCTTTTCTTCATTTTTTTATTTGGTAGAAGTTGTTAGCTTTATGTTTATATTTAAGTCTATGATTTATTTTGGGTTTACTTTTGTATAATACGTGAGATATATATTGAGTTTGATTTTTTTGTATATTTGTTTAGTTTTGCTAGTTTCCCTTTCTTAGACTAAAGATATTTCCATTCATTCCTAATTTGCTGAGATTTTTTTAATCAATGATTGTTTAATTTTGCCAAATCCTTTTTCTTCATCAATTGAAACGTTTGTATGATTATTTTTAGTCTGTTAAAATGGCGAACTATCATCAGAGGACTGACCCATCTGATTTTCAAATGTTGAAGTTGTCTTGCATTCTGCAGATAAAACCCAACTGGTTGTAATATATTATTTAGTTTATATTTTGCTGAATTTGATTTACTAACATTTACATTTTTATGTTAAAATAGTTTGATATAAAATATTTTTTAAAATATAAAATACATTAATATGAAAAATTTAAAAATATTTGATATTTTAAAATATATGAATTTTTTTGAAAGTTAAAAAACTTTGGTGTTGAATATTTATCTGTTTTCATTTGTTGAATTGTATAAGCTTTTTCAAATTTTCTCTTCTTTCTTGAATGTCCTTTTGGAAGTGAATGTATTCAAAGTTTTGGTATATTTCATCCAGCTTCTCAGGTTTACCAGCATGGAGTTGAGTTGTTCATCATATCTCCTTATCATATATTTGCATATTTGGGATCAGTAGTGCTCTTTCTTCTTTCAAATCTGATACCATAAAATACATATTTGTTTATGATGGTGGTGGTGGTTGTGGTAGTGGCCATGTTGGTACTGTTAATCAACCTCATTAGATGTGTATCAATTTTATTCCTCTTTTCTAATGATTAGTTTTTTTTATTAATTTTCTCTATTTCTTTCTGTTGTCAGTTGTATCTATTTCTACTCTAATTTTTATTCTCTTCTTTCTGCTTTCCTTTGGGTTTAATTTGCTCTCCCTTTTCTCATTTTTTAAGGAGAAAGTTTTGGTTAGTAATTGGAAATCTTTCTTGTTTCCTAATATAAAGCACTTAATGTTATAAATCACTTTTTAAGCACTGATTCATACAATATGTTTCAATATGCTATGTGTTTATTTTTATTTAATTCAAAGTATTTTGTAGTTTTCATTAGATATCCTTCTTGACCTTGGGTTATTTAAAAGTGTATTGTATAACTGCCAAATATCTCGGGATATTTCAGGTATTTTTTTATTTCTAGTTTAATTATTTTATATTCTGGTAAATTATTTCATTGATTTTTATAACTTAATACATATTCAGTTTTAATGGCCCAGAATATATCTTGGTTATGATTACACATACACTTAAAAATAATACATATTCAGCTGCTGTGGGGTACAGTGCTTTATTCATATCAATTCAGCATATTGGTTGATAATCTTATACAATTTATCTATAGCTGTACCTATATTTTTCCACGTGTTTTATCAGTTGCTCAGAGAGATGTACTTATGTTTTGAGCTAGGATTATCCATTTGCATGTTTCTTTATCAGATATTTTAGCCTTCGTCTAATGTATTTTGAGTCTTTCCTGTTAAGTGTATAGAGATTTAACAAGGTTGACCCATTTATCAGTATGAAATATACCTTAATATTCCTGATAATATTACTTGTCTGTCTTCTTTTTATGACATTAATATATCTACCCAAGTTTTCTTCAATTAGTGCTTGCTTGGTGTATCTTTCCCCATCTTTTGCATTTAACATCTCTATGTCTTTATAGTTGAAATGTATTTCTAGTAGATTGCATACACCTGAGTCTTACATTTTTATTTAATCTCAAGATATGTGTGTTTTAACTAATGTATTTAGAGCATGCTCATTTAAGGTACTTTTTAGCATAGCTATATTGAAATGTAGCACTGATATGGACAGGAGGCACTAAAACACTGGGTAGAAGAGGGAAGTCCCCAGCAAGAGCCACACCCTCAAGCCTGCACCCGCAGCCCAAACTGAGAACATGCATTCCTGTTTTCCCTCACAAATGTTGCCTTTTCCAAAACCACCCTGGCCTGTCCCACTCCCATCCTGTATCCATAAAAACCCCAGGCCCTCTTTTCCAAGAGACAGATCTGACACTTTTCCAAGAGACAGATCTCTCTTTCTGCCACGTCTCTCTTTCTTTTAGGTGAAAGGAATGTTGGCTTGGTTTCCCTTCACAGAGCTTTAGCCATCATGTGGGACCAGGACAAGGTCCTCGGGCAACTAAAAGAATCGGCCAAGACTCCCAGATTTTCCTGTGGTACCTTTCCTTCCTTCCCTCATGGTTTGAAATGGTTCCTATCTGCTTTATAATGTTAAGCGATTTGCTGCAAAATGCAGAGGTATTAAGTAGAATGAGTGTTTGCTTCAGCAATCAGATATGCAACTCAGAACAATGTGATTTTCGTTTGTTTTTAGAGGGGCCATCCCCACAGCCAACCCAACAGCCACAGGTGCACGTGGCAGAGAGCGGCTCCCTTTCTCACCCCCTCACCTCCCAACTTGGGTGCCAGGGCATGTCTGCCACACATGTGCACTGTGCCCAATGGCCAAGTGGGGTGAGAGTAAGCTGCACAGGCCCCCAAGCCCCAGGGCAATCTCGGAGGCCAGAGCACCTGTGCAGCCAGCTGGTCAGTGTCTCCCATATGCCGCCCCTCCTGCCACATGCACACTGAGCTTTTCCTCCGCAGGCCAAGGAGTTCAACTTGGTCTGAACTGGGAGAAGGATACAGTGATTAAAGGAACCCATTTGGACAGAGCTACGGGTTCTTCCCCCAGCCCCCCCAACTTTTTGCACTATAAGCTTTCTTTTTCCTTTTCTAAGTGAGAGGGTTCTTTTTCTACCTCAGCACTCTGCTTGTGATAAAAAGGCAACAGAAGAGAGACCCCTGCTTGCTGATGACTGCAAATTTGGAAAACCCTGTCTGGGACGTAATCTAAATGAATCCATGCACCCCCCTGAGACAACTTTTTGTCCTAAACTGAATTCTAAACTTCAGATTGCAGCCCTAGAAAGGAAAACCAGATCTCAGGGATTCAAAGCCAGGCAACAGGCACAATGTAAATGGGCAGGACTACTTCCTGCCATTTAAAACCTCACTCCATGAAAGGAGGCCATGCTCCATGGCATAGATAAGGCCCAGGGAACTCAAAAGTTGTTAACAGTAGGGAGGATGGAAGCATGATGTTAGTAGAGATAATTCCTTTTCTCTAGGCCCTTCCTGCTTCATGGGTGCAAGCCACATTGTCACCCATGGATGGCACCTGCCAAGGCTGTTGAGACTCAGGGACAAAAAGACAGAAGAGAAAGTGGGGATTCCTGCCTTCCCATTCCCTCACACCCCGAGTTTTCACTAATAGAAGGAAGGGAAATGAGGGATGCCTATTTCCCTGTCTTTCAGAATGGGCAACCAGCTATCTTCACCACCCACAGTTTATACTCTTCTGAAGTGTATTGAATCACTGAGACTGCTTTGACCCTCAGACTCTGGAGGAAAAATGCTTCATAGTCCTCTGCACAAAGGTTTTGCCAAAGTACGAAAGACTGGCTTGGCCTCAGGATGAAACCATTTATTTCAATACCATCCAGCAGTTGCACCTTCTCTGTAAACAAAAACACAAATGGTCTGAGGCCCCATATGTGCAGGCTTTCATTACCTTGCAGGGCAGTCTAGACCTTTACAAAAAGTGTAGGATTGATCTAGCCCTTCTGCTGGCCATCTCAGGAGAGGCTGCAAGGGGCAATCCTAAGGAACTAAAGAAAAAAAAAAAACCCAGAGGCACCTCTGGTCGGGGAGCCATGTCCCTCCAGCCCTGATCCTCCAAGTCCACCCTGTCCTCCCTATCTAGTTTCTCTCTCTTGCTTGCCCCTTCCTGGAAATCCTCACCCTGGGTAAGACCCAGTCTCACTCTTGCCCCTCCAACAGATGCCTGGTGATTTTGACCCCCATGACGTCCAAGTTCCTTTTCCTCTACAGGACTTAAGGTAAATTAAGAGGGATCTTGGCAAGTTTTCAGATGACCCTGTCAGATATATAGAGGCTTTTCAGAATTTAACCCAAGTATGTGAACTCTCCTGGAAAGATATTATGTTACTTTGAATTAGACCCTGAGTAACACTGAGAAGCATACCTCTCTGCAAGTGGCAGAGAGATTTGGGGATGAGCTTTGTATCACATATAGCATCAGAGAAGGGGCCAAACTTTATCTAACTGGAAGAGAAGCAGCACCAGTGGATGACCCTAAATGGGATCACAATGATGAGGTGGGAAAATGGAAGAGGAGACACTTTTAAGTGTGCCTAATGGAGGGCTTATGTAGGACTAGGACCACGCCCCTCAATTATACCAAGATATCCATGATAAACCAGGGATTGGATGAGAATCCCACTGCCTTCCTGGAAAGGCTAAGAGAGGCCTTGTTAAAGCACACCTCTCTATCTCCTGATTCAGTCGGGGGACAATTAATCTCAAAGAATAAATGTATTACTCAGGCAGCCCCTGATATTAGGAGGAAGCTGCAGAAACAGGCCCTGGGACCAGATAGTACTTTAGAGAACCTCCTGAAATTGGCCACTTTGGTCTTTTCTAATAGAAATAGAGAGACACATAAAAGAGGTAGAAGCTTTAATGGGCACCATGCAAGCCCTCAAATCCCAGAATTCCCAGGGTGGACCTGTTGACTGATACAGATGTGGCAAGAACAGTTATCGCTCTTCTAAAGTTTAACTGCTCCCATACAAGTTTTAATTTCTTTCACCAGGGTGAAACATCTTGGGGTACAATGTTGTTAGTATATTTCAATTCTTATTTTGGTAATCTTTGGCACTAGATTCTTTCCTTGTTCAATACACACTTAACCCATGCATATTTAACCTTGTAAAACTTGTTTTTTTCCTCTCTTGCCTAGAGGTCATCAAATTCCAAATGGTCAGACAACCAGAGCCTTGTATGATGGCTCCCATTGCCAGGAACCGTTAGGGTAGATCTCTGGGAGGAATCTGACTGCCATTTTCCCCAAAACAATACCACCTTGTCAGCAGGAAGTAGCTAATAGTGGTTGTCATCCATATTCTAACAGCAGTTAGATGTGCTTTTCTAAAAGGGGGAAAGAGACAAACAGGAGGCAGGGAAATATGGGTAGAATAGGGTGGTCCTCAACAAGGGCCAAATCCTCAAGCCTGGACTGGTGGCCCAAAGTGAGAACATGCATTCCTGGCCCATCCCACCCTCCATCCTTTGCCTGAAAAAAACCCAGATCCCACTGACAGAGCAGAGAAGAGAAGCAGCAGCTAGGTGTCAGAGAGAAGCAGCTTGACTTCAGAAGGATGACTCGATGGTGGGACCTCAGAGAAGAGTTCAGCTGGGGACAGCCAACTTCAGGGGAAGACCAACTTCCCACTCCATCCCCGTTTCCAGCTCCCCATCCTGCTGACAGCCACTTCTACCACTCAGTAAAATCCTTCACATTCAACACCCTTCAATGCTTGACTTGATTCTTCCCCGATGCAGGACAAGGACACAGTGTGGGTGCAAGGGACTGTAACATTGACACATTGACCCTCCACTGTTTAACACTTAACTCCATGGATGGCAACGCTAAAAAAGCACATTGTAACACATGTCCTCTTGGGCTCTTGGGGTTGCAGGCAACCCGTAGATGCTGCTGCAGGCCCACACTGAGTTCTGCTCCTGCTGGTTGCCCAGAAGCACTCCTCCTGGCCTCTGCCCCACTCACCTGCACGCTCCCTCTCCTGCAAGGGGTTGAGAGCTGCGAGCTGAGCAAATGAGCCAAGACTTTTGTGAGTCCCATAAAGAGGTCAAGGGAACTATCCCATTTCAGCATCTTGCCAGGAATTTTTTTCTTTGTTTCCAACTGTTCTTTGTTTTATCTTCTTTGTCTGCCTTCTCTGGGTTTACATGAGCATTTTTTATTATTCAATTTTCTCTTCTCTGTTGATGTATTAATATTTTCTCTTTTAGAAAACTGTGTAGTGGTTGCCCCTGGTTTACAATATACATTTTTAAATAATCTGTGTCTATACTTCATCAGGAAGGTAAGATCTTTATAAAAATATATTCTCTTTTCCTCTCCCCTCTTTATAGTTTTTCATACTTTTCACTTTTAAATACGCTGTAAACACAAAATACACTGCTACATTTTTTGTTTTAAACAGTTATCAAAGAATAATAAGCCCTTGGACCCCAAAATCACTAAGCCACAGAGAAGAGTCAAGCTGGGAGCTGCTTAGGGCAAACCTGCCTCCCATTCTATTCCTAAAAAAGATAGCTACTAAGATAAAAAAGCTACATATCTCCCTCATGAGGAATTTCCTTGTGGAAAAAGGACAGACAGAACTCAAAGTCATCCCTCTGCTCACTGAGATAAATGCATATCTGATTGCCTCCTTTGGAAAGGCTAATCAGAAACTCAGAAGAATGCAACCATTTGTCTCTCATTGACCTATGACTTGGAAGCCCCCCACAGTTTCGCTTCCAGTTGTATCACCTTTTCAGATGGAACCAGTTTTCGTCTTAACATATATTGATTGATGTCTCATGTATCCCTAAAATGTATAAAACCAAGTTGTGCCCTGAACACCTTGGACACATGTCATCAGGACATCCTGAGTCTGTCTCATGGGCGTGCATCTTTAACTTTGGCCAAATAAACTTCCTAAACTGATGGAGACCTGTCTCAGATATTTATGGTTCACACAGTTATTGCTTAGAAAAATTTTTAAAAATTGAGAAAAATAATCATATTTTATATGATTTTTTTTCTTTTGTCCAAGGAACTTCCTTCTAGTAAAAGGTATCCTGTTGCCAATAGATTTCCTCAGTTTTTGCTTGTCTGAGAAAATCTTTATTTCTCCATCTTTTTTTTGGTTTGTTTTTTCAAAATATTGTCACTGACTATGCAATTCTGGATTGCAGGGTTTTTCTTAAGCTCTTAAACTTGTTACTTTGTCATCTTGCTTGAGTGATTCCTGAACAAGAAGACTGCTGTAAGTTTTAAGCTTATGTAAACCAAAGAGAAAACCCTAAGCCTCCCAACTGACTGAACAGACACCCTCTTGGCCAAAGGAACCGTGCAGTAACCTGAAAAACTAAATTCCTGGCCATGACTGAAAGGCAGGTTAGATACACCTCACTACACTTCCTTCTTTTTAGAGTTCAGTCACAACTGACAAACATTATGATTAAAATAGAGATCATAAGACTGACAAAACAGACTCTTTGTGACAGTAATATATCAAATTATAAACATGACCTAAAGTCATGCAAGGCATGGGTTCAGTCATGCTTTATAAACTGTGAAATCTCATAAAGGGTTTTTTTTTGTTCTTTTTTGTTTTTTGTTTTAATTAGCGTGGTATAATGTGGCTTACTTTTCAACCTGACCCTGGTATAGCATCACATGACAGACAGCAGACCATGAAAGAAATTAAAATATGTTACTCCAAAACATATTTATTTGAAATAGCCCTGTAAAGCTGCTTTTTGTGGGGGAAGTTTGCATTTGAATCTGTAGAGAATCTCCATTAAAGCAACCAGGCCTTCCCTTTCTAGAGCTTTCCAGGATATAGGAAAGATTAACTGAGAACCTGAGCTTTTAAGGTCTGAAAAGAGACATTTATCTCTGTTCTCTCTGAGGGCTGTTGCCTGTGAGGCTTCATCTACGTAACAAGTGCCTTGACCCCCCACAACTTGCCTTATCTCAACTCAAGCATTCCTTCCTACTGACTTCAAGTCTTTTTTTTTTTTTTTTTTTTTTTGAGACGGAGTCTCACTCTGTCGCCCAGGCTGGAGGGCAGTGGCGTGATCTTGGCTCACTGCAACCCTCCTGGGTTCATGCCATTCTCCTGCCTCAGCCTCCGAAGTAGCTGGGACTACAGGCGCCCGCCCCCATGCCTGGCTAATTTTCCGTATTTTTAGTAAAGACGGGGTTTCACCGTGTTAGCCAGGATGGTCTCGATCTGCTGGCCTCGTGATCCACCCGCCTTGACCTCCCAAAGTGCTGGGATTACAGGCGTGTGCTACCACGCCTGGCCCTGACTTCAAGTCTTTAGACAAAAGCTCAACTTTCTCAACCAATTATCAGCCAAAGAATCTCCAAACCCACCTTTGACTTGTAAGTTCTCCACTTTGAGATGAGATGTCACACCTTTTCAGGTCCAACCAATCTATACTTAGCATTTTTTTATTTATGTCTTTGCCTGTAACTCCTGTCTCCCTAAAATGTACGAAACCTTGGACTGCCTTGGAACCTCTTACTCAAGGCTTCTTGGGTTTGTGTTTTCTCAGGGCCATAGTAGTCACTCATATTGGCTCAGAATAAACTCCTTCAAAACATTTTACAGTGTTAGATTTTTTAATTAATATTTATTTTTCTCTAGGTAATGTGTTTTTCTTACTTTGTCTGCCTTCAATATTTTCTGTTGTTGATTTTCATCTGGTTGAAGGTGACATGCTTAGGTTTTAGTTTGTTTATTTCTGTTTATTTATGTATTTTTTGAAATTGTCCTTCTTTGGTGTTTTGTGACATTTAAACATGTAAGTTGAAATACATCAATAATTTAGAAAAAAAATTTGGCCACTATTTCTTAAGCATTTTTTCTGCTCACATTTCTTCTTTTCTGGAGTTCCAATTATACATATACTATACAGTTTGATATACATATCTTAAATATGTTGTTTTTTTCCCACTTTTTTCATTTTATCTATCACTTGTGTAATTTCTGTTGATCTATCTTTAATCTCTCTAATGTTTTTCTCCATTATGTCAAATCCTCTAGTGATCCTGTCAAAAATGTTCTTTATTTTCAATCTTGTGCAGTTTCTTTGTGTTTGTTTGTTTTTATTTCTAACATTCCCATTTGATTCATTTTTATAGTTTCCTTCTCTCTGATAAAAATACTTCTCTGATGTTGCATGTTATCTATTTTTTTGTGTTATAGCTTTTAGCATATTAATGTTGGCTATTTTAATTTATCTCTGATAGTTCACACATTTATATCATCTTTCAGTCTGGTTTGATGAATGCTTTTTCTCTTCAGACTGTGCTTTATGTGCCTTGCTTTTTTTTTCTTGGAAGTCAAGTATTTTTTTATCAAACAGTAGATACTAAGGTAAAAATTGTTGAGACTTAAAAACAAGTATAGCTTTTCCCTTGCATGGACGTTTTTGGGGGAAATTGTATTAATGCAGAGAGAAAGTTTCTTGCTTGTCTCCTTTTAGATGAAGAATTTTTGGTTTCATGCAGGGAAGACTATAATGGCCGAGATAGCCTTAGGCTGTCCTCAGCTTGTCTAAACTTTAAACAGTCCTCTTTCTGATTTTAGGTCCCTGACTCCCCCATTTTTTAGAGAATTTACTTTAGAAAACTTGTAGCTGTAAATTCTTTTTTTCTCCTTTGAGATATAAATCTCCTAGACTCTTGCCAGTTTTATAACCCAAGAATGTCTTTTCAAGGATCTAGGAGGCATTTCTTTGAAATGTAACCATCAGAAAAGGTAGAAATGTTATCCCCCAGTTTCTCTTGGAGGTTAGGAGCCTAACTTCCATAAGCACCAATTAGCAAACAAAAATAACCCAATCACATTGAGCAACCATCCCTCTAAAGTCCTCCAGAACTTTTCCATTTGCTCATCCAATGTTTAAAAATCCTCCCACCTTTTGTTTCAGTGGAGAAAAATTCTTTCTCTCTTGTTTTAATAGTCTTGACAAAGTCTTAATAAAAAGCTCTGAATAAAGACTTTGTCATTTTTAACAAAGGTCATAGCAATTTTTTTTTTTTTGACAACATGGAATATGAGTCTGGGTGGCGTTCTGATAGTGGCAATGTTTTGCTTCCTTAGCCAGACCTAAGCTTTCTAGAGAAATGTCACTAGGGTTTCATGATCATTTCTGTGAGCACCTTGAAAATTTATTAGGGAAAGAGGTTGCGAGAGCAAGTAAATCCCCTATAAATATGGCCCCTAGCAACTTCACATTCTTACACATTAATCCATACTTAATATTTAGCAACTTATTAATCATTTCTTCCTGAATCTTTTTATCAATTTATATGGCATCCAGTGACTGGCTGTCTGAGATTATCCTGTGCTCTTAATATGGTTTTCTTTACAGGCATCTCTCTCCCTGCAGATTTCAACATTGTTTTTTGCCCTACAACCTCAGTTCTCCCAAGTGTCCAAAGAAGTGTCTATAGTTCAGCTTGTTCAGCCATTTCCTGTTACAAGGGCTGGAGAGACTCTCTTTCCAACTCTCTACAAATCCAACACGACATAGAAAATAATATGATGATTTTAAAAATTGAAATTAAAGAAAAGCAAGTAGAAATAATGAGGCAACAAAAGGCAATGACTTCAGAAAATAGCTTGTACATCTAGGGTTCGGGGAAAAAAAAGAAGAGATTGGGGTTATTAGAATCTAGAACTTTGGGAAAGTGGTCTAACAGTTACAGGTCTCAGAGCTAGGAGTAGATGGCACTACCCTGCAGGTGCTGTTTTCTGAGCAGCTAAGAGGAGTGCCCATGTGGAGACAGAACTTAGACCTCTCAGGACAAGGCCCTTGCTCACTAGTGCTAATGCCCGAAAAGGGTTGTACTGAGGCTAGCTAGAAGTACAGGAAAAAAATAAACAGGAAGCTAAAAAACTGCTGCCATTTTTATTACCTATTCATGGCACTAGGGTGAAGCTAAGAGTAGTGAGCAAATATTATGGTCACTCAAACCCTCCAGATTTTCTGTCTCTGTCACTAGCAAAAAAAAAAAAAACAAAAAGAATCTTCACCAGCATTAACAGAGTGTTGACAGATGGGCATTACACAGAAAGAAAATAGTTTAATAATCAGCAAAAAATGTCTTTGTATTACTTTGAAAAGTAGATTTTATGCTATGCCAAATTATTATTATATATACTAATTTTATATGTATTTAAAATATTTAAAACAATGCATCTTATTATGTAATGAATATGACTGTTTTTATTTGCAAAAGTACATGCGAAAGATAGAGAGAGAAATTACTAGTTCTATTTTAAATGCTGTTTTTTTTCCCGCTGCTTAGTTTTATTGTTTGTTTCACCTTGATAGAGGAGATGTATTAATATTACCACTATAATCTACAAATCTATAATTTGAAGGCTATTAGAATGACCTATCCACTTCCACAGATGCATTCTCTAAGGGCAGGATTCTCCATGGCATAGTAACGACAGCTTTGAAAAGCATATCATTAGAAATGTAATAACATATTTTCAGGACATCATGTCACATTATGGGCACATTATTCTTCTGCTGTATGAGTTTGATTCCCATTACCACAAAGAGAAAAAAAACAAAGAAAATGAAACGTTAAGAGTTTGCTTTGCTGTAGAACTTATGAGTGATCATCGCTAATGATTTTTAATCAATATTACATGGAAAGGAAAGATAGAAATTCTGTGTATCTATTACTTTTAGATTTTTCTACACACAATGGATTTGGAATGATTGTTTCTAGAATTATTTTATTAGAATTTTCTTTTTCCCTTATGAGTAGTTTGTTCCTATAACAGATCATTTAAATGTTGTTATATAAAAAGTCATAAACTTTTCCAAAATTAATACTGTGTAAGTCTGTCTATGATGGTACTTAATGTTAAAAAAAAAATAAAAGACAAATACACACTTACCCAGGAAACACATAGTTCTTGAGTTGCATAGCCAGGTGGTGCTTTAGTAGCTGCTTTTGCTCAGGACTTTAAGTTACTTGTAGATTATTTACAATTTGTTTCATATATAAAGCCAGTCCACACCGTCTTTAAGCCACATCCATGACGAGGTGAGTATTAAATTGCTAAAAAATGGACATAAAAGGGATACAATTAAGGGATTTTAACCAAAAGTTGTAATATCACAGCTGGAAATCCAACTGTGCTCATATTCATGTATCTGTTTATTATACCTTAAAAATTACCATCTATGTGAATTCTTATGTTTCTATGTGCAAGTAAACCTGCAGACTAGATGTGTATAAGCTGGCACTGATAATTCAAAGACAAAAATCCAATCAAAAGCAAAACTTCTTTGAATATTTTGTTCTGGTGGTGTTGGTATGGATGAGTAATTCTGCTTGCATTTTACATATATAAGCTTAATTACTTTAAGTTTTGTGAAATAACTTTAGTGACACAACATTAACAGTGAAAGAAAAGACAAATCAGTTTTTTCTCAATTCAAGTGGAAAAAAGTTAAATAACTTTGAATTATTTTATAAAGTATGGTGAACTTTCTTTTAAACAATATGAGATCTTAGATTTGCTTTTGGAGTTGGGAAGAATTAAACAGTGATATTCATTGTGTTATATGTGTCATTACACACAATTCATGAATTATAGTATGAAAGAGATCAAATATTGTATGTAAGTGTGGATGTGTGTAACGATGCAGTACCTTTCTTGTATTATAAAAGTCTCGTTCACCGATCTATTACCCGAGATTAACTTCTCAGAAATGCAGACTATATACATACGTTTTAAATTCCAAGTAAATGGTAAGTTTAAATGGGTTAAAAATGCTAAAATTATTTTAAAATATATATGATAAAATGTGCAATAAAACATAAATTTTGAAATAAAAGAATAAATACAACTATTTTCACGCATATAGAAAAACTGCATGAGTTACAGTTTTAAAATTGCTTTCCAATATATGCTGTTTATTTTAAGATGTATTATTCTACATTGTTGAGTACACAGTAAGCATTCAACACATGCTTCTTGGAATGAAACAAAGTCTTAAAATTGGATATTTTGTGGTCGGGTGTGGTGGCTCACAGCACATTAGGAGGCAGAGGCAGGCAGATTACTTGAGCCAAGGAGTTTGAGACCAGCCTTGGCAACATTGTGAGACCCCATCTCTACAGAAAGTTTTAAAAAATTAGCCAGCCTGTGGCATGCGCCTATAGTCCCAGCTACTGAGGTGGCTGGGGTGGTAGGATCACTTGAACACAAGAGGTCAAGGTTGCAGTGAGCCCTGATCAGGCCACTGCACTCCAGCCTGGGTAACATAGTAAGACACTGTCTCAAAGATAAAATAAAATTGGATATTTTTACACAAGAAAAAAATGAAATTGCAATATCTAATAGGATGTGTTTCAAAAGAGTAAAACTTTTAATATTAGAAAATAATGGTAATTTTATTTCTAGCATAATGGCTTCGAACCTTCATTTGAAATATTCTCATTGAAAGTTAATTTAGCAGACAAGTTTACTTTAAGACTGCCAGGTGAGGTGGGAGGGGAGGGAGAAGCAATATCTGCTGAAGCTTTAAGAAAATTTCAATGCAACACAGTTATATTAATTTATGTATTATCTTCCATATTTTCATAACTACTGTTATAAAAAACCTCACTTAGCTTTATTCTTGCTCTGAAATGTTAGAGATAATAGAATTAGAGAAGATCTCTGGCCAGTATACTCAGAAAGTTATAAGCAAGTGTTACATTCATCACATTATATGATAACTATTGTCACTAAATACTTGATAGCTATTTCATAATCATGGTCAGCCCTGCACTGTGTAATAATGAAACAAATGTTAACAAAATGGTGAATACATTTTCTCATATAGCATATAAATGGATTTTGCATTTAATATTAATTTTTGATATCCATTGAAAATAATCAGTGATCACATGGAGTACTAAATTTGAAGTGTTTTTCTCTTATGTTTCAAAAATCAGCTTTATATAAAGTCTATTGGTTGGGACCAAATTTCCCCACATATTCTAGTTTTCCTTCTGGGGCAGCATACTCTGTCCTTGTGCCCCAAGTACATAAAATATTAGAGACCCTGTATCACAGACCATTTCTTCCAAAATCAACTAATACCACCTGGCTCCTACTCAGTAACTGAAATCTAGTACCTTGCTTTTCTGCCATGTGAAACTAATTAGATATAACCATCCTTGCTATTTTAAAATTATATCTTCAATATCTACATGCATGATATCTTTGTGCCTTTTGTTCCTGTCCTCTGGGTTATATCTCTAAAGCTATGTATCTTCCTGCAACCACTGCCCATATAAAGGGACATGTGTTGCCTTGTGTTTCAGTTAGTCCCCGTTCAAAACTAATGTTTCTCATCTGTTTCCTGCAAAATACTTTTATGCCATTTTTCTCTTCCCTGCCATTATGAAAAGCAGGAAATGTTCTGTTTAAGTAAAAGTAAGGTATTTTTGAAGAAAAATCGCATAACTCAAGTGTCTATTGCCTGTGGAAGTTGTTCAGCTGCAAGATAGCAAAAGTGTGGTCCCTGGAAAACCAATGATTTCAAAATGTAGACTAGGCAGAGTGAAGGGCATGGATTTCAAAAGAGAAAGTTTAGGAATTTGAGTATTAGTCATATGGATCTTTAGATTAGAGATACTGTTGGATGATTATTTTAATGTTATAGCTTGTTTTAATTCTTATACTTTAACTCAATATACAGAGAAAAACCTACTCATTTTAAGAATTATATATTGACAAATTATAGTATGTATGTTTACAGGGTAGAAAGTGTGTTACGACTTTGAAATACATATGGAAATATTAAACTAATTACATTAACATATCATCACCTCAAATATTTAATATTTTTGTGAGAACACTAGAAGTTTACTCTCTTTGTGATATTGAAATGTACAGAACACAATTCTTAGCAATGTTCACCATTGGTAATAGCCATTCTAATAAATGTGAGGTGATATCTCATTGTAGTTTCAATTTACATTTCCCTGATTATTAATAAGGATGAGCACTTCAGTTTTTCACATATCTGCCATTGAGCTTTTATCCTGTTTTCTTCCAGTACCTTTAAAGTTAAAAGTCTCACATGTAAAAGTCTAATCCATTTTGAGTTGATTCTTGTATATGGTGAGAGAAAAGGGTCCAGTTAAAGAGACTGTCTTTTCTGCATTATATGTTCTTGGCATCTCTGTCTAAAATTAATGGACTGTAATTTTGTGGCTTTATTTCTGGGCTCTCTATGCTATTCCATTGGTCAATGTGTCTGTTTTAATGTTAGTAGCATGCTGTTTTGATTACCTTGGTTTTGTAATATGTTTTCAAGTCAGGTAAGTTGATGCCTCAAGCTTTGTTCTTTTGACTCAAGATTGGTTTGGATACTAGGGGTCTTTTGTGGTTCTATATAAATTTTAGAATTGTTTTTCTCCATTCCTGTTAAAAATGACATTGGAATTTTGAATGAGATTATATTCAATCTATAAATTGCTTTGGGTATTATAAATACTTTACATATATATTATACTTTAAGTTCTGGGATACATGTGCAGAACATACAAGTTTTGTTACCTAGGTATACATGTGCCATGGTGGTTTGCTGCACCCATCAACCCGTCATCTACATTAGGCATTTCTCCTAATGCTATCCCTCCACTAGCCCCCCACCTCCCAAAAGGCCCCAGTGTGTGATGTTCCCTTGCCTGTGTCCATGTGTTCTCATTGTTCAGCTCTCACTTATGAGTGAGAACATGCAGTGTTTGGTTTTCTGTTCCTGTGTTAGTTTGCTGAGAATGATGGTTTCCAGCTTCATCCATGTCCCTGCAAAGGACATGAACTCATCCTTTTTTATGGCTGCATAGTGTTCAACTTTTCACTGTTGAGGGTGGTGTTAGTTGTGGACTTCTCATGTATAGCCTTTATTGTATTGAGGACTATTTCTTTTATACTTTATTTGTTGAATGTTTTTATTATGAAAGATGTTGAATTTTGTCAAATACTTGATTTTCAAGATGATGACATCATTGTCTAGAAGCTGCAATGGAAAGCAAGAGTAGATAAACTAATGGTCACTCAAAGATGCACATTTTCTAATCTCCAGGGTCTGTGAATACATCATCTTAGAAGACTAAATTGACTTTTCAGATGTACTAATTAAGGTTAGTGAAGTGGGTAAGTTTTCCCAGATTATCACGGTGGGCCAAGTCACAGAGGTCCTCATAAGAGGTAGACAGGAGCGTCAGAGCCTATGAAAGAGATATGATAACAGAAGCAAAGGTCAGAGTGATGAAGCCAGAGTGAAGAAGTGGTGGTGAGTTAAGGAGGGCAAATTGGCCTTCTAAAAAATAATCACATTTGTCTATGGAGTCTTAGAGGCAAGAGGGGAGGGTGCTGTTAAATGGGACATCCAAAACTCTCAGGTTTTCTTCTTATTACTCAACTATGAAAAACTCGGGGACTTTCTCTTCATATCTGCCAGTAGAGAGCATTAAAAAATTAAGAGGAAATGATAAAATAAGCAATGCATAGATGCCAGAATCTGAGGAGCACAGCCTTAGCATCTGAGTTTCCAAAGCATCAACTTAACCTTAACATTTGAGTTTAAAAAGGAAAATTAAGAGATTTTGTGGGTTTGGGGAGAAAAAAGCATGCTTGGAGAATGGCATGTCATATTGAGTCTTGTATGTGGGCAGCCTCTAGAAGCTGCAAAAAAAGGAAATGGACTCTCTCCTTGAGCCTCAAGAAGGTATCCAGACTTGCCAACCGCTTTTTAGACTTCTGAGCTGCAAAACTACAAGATAATAACTTTGGGTTGGTTTAAGAAACTAAATTTGTCATGATTCATCATGACCATCATAACAGCAGTAGGAAACTAATACAGCCCCACATCCAAATACAATGGAAAATAATGTGAGGGAGAAAACAGCAACCATCTGCAAAAGAGGTATTGGGCTTCAGTGAGAGCTAATTTTCAGTTAGAGCAAGAACATGAAGGTTGAGGTTATAGAGCACATGGGGAGAATGCTCAGAAAATATTTCAGGAGCTTGGAAAGAAAGGGAGATGAGCTCACAAGGATATACAGACCTCTATAGGAGAAATAACTCTGGAGGAAGAGAGATGAACTGGAGCCCTGGGCTTCTAATAATTTCTCACAAAATGTAAGAATAGAGGGTAAATGAGATTAGTATTGAGGGTCACAAGACACTGAGTGGTGGTGAGTTACGGAAGGTAAATTGGCCTTCTAAAAAATAATCACATTTGTCTATGGAGTCTCAGACGCAAAGGAAGGGTGCTGTTAAATGGGACATCCAAAACTCTCAGGTTTTCTTCTTATTACTCAACTATGAAAAATTTGTGGACTTTCTCTTCATACCTGCCAGTAGAGAGCATAAAAAATAAAAGAGGAAATAATAAAATAAGCAATGCATAGATGCCAGAATCTGAGGAGCATAACCTTAGCATCTGAATTTCCAAAGCATCAACTTAACCTGAACATTTGAGTTTAAAAAGGAGAATTAAGAGATTTTGTGGGTTTGGAGAGAAAAAGGTTTGCTTGAAGAATGGCATGTCATGTGGAGTCTTGTAAGAAGAAGTGATGGATATTTCACATTTGTATTAAATGTATCTGTCTGAATTTAGGAGAGAAAAAAGATTACATGAGGTGTTTTCCATAAGGATGCTATGAAATGATAATTATCCATAGCAATGAGAAACTATGCTTTTTCCTTTCTACCTTTAGAGTCAGAACTTTGGTAAAAGTTGAGGTGTTTCTCCTTGACTTTTTGGAAACTTTGCTTCTTATATGTATTTTTGTAGGGTAAAACACTAAGAAGTATAGATCATTCAAATAAAAGATAGTGTTAAAAGAGCTTTAAGTGGCCGGGCACGGTGGCTCAAGCCTGTAATCCCAGCACTTTGGGAGGCCGAGGTGGGCGGATCACCTGAGGTCGGGAGTTCGAGACCCGCCTGACCAACATGAAGAAGCTCCGTCTCTACTAAAAATACAAAATTAGCTGGGTGTGATGGTGCAGGCCTGTAATCCCAGCTACAGGGGATGCTGAGGCAGGAGAATCACTTGAACCCAGGAAGCAGAGGTTGCTGTGAGCCAAGTTTGCGCGATTGCACTCCAGCCTGGGCAACAAGAGCGGAACTCCATCTCACAAAAAAAAAAAAAGAAAAGAGCTTTAAGTAAAAAATCAAATGGGTTAAAGTAAAATTGCACTTTTTACAATAGTGATGAAACAAGAAAAATTATGTCTGATGATTTCTCATATTCTTTTCTATTGAAAAATGAATGTCTTATTTTACTGGGTGCTTTCAGGACAATATGTTAGTCCATGAATTTTGCAGAAGATGAATCCATAGGAAATTATCAGAGCAGCAATATAAGTCCCGAAGCCTAAATTCAACAGCAGTTGTGCATGTATTAGTTCAGCGAGCAGTACTGGATTTTCACAAACATGCTGACTTATGATGACCAAAATGAGAAATGAATAACCAGCAATGGAGCCTGAATAGCAATAAGTGGAAGTCGGCAGATGGTGTGTGAATATCACACTGGCGCTGGAAAATAGCAGAACAGACAGCCATGCTTACTATGATGACAGATTGACTGACTAGAAAAAGCTTGAATGCACTCGTGGCATTTTCCCTAGCGTTTTAATTGGAGACATAATAGTTCAAAGTAAACTCCATATCAGTTAGAACTGATAAGTCAAATTCAACTTAGTGTAGGCTTGGTGTATCTGTTCAATCTTTTTTTTCTATGAAGGAATCTACATATTGACTAATTAGCAGAGAAAAATTAGTTATGTTTCCATTATTAACAGATACTAATGGTTTTAGAGGACATTCTTTGAAATAAAACAAAGTGTCCACAGAAGAGCATGAACATTATACTACTTACTCTATATGATGTACTGCTTATGATAAAATGTGATGTTTAATTATTTTCAGAGAAATTATAGCCACTAAGGTTATTTAGGGAAAAGCATAGCTCACCTCTACCTTACTTGAAAAGGTTGTATAATATCATCAAAACAGTATCTTTCTTTATACTTAATGAAGTGTCAACTTGTCTATAAATTTGTAGGTGAGTCAAAGGTGAATTAAGAAATGCAGCCTTCCCAGGTAAGTACCCATCATGGTGCTTGAATTTAAATAATCAATGACAAAACAACATATATTAGGAACTTGAGGTAAAACTCATTTAACGAATACATTAATAAGATGATTTGAAGATATGATATTCAAAGATGGAAACAATCTCTCTTAAGAGTTTTTAGATATTGTCATTTATATTCAAAACTATTATTCAAATAATTGTGAAAGAAATTTTTGGCATTATACATTTATTGTTTAAGGTCTTTTCTGAACTACATGTATGAACAAACTGTAAAAAAAATGAGAAAAACAGACCTTCAAATATGATCAGATTAAGTTAGTAGAATGTCAATATTATATATAATGTGTTGTTGACAGTGTATGATCTTGCCTATATGAGAAGTAGTAACCAAGTTACTGCTCTTCAGCTTCTTGATCTATTCACAAGTCACAGAAATAATTACTTTCAATAATTATGTTCTAATTTACTTTGAGATATATATTTAATAAAATTTAAAAAATATTTTTAAAGAAAATCCCATATAATCAAACCCTAAATGAGTTTCAAAAATCCTTTATCTCATAATCAATGGCTAATCTGGTATTTTTTATTCCTTTGAAGAGTGTGCACAATGCTTCAAATTTCAGCAAAAAAACGTGTTGAGTTTACTGTTCTACTGGGAAAAATATGGTTTTGAAAAGTTTTGAGATTATTTAACAAGATTTTCATCTTTCAACATGAAAAATATGAAATCTAGTTCATAACAAGTGATATATATTAAATTGACTAGTTTCTTTGACTAGTGTGTTGTTCATCATTTTTCTGGATCCCAAATACTGAATTATGTGCTTATAGGCTTGGATAAATCAACAAAATCAATTTAGAAATATGATAAAGATATGTAGTAGTTGACCATAACTCCTTGATATGGTCTGATGCTGTATCCCCACTCAAATCTCACCTTGAATTGTAATAATCCCCACGAGTTAAAGGTGGGACAGGGTGGAGATAATTTAATCATGGGGGCAGTTTCCCCCATGGTATTCTTGTGGTAGTGAGTGAATTCTCACAAGATCTGATGGTTTTATAAGGGGCTTCCCCCTTTGCTCGGTACTTCTCTCTCCTATTGCCATGTGAAGAGCACCATGATTATAAGTCTCCTGAGACCTCCCCAACCTGCAGAACTGTGAGTAAATTAAACTTGTTTTCTTTTTAAACTACCGAGTCTAAGGTATTTCTTCATAGCAGCATGATAACAGACTAATACAATGGTCTTTCTGTTTTTAAAGACCTTTTTATCTGCAATCTGTAGATAACATCCAATATACTTGAACCAGCTAGGAAAGAGCTGCCTTTTTTTGTTTGTTTGTTTTTGCAATTTAGAAAGAGAAGTTCAAAGAAGCAAATTTAAAAAAGAAAAAGCATTAACTTTATAGAGCAACAAGAATCAAAGTAGTATGAACTGCTCACTATTTACTCGTGGAGAGATAAAACTTGTAACCAAATATGCTTGTCATCTTATCACCCTTACAGTTTAAAAAAAGTATGTTTTGCCAACAGTACCTCCTGTAGAATCCATCTGTCCAATTGTCTTTCTATGAGTTGCAGTTTCCAAAAGATATTCATCTGTGTCATTTTACTAACTGAATAATCATAATTAAGGCAGCAGCTACATGCATTTTAGTTAATTTTAAAGCAATATCTGGTATCACTTAGCTTTTATGTACTTGGGACATGTCTTATAAAGAATCAGTGCAATAAAATACCCAAAGCTTTCCCAGATAGAAAGAGTGGTCAGATGAATTACTATAAAGATGTGCTCAAGGTGAAGTGGAAGAATGTCTCTTTTGATTATAAGACTTTTAAAGTAGCAATGAGATCAAGGAAATATCCTCTAAACTGAAATCAAGTGACTAAAGTTTCAGACGAGTAGAGAGAGATGCCTTTCAGGAAATACCTCAGAATTGACTATCAATCAATTCTCAAATCAAAAGTAATTTCTATCTTCTTTAAATAGAAAAGGCAATTTTAAAAAAAGGAAAAGAAATGGAAGAAATGGAAAGGGGAATGAAGAAGTAATACTATATCAAGTATTTTGTAAAATATATCATATTATTATATCTTTAGTAAATTTTGTCTTAACTGAATAAAAATAAAGCTTAATATAAAATATAAAATATATTGGGTCACACTTAGATTATACATATATATAATATTTTACATATATAGATATGAACTAGGAGAGCTAGTTTCTTCCCTTGTATTAGGAAGATCAATCTAGAGATGATTTTTTTAACATATTTAATGAGCTCTAGTCAAGAACACCGAAAAACAGAATATACAGGGAAACAGGATGCAGAATGACCCCTGCTGAATGAGGAATAAACTTCATTTGCTTGATGTTCAGGTGGGTCCCAGGGAGGCACAGGAGTGACAAGGGTGACAAATTGTAGCTATTCATCTAAGTGTATGGAAATGCTTCAGTATTCTTACAACTGGTGCTGTCAGTTAAACTCAGGACTGAGAAAATGTTTATGTTCTTCTCCACTTGAAGAAATGTCCATATGTATAACTTGGGAATTGCTTTCCAGGAGTCATGTTTTGGCTATCTGAGAAACGCAGTGTGCTCTAAACAGGAATAAATACAGAGAAAGTAGATAATGATAAATTCATGATTCATGCCCATTCTTGTTTATAGTTGTTCCTGTAGCTCAACTGCATTCCTACCTTTCTTTGGGGTTTCTTTATTGACCCTCTTCTTCAGTCACATAATATATGCAAATGTCCTTTCAGAATGAGGACAAACTAGAGCTAAGGAGACTGGCTAAAGTATATTTGTTAAAAGAGAGGATGAGGCCAGGCACGGTTGCTCACGCCTGTAATCCCAGCACTTTGGGAGGCCGAGGTGGGCAGATCATGAGGACCGGAGATCGAGACCATCCTGGCTAACACAGTGAAACCCCGTCTCTACTAAAAATACAAAAAAATTAGCCAGGCGTGGTGGCACGTGCCTGTAGTCCCAGCTACTCAGGAGGCTGAGGCAGGAGAATCGCTTGAACCTGGGAGGCGGAGGTTGCAGTGAGCCGAGATCGTGCCAATGCACTCTAGCCTGGGCGACAGAGCGAGACTCTGTCTCAAAAAAAAAAAAAAAAAAAAAAAAAAGAGGATGATGATAAAATAGTCTTAGACAAATGAATAAGTGAATAGGCTAGCAGCATTTGAAACAAAGAAAAGGAGGTTATACTGAAGTTATTTTGAACATGGAAGCAGAAGAACTCCCCACCAAATAGATATCAGGGAAGGAGCTGAGTAGATATTAATATTTGCTTGGTCACCAAAAGAACAATGAGATACAAAAGCACTTGCTTTATTACAAAAAAGGTCTTTGGAGTAGTTAACAAATACAACTATGTTAAAACAGTATAATACCAGTTTTGAAAAAGAACAAGAAAAAGGTGTGGTACAATTAAGTCACAGGTAATAATATAGATATAATGCATAAACCAATTTCTTTTATTGCTTAAAACTAATCAAAATTGCACATGTATTTGAGTAATCAAATAAACAAATTATTTGATTTTAAAGGTAAAAGTATGGACAGAAAGAAAAAAGATTGTTTACTTTTCTAATGAAGCATTTTAACACCCTAAGGAGCCAACAGGTCATGGGAGAGTGAAAAGGAATTTTGCAAGAGCTCTTACCTCAGATCTTATAAACATTTTGAGTGTGTGAGGCATATGTGATATTTTTAATGTTTTTAAATAGATTTTTAATAGATTTTAATTAATTTTTAATAGATTGCATAAAATTTAATCATTGGGCAGAGCACAGTGGCTCATGCCTGTAATCCCAGAACTTTGGGAGGCCGAGGTGGGCAGATCACCTGAGGTAGGAGTTCAAAACCAGCCTGGCCAACATGGTGAAAACTCGTCTCTACTAAAAATACAAAAAATTAGCCAGCTGTGGTGGTGTGTGCCTGTATTCCCAGCTTCTTGGGAAGCTGAGGCACAAGAATCACTTGAACCCGGGAGGCGGAGGTTGTAGTGAGCCAAGATAATGCCACTGTACTCCAGCCTGGGCGACAGAGTGAGGCTCCATCTCAAAAAAAATAAACAAATAAAATGTAATCATTTCTATTAGGGACAAAGAATAGCAAAGTAAGTGCAAGTGTCCCCACATTCTCAAATCAAGTGCTGGATCACTTAAGTAGTATATCCTCAAAGAATATAAAGAACAATTTGACATGTATTGATTAGCTTATTAATCACCTCTTATCTTCTTTACAACAAAGTTAAAGATGCTCTAAGGAGAAAAAAATAAGTCATTAGAGAATTGTTGTGGTGTTATATGTTTCTGTACAATCTATATCTATGTGATAAAGAGGTTTCCCTTCACCTTATTACAAGTGAGTATGAGTAGGGCTTGCACATAAATCATCCAGAGAGCTTGGCATGTGGGCCCAGGAATAATTTGGGGGAAATGAAGAAACATCTAAAGGGAAGAGGTTCTGGCAGGGTTAGTCTCTGTCTAGCTACTTAACAAGGACAGGGCTACAGTGGGAATGGCTAAAGGCCCTTCCAGATTTTGCTGGGACGAGAATCCAGTTTATTATACAGAACAGTTAAATGGAAGATATGAATGGAGCAAGGGTTGTGGGAAGGAAGGGGTACAGAGTCCCATGCCCTTTCTGGAAGCACCACCCACCCACTGCCTCAGTGTTCACCAATCTGCAAGCTATCTGAACCTCATCTTTTAGTATTTTTAAATGGAGGTTTAATTACATAGGCATGATTGATCAAATAATTGAACATTGCTGATTAACTTAATCTCCACCTCTTCCCCACTTCCCACAGACCAGGGAGTAGGGCTAAAACTTCCAAGCTTCTAATCAAAGTTTGGTCTTTTCCTCCAACCAATCCATTCTGACACTATCAAGGGCCCACCAGGAATCATCCTCATTAGAACAAAAAATTCTCCTGCCACTCTTACTACTCAGAGAATACCGAGGGCTTTAAGAGTCTTCTGCCAGGACTCAAAGACCATTTAAAAAATATATCATAAGTACTATAACTACTATAAGTGAAATCTTTGATTTAAAATAATCCTACAAATAACCCATGTTCCAAGAGGGATTTTGAGGGGATTTGTATTAGATAAACAAAGAAAAAATGACTATAATATTACATAAAATTTAAAAGCTATAAAAATATCTCAAATAATGAGTAGGAATATAACCCCAATACATTTTTCAGAGAGTTAATATACATTTGCTATTAAACACACAGAAAAAGGAAAATAAGACAGGGAAATTAATGTCAAATCTTAAACATGATGAGCAAATCTTAAAAAGTAATTTTAGCAAGTCACTTTACTACTCTGATGACAGAAAAACATTATGACCAAAAATGGTTTATTCTTGGACCATGGGGCTGGTTCATTATTAGAAAGTTGATTAATGTAAATTTCCAAATCAATTCTGTACAAACGAAGTAGATAGAACTCTTTCAATGCATGTAATAACACTTTTTGATAACAGTTAAAAACATTAGATATATGTCTTTGAAAACTAACATTAGACTTATTAAACTGGATAAAGAGCACAAAAAATCTACAAGAAACAAAATACTCAATGGTGGAAAGTAAAAAGCATTTATTTTAGTGTTAGAACTAGGACAACACAGTAGCTACTACCATTTCATTCAACATTGAACAACAGTTATAGGTCATAAGTTAAGGGCTAAAAACCATCAGTATTGAAAAGGAAGAAGCCAAAAGTGTCACTATTTGCATATGGTTTGATCTGTATAAAAATCATTACAATATCTACAGAAAAGAAATAAGAAAAAAATGAGTTATTTCACCAATATTTCTAGCATAAAATCAACATTAAAAGTCATTTATTGATCAGGTACAGAGTCTAATGTCTATAATCCCACCTACTGGGGAGGCTGAGGCAAGAAGGTTGTTTGAGCCCAGCAGTTGAAGACCAACCTGGGCAACATAGTGAAACCCTGTCTCAACAAATAAAAAAGTAAAAATAAAAAGTTGTTTATTGCATTTCTATACACAAAATTAAAAAAATTAAAATTCCATTTATGTAGTGACAAAAACATAATGCACATGAAAATAAGTAAAATACAATTTATGACTATTAAGGAGAAAAAATTATCTTTTTTGAAAGTATTCAGTAAGAATAAATGAAATATTATATCGACATTGACAGGTAGAAAATTTCAATTATTAAAAAATATCATTTCTGATATATTGTTGTAAGGATTTTCTTTCTTTCTTTTTTTTTTTTTTTTGAGAAGGTCTCACTCTGTCACCCAGGCTGGAGGGCAGTGGCGTGATCTCGGCTCAGTGCAAGCTCTGCCTCCCAGGTTCACGCCATTCTCCTGCCTCAGCCTCCCGAGAAGCTGGTACTACAGGTGCCCGCCACCACGCCCAGCTAATTTTTTGTACTTTTAGTAGAGACGGGGTTTCACCATGTTAGCCAGGATGGTCTCAATCTCCTGAACTCATGATCCGCCCGCCTTGGCCTCCCAAAGTGCTGGGATTACAGGCGTGAGCCACTGCGCCTGGCCAGGATTTTCTTATAAATTGATTACTTAATTCTAAAAGTCATATGAACAAGCAGAAGATTAATAAGGGCCAAGTTGATTTTTTAAAAAAATTATTTGAGAGGGTCTGCCTAGAAAGACTGCCTTGGAAATTATGAAAATTAAGATAGTGTACCACTGAATGTGCAGAAACAATTAACCAATAGAATATTTTAAGCCAGAAACAGACTTGTGTTTGAAAATCTGACATTTAATACATGGGTAAATACAACTCAATGATGGAAAGAAGAAAAAGAATGGATTATACAAGAAATGTGGTTGGAACTGGTTAATTATAAGGAAGAAAAGGAGAGAGATTTTGAATGTGTTTCTCACCAAGTAAATAATAACAAAAACATCAATTTCGAGAGGGCTAAGGAATTAAATGAAAAATAAATAATTATACTGTGTAAATAAAATGAAAGAATAAATTATATTTTAGAGTCTCTTTAGAGGTGACATTTATTAAACAAGACACAAAAATTATAAACCACAAATAAAGAGACTGATTAATTTGACTACATAAATAATGAGGCTTACAATTCATCAAAAGACACAAAAGTGAAAATCAATATTGTGTAATAAGAAAGTGAGAGGCCAGGTGAGGTGGCTCATGCCTGTAATCCCAGCCCTTTGAAAAGCCGAGGCGGGAAGATCAGTGGAGGTCAGGAGTTTGAGACCAACCTGGACAACATGGTGAAACCCCGTCTGTACTAAAAACACAAAAAAAATTTAGCCCATCGTGGTGGTGTGGGCCTGTAATCCCAGCTACTCAGGGGGCTGAAGCAGGGAATTCCTTGATCCCGGGAGGTGGAGGTTGCAGTGAGCTAGGATGGTCCACTGCACTCCGGCCTGGATGACAGAGCTAGATTCCATTAGCTCAAAACAAACAAACAGACAAAAAAAAAAAAAAAAAAAAGAAAAAAAAAAGAAAGAAAACAAGAAAAAGAAAAGAAAACAAAATGAGAGACATACTACCAATACTTAATCTAAGGATTTTTAATTTTTTAATTGGCATATAATCATATATATTTTAGGGGCACATAGTGATTAGATCAGGGTAATTAGCAAAACTATCATCTCAAACAGTTGTTTCTTGGTGTTAGAAACATTCAATATCTTCCTTTTAGCTATTTGAAACTATATATTATTGTTAACAATAGTCGTCCTATTGTGGTATAGAGCACTAGAATTTATAGCTCCTATCTAGCTGTGATTTTGTATCCTTTAACAAATCTCTCCCCATCCTCCCTTCCTCCTATCCTTCCCAGCCTCTAGTATTTTTGTTTTACTTTTTACTTCTATGATATCAACATTTTTAGCTTCCACATGTGAGTGAGGAAATGTGATATTTGTCTTTCTGTGCTTGGCTTATTTAACTAACATAATTTCATCCAGTTTTATCCATGTTTCCACAAATGACAGGATTTCATTTGTTTTTATGGCTAAATAGTATTCCTTTGTGTGTATATTCTAACCACATTTTCTTTTTCTATTCGTCTGTTATTGGACACCTAGGTTGATCCCATATTCTGGCTATTGTTATAGTGCTGAAATAAACATTAAAGTGTAAATGTCCTTTTGATACAGTGATTTTCTTTTTTTAACTTTGGATAAATGCACAGTGGTGGAATTACTGGATCACATCATAGTTTTGTGTAGTTTTTTGAGAAACCTCCATATCATTCTATACAATGACTGTACAAGTTTATTCCTGCCAACAGTATGTAAGGGTTCTGCTCTTTGTGAATTCTCATCAGCATTTGTTATTTTTTTGATAATAACAAAAATTGTCTTTTTGTTAATAGCCATACTAACTAGGAGGGAAGATGATACCTCACTGTGGCTTTGATTTGCATTTCTCTGATGATTACTGAAATTGAGCATTTTTTCACATATTTGTTGGCCATTTGTATGTCTCCTTTGGCCTACTTTTTAAGTCATATTATTTTCTTGTTGTTGTTGTTTTTTTTTTGCTGTTGAAATGTTTGCCTTCCTTGCATATTCTGTATATTAATCCTCATTAGATGAATGGTTTGCAAATATTTCCCCCATTCTGTAGGTTACCTTTCCATTCTGTTGATTGTTTCATTTTCTGTACAGAAGGTTTTTAGTTTCATAAAATCTCACTTTTTCATTTTTGTTTCTGTTGCCTGTGCTTTTGATGTCTTATTCATAAAGTCTTTTCCCATACCAGTGTTCTAAGCATCACCCTTATGTTTTCTTTTAGTAGTTTTATGGTATTGAGTCTTACATTTAGGTCTTCAATCCTTTTGGGGATGATTTTTGTATAGGATGAGAGGTGATGGTCTAGTTTCATTCTTCTGAATATGGATATCCAGTGTTCCCAGCACAATGTAATGAAGAGAATGTTCTTTCCCCAGTGAATGTTCTTGGTGCATTTGTCAAAAATCAGGTGGCTATAGATATGTGAGTTAATTTGGGGGGCTCTCAATTCTGTTCCATTGTTCTGGTCTGTTTTAATGGCAGTACTATGCTGTTTTGGTTACCACAGCTTTATAGTATACTTTAAGGTCTGGTAGTGTGATGCTTCAAGCTTTGGTCTTTTTGCTCAAGATTGCTTTGGTTATGTGGGGTCTTTTGTAATTTCATACAAATTTCAAGATTATTTTCTTATTTCTGTGAAGAATGTCAATGGTATTTTGATAGGGAATGCATTAAATCTGTAGATTGCTCTAGGTAACATGATCATTTTGACAATATTAATTCTTCTGATTCAAAAGCATGAGGTGTCTTTCAAGTTTTTGGTATCTGCTTCAATTTCTTTCATCAGTATTTTGAAGTTTTTCTTGTACAGGTCTTTTACCTTCTTGATTAAATTTCTTACTAGGTATTTTTTGTGTAGCTTTTGTCAATGGGGTTGCTTTCTTGATTTTTTTTTTCAGCTAGTTTGTTGTTCATGTATAGAAATCTACTAATTTTTAAGTTGGTTTTCTATTCTGCAACTTTATTGAATTTATCAGTTCTAAGAGGTGTAATGTAGTCTTTTGGTTTTTTGATATATAAGATCATGCCATCTGCAAACAGGAAAAATTTGATGTTTTTTCCTCTTTTCCACTTTGGATGCCCTTTATTTATTCCTCTTGCCCAATACTGTCTAGGACTTCCAGTACTATGTTAAATAAGAGTGGTACAGGTGGGCATTCTAGTCTTGTTCCAGTACTTAGAGGAAAAGCTTCCTAGCTGTGAGTTTGCCATATACAGCTTTTATTTTGTTGAGGAACTTCCTATAAATCAATAAGAAATAAACAATCCAATAGGCAAAAAACAGGAATTGGCATTGCCAAAAGAGGAAACAAGAATGGTCCACAAACATAACTAAGATGCGTAATCTCATTAGCAGTCAGGGAAACACAAAATAGTTTAAAAATATAATTTTAATTATTTTATTTACCACATAAAAATAAGTATTGGCAAAGATATAGAGCAATCAGGATTCTCATCTACTTCTTGTAGGCATATAAATTTGTGCAAAACCTTTGGAAAATAATTTAGTTTTACCTATTAAAATTGAATACATGCAAACCTAACAATCATCAATTCTCCTAAGAATGTTCTTTATATAAATATTAATTCTCTATACAGATACACTATATAAATTCACCGGAAGGCATGAGAAAATCATCAACATCAGCATTGTTGCTATAGTGAAATAAAGTAAAATAAAATAACACAAATGTTTATGAAGAAGACAATGACTAAATAATTGTGCCATGTTCAAATAGATGAATACTATATGATAATGGAAGTGAATGAATATGATATTTATCAAAATAAAGTGGAAACAGATGTTAGAAGAGTATGTGCATTAATTCATTTATGTAACATTTAAGATAGGCAAAACTAAATATATATGTATATGTGTGTATATGTCACATATCACATGTTGAAATCATATGTCATTATCATATATCATATAGGAATATAGATACAAATATGTTAAAATAGTTAAACATAGGCATCTTTGGGTTGGCCAGGCAAGGATCAATATTTAATAAGATTTCTACATGATTCTGATGGCTTTCAGATTTTAGAACCAGGCTGTTATTTTTGTGGAAGTCTATATATTTTTCTTTCTTATTACATCATTATAATACTACAAATCTGGTTGTTTTTCTATCCTGGCCTTTGCACACTTACAATTTCACCTGGAGAACTAAGATTTAAGATTTCAAAAAAGCTTTCTTTTAATAAGTAGCCATTATATAAAGACTCAAAAAAGCACTAAAATTATTATCCTAACCATTGTTTATACAGCTATAACCTTAGATTTCAGAACTGTTTAGAGAATATTAAGATTAAAGTAAACCAACAGTAGTCTTATTATTTTAGTTTTAAAATGTTATACCATATTGTGCCACATATTGTTTACACAACAGCATTGATATTGGTAATGTACTTGTTTTATTTCAACAAATATTCTATATGATAATGCATAATAAAAGTATTTTGTAAAGTAATTGCCTACAAAATTACTCATTATTGGCTTTATCACATTAAATGCATCAGAAGCCATAATCATTATCTCGATTTTCATTACAGAAATATATTCAGTTTATACCTTGGCATTATTCTGATTACACAAAGTCTCATTAAAATTAGTAATAAATCCAAGCTAAAATGGTACAAACATTCGAGCTGTATATGTGTGGCAACTTTCCTTAATGACAATGTATTCAAAATATATAGCTCTTTCACCCGGGAGGTTGGTAAACATTTTCTGGTTTGTGAAATAGGATTTTATATTTCAGTTTGGCTTGAGAGACTGAACTGTTATTTTACATAAAATGAGATTATTGGTGTATAAGAAATTGCAGTAATGCTAATGAAAATAAAAAGGACTTTTTAATTAATGGACTATCAATCTGGAGGGTTTTTTATTATAACTATTATGTCACCATTTTTATATTGTGTAAGAAAGGTTGATTTCTCTAATTGTTTCCAAAATTCTTAAACCACCAGCTTATATAGGCATTACACGAGGATAAGTTTAAGAATCATTTTACACTGCTGTGCTGTCTTCTAAGAAATCCAGAAATGTCTGAACAAATGAGTGTACACTCATAAATGTAAGAGCCACAGGGAATCCATAGATGCCTAGAGAATTTATTTCTCATCTAGAGCTGCCTCCAGTGGCAGAATCCTACCAAAAAGCATCAATTTTATTTCATCCCAAGAGAATACACTCTAGTCTGGAAAAATGAGTTAGGATCACATCACATTCAGATTTTAATGGCCAGCTTTCAATAAACAATATATGAAGAAGCTTAGAAACCAAATGGAGAACATAAGGAACTCTCCTCTTACATAACTCTACTTTTAGGACCAACCCAAAATCACACACACAGAAAAAATAAAAAAAAAAAAAACCTGCCATCCCTCAAATTTTGTCTCTTCTCTCTCCAAGGTAAGAATTTTCAGAAAGGGAAGACAAAGCAGTATTAAGCACATTTTATATTCTGAGGAATTGAGCTGACACAGAGAAGAAAACAAAACATTATATATTGAATGAAGGAATGATGGATGAATAGATAAATTAATCTAGTTGTTTAAAATTACACCAAAGTGTTACAGTAAATTCTTTATCATATGACCCTACTCTGAAGACAGTGTTACAGCTTCAATTAGTGGGAAATTAATGAAGCTTTAGAGATAATATGTTTATATATACATGCACATATATAGCTTGTTTTTAATTTACATTAATGACATTCCATTATATAACAAATCAAATTTGAAGAGAAATAAAAAATAAGAGGTCTTAGTGTTTTCTAGAAATGATGCTTGAAGTACAAAAAAATGATAATTGTATAACAACATAAATGAGTAGAATTATATCTTTGTATTTAAAATATCTTGAATACACATATTTGTAATTTACTATTATTTCTGTTTTTTTAGTTAATTAGAGTGAATGTTACAAGCAATAACCTTGGTTTATCTTTTACCAGAATACCACAATATTGGGCATTGGTTTAGATTTAGCACATGTCTTCTAAAAGACAATGAACACTGAATGATTGCTTGTGAAATGAATAAATGGACAAACACATGCTAAGCATACTCTGCCTTTAGACAGTACTGTAGGCAAATTCTCCAAGATCAATTAGATTGACTGTTTACAAGTTTATCTTCAAGAAATCAATTCACTTGAAAATGAGGTGGGTGATTTACGCCTTTTAAACTACGTAGATAACTGCTAATTGAATCAGACAGAAAACGTGATTTAATACCTGAATATTATAATAGATTAGCTAACCAATCAGACATAAAAACTGATAAATCAACAATAACTTATATGCTTATATATTTATATAGTTTATGAAAGGTTTACATCTATTATTCCACTTTTTCAAAATAAGTAACTAGGGTTAAGCAAGCATGACTTGCCTCTGTTAAGTCCATAAAAATTAGCAAAGTCAGAACTTGGAATTCATGTTTCTGTCTTATTTATTTATTTATGTATTTATTTATTTATGTTGACTTTATTTTTAATTCACAAATAACAATTGTATGTATTAATCATGTACACATAATGTTTTGACATATGTATACAATGTGGACTGGCTCAGTTGAGTTGATTAACATACTACCTCACATACTTATTATTGTTTGTGGAAAGAACACTTTAATTCTACTCTCAGCAATTTTCAGAATACAATTACAATAGATCTCTTGAACTTATTCCTCCTATCTGAAATTTCGTATACTTTGACCAACATTTCCCCAGCCCCTGATAACAAACATTCTAATTTCTGCTTTCATGAGTTCAACTTTTTTAGACTCCACATATAAGTGATATCATGTAGTATTTTTCTTTATGTGTGGCTTATTCCACTTTACATAATGCACTCCAGGTTTATCCATGTTATCTCAAATGGCAAGACTTCCTTCTTTTTGAAATTGTCTTAAAGCTGAATAATATAGTTGCATCTGTGTGTGTGTATCACATATACATTTGTGATATGTGTTATATCTATAAATGTTATAGAAAACAATAAACATGAAAGTGCAGACATTTCTTTGGTATACCGATTTCTTTTTCTTTGAATAAATGCTCGGTTGTGGTTTTACTAAATTACATGATAGTTCTGTTTGTAGTTGTTTGAGGAACCCCCATAATGTTCTCCATCGTGGCTGTTACTAGCTAATATTCCTACCAACAGTGTATAAGAGTTCCTTTTCTCTACATCCTAAACAGTATTTTTTCTTTTTTGTCTTTTTGATAACAGCCATTACAATAAGTGTGAGGTGATATCTCATTGTTTTAATTTGCGTTTCTCTAAAGGTTAGTAATGTTGAGCATTTTTTCACATACATTTGTATGTCTTTTTTTGAGAAATGTCTATTTAAGTCTTTTGCCCAATTTTAATTGGGTTATTTATGTTTCCTATTGAGTTGATTGAGTTCCTTACAAATTTTTGATATTAACCCCTTATCAAATGGTTTGAAAATTCTCCCATTTCATAGGTTGTCTTTTCACTCTGTCGATTGTTTCCTTTGCAGTGCAGAAGATTTTTAGTTTGATGTAAATCTGTTTGTCTATTTTTGCTTTTGTTGCCTGTGCTTTTGGGGTCACACCCCAAAATTTATTGCCCAGACCAAATGTCAGAGAGCTTTTTTCTTATGTTTCTTCTAGTAGTTTTACAGTTTAATGTCTTATGTTTAAAACTTTAATACATCTCAAGTTGATTTTTGTGTATGGTGTGAGATAAGGATCTAATTTCATTCTGTGTGTGGATTTTCACTTTTCTCAACACCATTTTTTGAAGAAGCTATCCACTGTGTTTTCCTGGCATCTTGATAAAAAATAAACTGAACATAAATATGTGAGTTTATTCTAGAGTCATTATCCTGTTTCATTGGTCCATTTGCCTGTTTTTATACCAGTAATATGCTTTCTTAAATTACTGTAGCTTTGTAGTACATTCTGAATTCAGGTAGAATGAAAACTTCAGATTTTTTTTTTTCTCAAGATTACTTTGGCTATTTGGGAGCTGTGGTTCCATGTGAATTTTTGGATTGCTTTTTATCAGGTTTTCATTTTCAAATTCAATGTTATTTTTACTACATGATAACCTATGAAATATTATTTCAGATATAGATAATAAAGCCACATACACATGAGTACACATATAGACACAATTATATAGAATTACATTGAAATATTATGATACTTAATTTGTCATATGTAATATTATAAAAATAGAAAATTTGTGTAACTGCTAACACTATTATTTTCTACATTTTACATTTTAGCTATAAAGTAATCTGTCATTACACAGTCCATATATTTGAAGATATTTCAATTGATTGAATTCTGACTTCCAGTAGAGTATTTTTTCTTTCCCAGATCAAATAGAACAACAATATCAAAAGAAAGAAAAAAAAAAAGCTTCAGAATACTTAACTTAAAAGGAGGAAAGACATAGGTAATTGGGATAGCTGATTTCAAACATTTTTAAAACGTTTACATGAAAGAAAAGGAATTTGTTCTCTCTTTCATCAAATTCTGGCATTAAGATAAGTAGACTTCATGAGATGTCATGTTTTTTGTGCAAGCAAAGTTTATATAGAGTTTTGGACAATACAGGACTCAGGGAATATATGCAGATGCTTATGCCCCAAAGGGAAGTTGAGTCTTCATCTCTGTAGTTACATTTGATGCACATATTGGAATGTTGTACTTTTCCTCTCAAAAAATTCTAAGCTAAATGAGATAATTTGATCATCAGGAAGAAATAATTCCTTAGGACAGGCTGTTTTCTTAAAATCTGAGAATTCTAGTTTCAGAAATTGACATACGAGTACAAATGACTTGTGAGGGGTGACATCTGTGAAAGGTAAAGGGAGGAAGCATGATTTGGTAGGGGGAACTATCGGACGTCATCCTTTTAATTTGACAGTTGCTATCCACCAATGAGAAGATCCATAACAAATGATTAAGTCCCTGCACAATTCACTCAGTTTTTAACTGGGAGCTATTCTAAGTAAAATGTGCCCATGGCAACATCATCTTACACAGCTATTGTTCTTACTTAGGTGGGACCACCCTGAGAATAGCATGACCTTGGCTCGAAAGCTGAAGCAAACCCCAAAGGAACTAGCAGTTGGAAACCACGAGCTAATTATATTTTTCAGAGTTGGGCTGGATTTATTTTCTTGAATAGAGACCTTAGAGCTTACATCTGTGCCTGCCAACTACTGATGCCTCACTTTCAGATATCCTGTGTGATTTATTAGTTAATTCTGTTGGTTCTACCTTCAGACTCTCTGTGTCTCACCACCTCCACATCGACCATCCTGGGCCAAGCCATCATTATCTTCTTTTCTGTATTGTTGTGATAGCCCCTTCATCACTCTTCTGGTTCCTTCATCAATCTTCTGATTCTGTCTCTACAGTCTATTCTTCACACATACATCAAATCACTGTTTTGCTCTCAAATTTTCTGTCCGTATCCCCAAGTCATCTCCTATCCTTCTATCTTCTTATTCTCCGGTCGATTACCAGCTTACTCTTAAGTTTAAGCAAACCCTACATTACCTAGTCTTCTTCTTCTTATTATTTTACTTTTGTCCTGTGTCGTGACCTTCCCTTTTTCTGTACCAAGCTTATTATTACCTAAATATGACCTTCCGGCCTTAGGGCCTTGAATTTTCTATTTCCTCTTCCTTTCAGATACATGCAGGTCTTTGATAAAGTGCCGCCTTTTCAGAAAGGCTTTCTCTAGTTATTTAAAAGTGTAACCCAAAACAAAATTCCACATTGGAACAAAGCTCTACCCTTTCTCTGTTCCTGCTTTATTTTTCTTTATGTAATTTATCAACAATTGTTAATTACTATCTCCAGAGCCTAGACATCCCTTGGCATTTGGTAGGTTTTCAAATTAATACTTGTTGAATAAACAAAACATAAAAAATTACCAATTTTGTACTTTATCTGCTGGTAATGGGAACTGAGTGTTTACATGTTAGTCTACATGGAACAATGTGTAATATGGATACATATTATAATAATATGGATATTATTGAGAGATTAGGTCAAACTGAGATAGAAAAATAGCCAGGAGATTATTGGGAACAAAACCAGTATAAAGCGGTTGATAACATAAGAAATATTATTCAAAGTAACATTTATATTAAGTGCCTATGTTGTGGTAGGCATATGACAATTACCTCATTTCTTTAATTCAGACTATGCCCTTAAATGGGCATTAGTATCATGTAATTTACTAATGGAATTAGATTTAGAAAAGTCAGGTATGTAATCAAGTTTTTGTTCACATAGAGAAGCAGGGATTGTCATTCTCAAGCCTTTATTATTTCCACTACATTATAGAAATTAAGGATAAAAATATTTTATAGGAATTATGCAATGATTTAATAAATTTAACCAAAAATTATTTATTAATTTCTCAGTCTCTTATGGATTTCCCACAGTTTGATATAATATTTATTCCAGCCTTGTATTAAGGACTGTTGTTTACCAGAAGCCTTACTAATTATATAACCAGTCAATTAACACATATTTTGTATGACATATGGATTATATACTATATTCTGACAAGTAAGTCAGAGAAAAGTAAACATTATTAAGAAAATTATAACAAAAGAGAAAATGTATTTAGTATTCACTAAGTGGAAGTGGATTATCATGTCTCCATCCTTGTCATCTTCACATTGAGTAGGCTGAGGGGAAAGAGGAAGGGAAGGGGTTGGACTTGTCTCAGGGGTATCAGAGGCTGAAGAGGTGGGAGATGTCAAAGGGAAGGTAGGAGAGGCACAGTCAGTGTAATTAATGAAAATACATAGCAATTTCTGTCTTTTTTTTTTTTGCTTTTCTATTTCTCTAAAAATGTTTTTATATGATGGCCATCTTTCTTCCACTGTTTGTTTTAGGTTCAGTGCCCATATCATAGAAGGACTCATGTCATAAAAGAAGTCAAACGCAATCTTGAATGATTGGAACCCTTTTGCCAGATTACTGAATGTCAACTTGTTTTCTGGCCCTGCTGCTTCTACATCTTCTTCCTCATTATCTGGTACTGGATTGGAAATGCCCATTTCCTTCAAGTCACCTTCTGTTATTCTTCTAGTGTGCTGCCTACTAGCTCTTAGATTTCTCCAAGGTCCATATATCGAAACCCTTCACCATCCCCACACCACATTTTGTGGGTTTTTTTTGTTTGTTTGTTTTGCCATATCGATGATCTCTTTTATGATTTCCTTAATTGGCTCTGTCATAAATCCTGTGAAGTCATGCACAACATCTGGAAACAGTTTTTCCTGCAGGAATTTATTGTTTCAGGCTTAATGGCTTTTATGGATTTTTGTATAACAATGTTGGCATCTTCAATAATGTAATCCTTCCAGACTCTCATAACATTCTCTGAGTTCTCTTTCATAGCATTGATAATCCTTTCCATAAAGTACAATGTGTAATGAGACTTAAAGGTCCTTATTACCACCTCATTTCAAGGCTGAAATACATATATATATATTTGGTGTGGGGCAAGTTGACCACTTTGACATCTTTAATATTGAGTTCACAGGGTTCTCTGTGTCCAGGTGCATTGTTCAATATCAAAGGCATTTTAAAATGCAGATCCTTAGTGGCAAGGTATTTTCTGAATTCGAGGACAAAGCAAAGAAACCAATCCAGAAAAAAGGGCACTTGTCCAGGCCTTCTTGTTGTGAAACCAAAAGACTGACAGCTGGTTATCTTTTCCCTTCAAGGCTCAGGGGTTAGCAGCTCTATAGATAAGAGCATTGCTGATGGTAAATTCAACTGCATTTGCATAAACTATCCCTTCCTCCCTTAAATCCTGGTACTCCTTCTATTTCTTACTAATAAATACCCTTTGTGGTTTTTTTTTTTTTTTTTCCAGAATAGGGCATTTTTCTCTGCAATTCAAAACCTCTTCAGGCAGATATCCTTTCTCCTCAATGATTTTCTTAATGGCATCCGGGAACTCTTGCTCCCTCTTGGTTCTCCTGTTACCTTGACATTTTTGAAGCCAAACCTCTTTCCAAAATTATCAAACCAGCCTTTGCTGGTAGTGAATTCTCCAGCTTTAGATCTTTCAACTTCCATTTGCTTTGTTATATAATGCACTTTCTTTTTCTTGAATCATATTAGAGTTTATAGGTATGCCTTACTTATAGTAATATTATACCCACATAAATGTTGCATTTTCAATATAACACAAACAGGTGTTTCACAAAAAGTGCAGGTTTTGTGCCTGCTGGTGTAGCAGCAGCAAGCCTTCACAAATTTCCTCTTCTTTGTTTTACAAAGGTCTTTATGCTGGATTCATGTATTTTTAAATGATGGGGAACTGCTGCGGCAGACCTCAATCCATGGTACACATCAAGCAATTCAACTTTTTCCTGCAATGTCATGATTTTGTTTCTTGAGGGCACTTCCAGGCAACCCTAGGTGTACTTCATATGAGTCCCCTGGCATTATTCAAGGTTTGTGGTATTGGACAAAGCATGATAAAAATATGAAAGAACTGTAAGAGATCACTTTTTACTGTAATATGCAATTCATTGGAGAGATGAGCGACTCTTGCAAAGACGATCAGCATCACACGGAGTTTTAAGTGTATATTCACACTTGAAGTAATTGCAATAGCAACAGGAGCTGGCTACAAAATTATTACCGTGGTATGTTATATCCTACAGTTAATTATATGCAGTTATAATTAATACTGCATCTTAATATTTGTTTACATTTTTTTCTTCTGTGAATGGCACCATGTATGGTTTGTGTTTGTATGCATTCATTTTGATAAATTCTAACTCTTTGTAATAGAGTTGTGTATATTTTATGTTAACAAATGATAAAATAAACCATTATCTACATATATTTTATGCATTCATAATATACATTTAATTTTTTTATATTTCTATGCTACGTGATTAGTCTGCAAGTTTTTTCAAATTGTTGCAAATCTCAATAAAATTTTCCAATATATTTATTTAAAATGTCTACCTCACCACTCCTATTCAACATAGTGTTGGAAGTTCTGGCCAGGCCAATCAGGCAGGAGAAAGAAATAAAGGGTATTCAATTAGGAAAAGAGGAAGTTAAATTGTCCCTGTTTGCAGATGACATGAGTTTGTATTTAGAAAACCTCGTTGTCTCAGCCCAAAATCTCCTTATGCCGATAAGCAACTTCAGCAGTCGCAGGATACAAAATTAATGTGCAAAAGTCACAAGCATTCTTATACACCAATAACAGACAAACAGAGAGCCAAATCATGAGTGAACTCCCATTCACAATTGCTTCAAAGAGAATAAAATGCCTAGGAATCCAACTTACAAGGGATGTGAAGGATGTCTTCAAGGAGAACTACAAACCACTGCTCAACAAAATAAAAGAGGACACAAACAAATGGAAGAACATTCCATGCTCATGGATAGGAAGAATCAATATCGTGAAAATGGCCATACTGCCCAAGGTAATTTATAGATTCAATGCCATCCCCATGAAGCTACCAATGACTTTCTTCACAGAATTGGAAAAAACTACTCTAAAGTTCATATGGAACCAAAAAAGGGCCCACATTGCCAAGACAATCCTAAGCCAAAAGAACAAAGCTGGAGGCATCACACTACCTGACTTCAAACTATGCTACAAGGCTATAGTAACCAAAACAGCATGGTACTGGTACCAAAACAGAGATATAGACCAATGGAACAGAACAGAGCCCTCAGAAATAATATCACACATCTACAACCATCTGATCTTTGACAAACCTGACAAAAACAAGAAATGGGGAAAGGATTCCCTATTTAATAAATGGTGCTGGGAAAACTGGCTAGCCATATGTAGAAAGCTGAAACTGGATCCCTTCCTTATACCTTACACAAAAATTAATTCAAGATGGATTAAAGACTTAAACATCAGACCTAAAACCATAAAAACCCTAGAAGAAAACCTAGGCAATACCATTCAGGACATAGGCATGGGCAAGGACTTCATGTCTAAAACACCAAAAGCAATGGCAACAAAAACCAAAATTGACAAATGGGATCTAATTAAACTAAAGAGCTTCTGCACAGCAAAAGAAACTACCATCAGAGTGAACAGGCAACCTACAGAATGAAAGAAAATCTTTGCAATCTACTCATCTGACAAAGGGCTAATATTCAGAATCTACAAAGAACTCAAACAAATTTACAAGAAAAAAACAAACCCATCAAAAAGTGGGCGAAGGATATGAACAGATACTTCTCAAAAGAAGACATTTATGCAGCCAACAGACACATGAAAAAATGCTCATCATCACTGGCCATCAGAGAAATGCAAATCAAAACCACAATGAGATACCATCTCACACCAGTTAGAATGGCAATCATTAAAAAGTCAGGAAACAACAGGTGCTGGAGAGGATGTGGAGAAATAGGAACACTTTTACACTGTTGGTGGGACTGTAAACTAGTTCAACCATTGTGGAAGATAGTGTGGTGATTCCTCAAGGATCTAGAACTAGAAATACCATTTGACCCAGCCATCCCATTACTAGGTATATACCCAAAGGACTATAAATCATGCTGCTATAAAGACACATGTACACATATGTTTGCTGCAGCACTATTCACAACAGCAAAGACTTGGAACCAACCCAAATGTCCATCAATGATAGACTGGATTAAGAAAATGTGGCATGTAGACACCATGAAATACTATGCAGCCATAAAAAAGGATGAGTTCATGTCTTTATAGGGACATGGATGAAGCTAGAAACCATCATTCTGAGCAAACTATCGCAAGGACAAAAAACTAAACACCGTATGTTCTCACTTATAGGTGGGAATTGAATAATGAGAACACTTGGACACAGGAAGGGGAACATCACACACAAGGGCCTGTCATGGGGTGGGGAGTGGGGGAGGGATAGCATTAGGAGGTATGCCTAATGTAAATGACGAGTTAATGGGTGCAGCACACCAACATGACACATGTATACATATGTAACAAACCTGCACGTGTGCACAGGTACCCTACAACTTAAAGTATAATAATAATAATAATAATAATAATAATAATAAAGAAAATGGAAAAAGAAGAAAAAAAAATCTGCATACAAGTAGAACCCACACAGTTTGAACCAATGTTGTTCAAAACTCAACTTTGTAAACAATTAATATAAATGAAGTGGCAGAATTAAACTCAACTTTGTAAACAATTAATATAAATGAAGTGGCAGAATTTGGCAGGTATTAAAAATAAAATTTTAGAACCAATGAGTAAAAATATCATGAGTGTATTAGTCTATTTTCATGTTGCTGATAAAGACATCCCTGGGACTGGGAAGAAAAGAGGTTTTATTGGACTTACAGTTCCACATGTCTAGGGAGGCCTCAGAATCATGGTGGGAGGCAAAAGGCACTTCTTACATGGCAGTGGCAAGAGAAAAATGAGGACGATGCAAAAGCAGAAGCCCCTGATAAAATCATCACATCTCATGAGACTTATTTACTACCATGAGTACCGTATGGAGGATACAACCCCCGTGATTCAAATTCTCTCCCACTGGGTCCCTCCCACAACACATTGGAATTATGGGAGTAAAATTCAAGATGAGATTTGGGACACCGAGCCAAACTGTATCAATGAGAATCTTTTCTAATTTACAGATTAACACACGTACACACAAACATAACAACAGCAACATCTCTAAAGAATGTGGTATTTTAACGAGAGTCTTCATGGAGAAAATGGAGAAGAATTTAAGAATATTCGGCCCCAAAAGAATAGTATGCATAGAAGGCCAGAGTCAAGAAAGAATGAGGCACAGTTGAGTGGATGTATTTATGCTTAGCTTATTTTTCTAAGGTAAGTGGATCTTATCCTGAGAGTAATTGGAAGCCATTTAAGTATTTTAAGCAGGGGACTGAAGTGATCAGAATTGTATTATCAGGAAATTCCTTTTTGGTAATGTGGAGGCTAGATTGACAAGGAGCATCTGCTGATAGGTAGTCCCCCATGCCCTGATAGTTGATTGAAACTATTTTCACTAATGTTATCAATCACTGGCATGTTGCTAAATATGGTTTATATTTCTCATCTCTTATTTTGCTTGCCTTTCTACTGTCATTACATATATATGTATATGTATGTATGCGTGTGTATATATAGGTATATATATGTGTATGTATATATATATAGTGATGGAAACTAACAATGACTTTATATTGACACAGATCTGAACTATGTCATTTTGTCCTATTATTCTTAGCTAAACCAACAAGTTCAAGAGTCAACCCCTGGCCATGGAAATTTATACCACATTCTGGATAGACAGGTACAAAGGAGGGATAAAAAGGTAAAAGAGTTTGGTGTACTGACAGAAGAGTGGCTGCCACTTGGGCCATGACTCCTCATAAAGTGAAGAAGTATTTACAAGAGTTAAGTTGAAAATTATTGAATGGTAAATGTTGCTGTATGTAGCCATGTTTACATTCAACAAAGTGAGGTTAATAATGTTATCAAGTGTGTATGTTTCAATCTTTTTTTGAAAACAAAGTTATTTAAGTAAATTTCTGAAATTATTAATTAATCTTGCACTTTAACTTTGTCATCTCAATTTTTTTCAGTCCTCATGGGCTAAATTCAGTCAATATACCTGTTTTTGTTGGGTTGACAGAATACTTTAAAAAAAGTATTCCAAGATATTTAGTTCCAATGCCTCCTACCACATTATTGCTTCAAATAGCCTCTCTATCTATGAATGAAAACTGCCTAACCCATAGTGGCATTTGGGTTTAAAGCTCAAATGAAAACAAACATATACGTAAAACACGAAGTATAAAAACTAAATATCAAGCTACAGTATTTTCATTCTTTAAATACCATTATTCATATAGCTCATAATCTTGTGAGATAGATTTTCAGGCAAACATAAAGTATTGGTTTAAGAAAAGCAATTTTTTTAAGGTTTGCAGTTTCTTTTTTTTTTTTTTTTTGAGACGGAGTCTCACTCTTTCGCCCAAGCTGGACTGCAGTGGCGCTATCCCGGCTCACTGCAAGCTCCGCCTCTTGGGTTCATGCCATTCTCCTGCCTCAGCCTCCCGAGTAGCTGGGACTACAGGCGCCCACCACCACGCCCGGCTAATTTTTTGTATTTTTAGTAGAGACGGGGTTTCACCGTGTTAGCCAGGATGGTCTCGATCTCCTGACCTCGTGATCCGCCCGCCTCGGCCTCCCAAAGTGCTGGGATTACAGGCATGAGCCACCGCGCCCGGCCTTGCAGTTTCTTGTTTAAACAAAGCAGTTTCTTAAATTATTAAGAAATAATACAAATGCAACTCTTTCTTAGGCATATGTAACCAATCCCTAAGGCCTGCTCTTAAGAATTTTGAGGTCTACCAATGACATGCAAGTGAGAAATCTAAATATCATAACTACTTAGTTCAAGTATGCCCTTGTGTTATATATTTGTCTTCTCCACCCACTCCAAACTTCACACCTCATTTCACACTATCCTATATACTTGAAATAGCATACTGATTAATGTTCACCCTTTTCTCTCTGTCTGAAATAATTTTTTCTTTTCCTCTGCACTCCTTCCCAAGCCCATCTGTTTAGTGGCAAACCCACCTGCTTCAACTGCTCCTTTGTCTTTTTTTTTTTTTTCCCCTTAGCAGTTTCTATAACTGCTGATAAAAACTTTCTCCTTTGGAATTGTGAACTCATTTGGGTGAGAATTCTAATGTTCTTGACCTGTTTTCCTTTCTACCCATTTCCATATGAAAGCCGGACACTCATAAATAATGCTTGAGGTAATAATATAACATGTAATATTAAAAGATCATCTTCTCAAACCGGTAGAGATGCATAGAAATCTGAAATGTACACTTTTGATTTACAGCTTAGATGGAAAATATATAAAGATTTAGCATTAGATATATAATAAAAAATGTTTTTACACAGCTTACCTAAAAGATAAGAGTAACATTTGTGTTTTCCTCTAAAGACAGCTTGAAAAGAATTTCAGAGAATAATTTTTAAAATTCAATATTTACAATGTATACTGTTGACATATATTCTATGTTATGGATACCAATGGATTGATTTACAATATTTCCATTTTATGTTTGTTTGCAAATAATTTTTCTGTTAAAACTATAAAAATTGATCATCACTTTGAATACTGTCATTTTTTCTCACCATAATTTATAAAAATTTTAATATAGCAACTCTTCCTTCCTGAACACATACACATACCTTTTACTGAATATCAAAAAAGGTATTATTTTTAAAATAATAAAACCACCAGGGCCATTTGTCATTGATAAATATCACTCCAAAAGACTGATGTTTCTTAATGATAACACTGCGGTTGATGATAGGGTAGCAATTTCTTCAAAAGTAGTTATTATACTTTCCAGTCATTTTGTGTTTATAATATAGTACGAGTCTCATGTATATCCTGAAATTTCTATATCACAACCATCTGGAATAAGATATTTTGTTTTATAGGACCCATATAATTCTATTCTCAGGATGTACACATATAAAACATATTTATTAATTTATAATACAAATAATATACAGACAACTTTATTTTTTCCACAGAGAGGCTTCCATGATAAATTTGTTTTATGTGGATATTACTATTTCCCTCTTCTGTGCTAAAGTAGATGTTTGTGCTTCTGTGATAACTCTTACCATCCTGTTTCTTGTGTTCGGGTTATTTGTGCATTTATCTGCCTTTTAAAGTGCATTTTTAAAAATGAGAGGTAGAGGATTTTTTTTCACTTTCTCATAGGCTATAGCACCTACCAGACCATTTTTGTACATTGATACATATTTATTGAAGTAAATGCTTAAGAAATATATTAAATTTCAGTTTTATATAAACCTATCATATAGATTTTATAATTCAATTTTAATATGTTTTATGTTAAAGCTTTTTTGTATAGCAATCAAGTAGTGCAATACATTACTTTAAATGTAAAATTGATGTAATTACTATAGAAAAATATTAATCTCTGTGGTAAACATAACTAACATTAAAATGTGCAACGTATTTATATGTAAATATATATATATGTAATTTTTTGGAATTATTCAGTAAGCTACCCAACTCAATTATTTTGGTATTTTTCTATTAAAACAATCATTTCATGTATCAAAGGCCAAAACAGCCATTCAGAGAGACACGTATTTAACTTATATCAAAATTCTGAAGCTCTCCTGGTAAGAAGTAAACCACAAAATAAGAAGAAGACTACACTCCCATTCATTTTCCTTAGCTCATAACATAAGAGTTAAAAAGGAAAGAAGAACTTTTCATCAAGAATGGACTGTGAAATGCATTGGAGGTTGTTGTAAGTTGTGCCGATGGATTTGTAGAAGCAAGTACACAGAGCCTCACAACAACTAGTAGTTAATTCAAATGTGACCTAGATCAGCAGTGACTAAATGCCGTTAACATTACATCAGCAAAGCAAAGTGCAAAGATAGCCATCCTCCATTTTTCTGTGGAGAATGATTTCTGCTTAAAAAGAATGATGTATAACAGTCCTCATCATAGTAGTTGCTGCTTCAGAAGTAGATAAAAGAACATTTGCTTATTTTTTACTGCAAAGAGTACTGTGACAATTGTGAGGTCGTCAGTTCAAAGGACAGCCTGAGATCAGTTTCCAGTTAAGAAAACAAGACAAAGAAGCAATCTAAAATGTGAATAATATGTGTATGTGTATGTATATATATTATTATATATAATCTATAATTATATTTTTCTTAATTATTGAAGCTGAAAAAATTGATCAACTTATATTTCATAATACATTGGCTGTCACAAACTCAAAATAATACTTATAAGATTAGAAGTAATCCTTAAAATTTATAGACAACATATTAGTGAAAACATTTGAAATTTTCATTTTTGTACCTTGAAAATGGTCACATATATGCAATTTCATATGGATCATCATAAATACATATAACTTCACAGAATTTCTGCTGCAGCCATTCAAGCAATGTGAAGGGAAAAACTCATTAAGCATGTACAAAAATGTTATTCACAACACTGACCACATATAAATGCACAAATGGAATATGTGTTAGATATCATCAATGAGGTAAGTTGGTTACATTTTAAAGTTTCATAAAATAATCATTAGATTTATCAGTAAAAATACGGTTGCTACTCATTTATCAAATTAGGCACTGTTAGTCTAATTTAATGCAGAGATTTTTAGAAAGATATTCTTGTTTATCACTAAAATATGAAAATCTACATCATTTAATAACTCACAAGGGGTAGGTCATATGCCAATATTTCAGAATCTTACCTCAAATGTCAATTAATTTTCAACATCAGTGTAACCTTCCACGTGGAAGTTTCCACTACTCAGATCCTCGTGATTTTTACTTTATTCTTCATTCTTTAAGTGATCATTTATCAGTTTATTATATTTTATTAGTATTAAAATGAAAACAGAAATAGATGAAAAAATAGTTGGCTAACGAGTCTTGCAGCATGTAGGCACGTTATTCAGTAATAATTAGTGAGTGCTTAACATGTGGCTAGGCTCTGTGAGATGCTGAGGATAGACGACAGACAGATAAAGTCTCTGTCTCAGTGAGTCAAATATAGTTAAACAAGAGCTAAAATTTGTTTACTTCATTTAATTTTTTTACTTTTAATTTTTGTGGGAACATAGGTATATATGTTTATTTGTGTACATGAATGCAATGAGTAATAATCACATCATGAAAAATTGGGCCTCCATCTCCTCAATCATTTATTACATTTATTAAAATATCACTAGTCCCATTATTAAGGAGAGAAATTTACATTCCACATAAAACAAAATTAAAATAAACAAATCTTTTACCTATAGACAATTCCCTTAAATGAATTAATTCACAAATGGAAATCTGGATAAACCTTCATAAGATACCATTGTTATGGTTTAAATTATGACATTTTGATATGACTGACTATGATATCTGAGGAAGAAAAACAAGTTGTAAAACCAGTTTATAAGCTTTCATTTTCAAGTTAATATTTTCAATGGTTATATTAAATCTACCACATGAATAGATATGTGCCTTGAGTATTTAGATGTTTCTGCCATTAAATGTATCCTCAGACTAGAAAATGAATGGATCAAAGGTATCCACGTTACCCCTACATACAGACTCAGGAGCCACTCTCTAAGTTATAAGTTATTAAATAGTTTCATGTGGCAAGCGGTCTACAGCATAACTGTGAAATCTGAAAACTCCCTTGAGAAGTTCACTTTTAAATTGCTCGTTTTTACCAGAGCTGAAAGCAAACTATGTTCAGTAGAAGCATGTTGCCATTTATGTTTAGGGAAGGGATAGGGCAGGCTGCTAAATTGCAGAAATTCTATACCAATTAAATATTTGGTAAATTAAGCAAATAAGGATGTGAAAAATTAGTTTCACTTTGAAATCCATATGCATAGATTTATATGGTACTAAAGATGGTAAAATTTGAAAATGGATGGGAAATTTTCCAATCATTGTCAGCAGTTTTGATCAGGAGAGACGAAGTCTCAGTATGTGTTTATGCACATTATCATCCAAAACACCGTTTTCATCATCATTTTCATCATCATCCCCATGCTCATTTTTATCATCACCAAAGCTAGTTGCCAAGTATTATTTTAATAATCACATGTATGTTAACTCAGATTTTCCAAATAAGACATTAGATTTTTATGGAAGAGGAAATGACTGTATGGAGATATTTCAAAGGAATTGCCCAAGGTCACATAGCTGGGAAATGGCAGTTGGGATTTTAACCTGTGCTGTCTGGTTTTATAGTTCTTCCCTTATATTGAAAAAAAATCATTACATTATTACTTTAAACTAAAGTTTTGGAATAACAAATTTTCTAGAGTTCTCATACATGAGAAGGGTTAAAAAAGAGACTCAGAAGACCATTTTTTCTTATAGTTGGATTGCCTTTTGCAGACACTATTTTAGAAGCAATGGTTCAGAGACAAAGGTGCTCCTAAGCATGGAGACACAATTAATGGATTTTGATTGAGTGACTGACCAACTGAGGTAGTAACACACCAGTGAAAGTAAAGTGTTGTAACCGTTAAAACTATTTGTTTACAGTGAACCATTCCCCTGATATTTATGCTTTATATGGTACCTTTATGCATTAACTTTAGGTTTAGCTATGTGTCTTTCTTTAGACAATTAAATAATAGTAAGCATTACACAAATTGAAGCCTGATAAACACTTGCAAACTGGGCGTGTTCTCTTGCATTACAGTCTCCATTTAAGGAACCCAAGCTATCTACATGCAGAGAACACAGGTAGAGATCGCAGGGCTATAGCCTCCCAGATATTTATAACAAGGCTCCAATCGTGTGCGTGAAGTCTGTTTAGATTTTGTTTTAATCCAGCTCAGCATTTGAGTGATGCAAGTCACCCAAATCACCTCCCCATGGAGCAAAATTGTTCAGCTGAATCCAGCCAATCCACCTGATTATGAGAAGGAATAAACTATTGCTATCATAAATCATTACTTATTGGTATGGTTGTTACGCAGCTACAGGCAATTAAAACACAGGGCATCTTGTTAACCAACTTTGCCACGACTCTCATTTCGGTGAAGAAAAATAATTTATAGGAACATACTGAAATCCCATCTGACACTGTGATTATTTTATACATATATTGAGTAGGCACTAGGACAAAATATATCATCAAGGACCTTTGTAATTTAAGCTATTTTGATGGCAAATATGCCATATATTAAATTTTTCACTAACAGACATTTGATGCCACATTCTAGAAAACCATGATTTCTTTCCAAATAGCTTCCGTGTATATATATACACATATACATATGTATGTTGTATGTATCTTTATATACATATATGTATATATGCATATATACATGAATTGTTTTGAGACAAAAAGGTTTTCTTGACTAAATGAGCCAGTAGATATTTAAAGGAGAGAAAAATCACTAGGTTACCAAGATTACAGTGAGTCTATTCATGTGGATAAAACAATAATTTCCCCCATGTGATTATCATACTTGTAGGTGTCAGTGTTGCAAATTCAGGGATAAAGTTGTTTACGTTAGAGAGTTAGCCATTTACAGGAAAGGGTACAAGGCTTTGTTGATTTGGAATACTAATGCTAGGTAGAATCTTCTTCCTCATTTTTACCATACTACTCTCTTTCCTGTATAAACTATATCTTTGTGTATTTTTAAAACACTGCCATTAATAAAAAGTAGCAATAATATCATCAAATAATAATAATAGAATATAAATAGAATAATTTATTATAACTTTTTTTCATTTTAACAGAAGTTACTATTATTTTGGAAGTTTTTACTACTCATGCATGCTATCTGTGCATTTATAAAAATAATAGTATATGGAGACCCTAGCATCTTTTTATTAATCTTATTTTAATGTTTCTAATTTTTTTCAGAATCAACCTTTGCTATCTTAGTCATCTTGTTTTCATGAGAAAAATTAATGTATCTTTTATGACTCTATGAATAGTCATTACAATTTTGGCTATTTAGATGATCAATGATACAAGGATTTTATTCAATTTTAAAATATATAATCATTAGTCAATTTCATTAAATTTCCACAGATTATATAATTAATTATTAATGAATATAGAATTTGAAATAAATCCATTTCTATTCACAAAATTTAAGGACACAGATAGAAAGGCATGTAGTTTAAGAGATTTTGTTTAATTCCAACCAAATATTTTGAGAACTATATAAATATTTCCTAATTCTAACCAAAATCCATATGTCCAATAAACAGTATAGATATATCTTTCAAACATGTTTACAAAAAATTATTTTTCTGCCTTTTAATAATTGAACTCTTTAAAAATCACATCGTATATAGAAAAAACTATACAAACGTTTTTCATCAAATTCATTTTGTAAAATAAATATCATTCATTCATTAATTTATTGATTTTTTGATAGAGTTTTTTTATTATTATACTTTAACTTCTAGGGTACATGTGCACAACGTGCAGGTTTGTTACATAGGTAAACATGTGCCATGTTGGTTTGCTGCACCCATCAACTCGTCATTTACATTAGGTTTCCTAATGCTATCCCTCCCCTAGTCCCCCACCCCATGACAGGCCCCAGTGTGTGATGTTCCGCATCCAGTGTCCATGTGTTCTCATTGTTCAACTCCCACCTATGAGTGAGAACATGCTGTGTTTGGTTTTCTGTCCTTGTGATAGTTTGCTTAGAATGATGTTTTCCAGCTTCATCCATGTCCCTGCAAAGGACATGAACTCATCCTTTTTATGGCTCCATAGTATTCCATGGTATCTATGTGCCACATTTTCTTAATCCAGTCTATCATTGATGGACACTTGGGTTGGTTCCAAGTCTTTGCTATTGTGAATAGTGCCACAATAAATATACGTGTACATGTGTCTTTATAGCAGCATGATTTATAATCCTTTGAGTATATACCCAGTAATGTGATGACAGGGTCAAATGGTATTTCTAGTTCTAGATCCTTGAGGAGTCGCCACACTGTCTTCCACAATGGTTGAACTAATTTACACTCCCACCAACAGTGTAAAAGCATTTCTATTTCTCCATATCCTCTCCTGCATCTGTTGTTTCCTGACTTTTTAATGATCACCATTCTAAGAGGTGTGAGATGGTATCTCATTGTGGTTTTGATTTGCGTTTCTCTGATGACCAGTGATGATGAGCATTTTTTCATGTGTCTGTTGGCTGCATAAATGCCATCTTTTGAGAAGTGTCTGTTCATATCCTTTGCCCACTTTTTGATGGGGTTGTTTTTTTCTTGTAAATTTAAGTTAATTGTAGCTTCTGGATATTAGCCCTTTGTCAGATGGGTAGATTGCAAAATTTTTCTCCCATTCTGTAGGTTGCCTGTTCACTCTGATGATAGTTTCTTTTGCTGCTCAGAATCTGTTTAGTTTAATTAGATCCCATTTGACTATTTTGGCTTTTGTTGCTATTGTTTTTGGTGTTTTAGTCATGAAGTCTTTGCCCATGCCTATGTCCTGAACTGTATTGCCTAGGTTTTCTTCTAGGGTTTTTATGGTGTTTGGTCTTACATTTAAGTCTTTAATCCATCTTGAGTTAATTTTTGTATAAGGTGTAAGAAAGAGATCCAGTTTTAGCTTTCCACATATGACAAGCCAATTTTCCCAACACCATTTATTATTATTTATTTATTATGATTATTATTATTTATTATTTTATTAATGTTTAATATTTAATGATTTAATGTTTTAATATTTTTATATTTTGTTTTATGATTTATGATTTTAATGTTTTTCTGATATATTAATAGCATGTAAGATATCCAGCAAAGTTACAGATACATTATATACCTTCATGAACACTATGTCATTCTCTCATTTTCTACTGCAATGAGACATACAATTATACAGAATTGGCAAATACTTGTTTAAAACATTATTTTATCTCTTCTATTCCCAATGGAGATGAACAATAGGGAAAAATAAATAAAATTATTGCATTTTGGAATTAGTTGAATAATATAGGATGAAATTGGTAATAATAGGCAATAATCTATTGTAAATTATTTTTAAAGTTTGGATTTTGGGGTAAACACACATATGTTTTCTTTTATTTTTATTCACTTATGCATTTATTCATTCAGCAGCTACTCTGTGCAAGCCCTCTGGAAGAACTTGTTGGAAATAACTATGATTCCTGCTATCAAGAGCCATGCAGCATAAAGGGCAAGAGAAACAGGGAAACAAACGTCTTTACAGGAAAAGGTCCATAAAACATACATGAATGAAGTGATACATAATCGCTTTGCTCACTTGGAGTCCAAAATGCTTTCCTGAAGGGAAATTCTCTGCTAGATTTGTGGATGATATACTAAAGAACTAAGGGCAGAGCAAAACAACTTTCTGACAATTTTTTGTCAGAAAATTGTGATTTTTTCAAAATATTGTTATGCATATACAAAGCCTTGATGATAGCAGGCAGGGAAGTAGTAATTTCCCTTTATTGTTCAGCAAATGGTTGCCCCTCATAGAGAACGAATAATAAGTGATTCTAGTGTCTGAAGAAACAGATGTTGTCATGGGGATAGACATAGCTTCTCAACAGTAGTTCATTTCTAGTACCGGAATTATAGTGAATTGAAAGAGTCTAATTCGAGTCTTGGGGCATCTTCTCTTTTCCCTCTGTTTGTATTAATTCTTCCAGATGAATTGTTTTTATTTTGGCCATCAGGGATGATTGTATCACTAACATGGCTCACCAAAAGCAACTTAGAAAATTTGTACATGAAACATTTTTTAGCTACTTAATTTTAATAGAAATGGTACATAATATATTCCATATTCACTTAATGACAACAAAGTTTTAATAGAGAGAACATGTAGCATTCACATTTTGATGGAGAAAATTAAAAATATTATATCTTGGAGGAACATGTTTCAGAAAGTTTTTTCTTTTAGAGCAGTGTTAATGCATACAAACTACAATTAAAGTAACTTTCATTGAGCAATGTTGCATAAAGTAAACAATAAGACTTTTTCATGGTATTTAAGGTTGTCTTTTTGAACTCTCCCATTATGTTCTACATATAATATGGTGTCATGTGGAGTGATCTGACATCAAAAAGCCCCAGCCTCCAGTAGGTGAACCTTTTCCTCACTTTCATGCCTAAGAAAAAACGAGCTCATGTTGGGTTTTCAGAGACAAAAAAGAAATGGCAATGCTTTTTTCACTCAGTTTGTTCTAATTCCAAGACACTAAAAGCTTAGTTTTGAAGAACTAGATATCAATACTGCTAACACTCTAGGGTCCAACTTACCAACCCTGAATGTAATGTTAACATCACTGAATTTGCTTATTTAGTTCTTACTGCATATTTATCTTTTATGATTGAACTCCTTTGAAACAACAATTTTAGCAATATGACTTAATTATTTAAACCTTAAAATATCCATATTCTTATTATGATCCTTTCAAACTCATGTAAATTAAGTCATGTAATGATTTAATATGAAACTTCCCATGCACTTAAACAAATTGTTCTTGTGTTAAATTGATAAGGAACAATGAAAATTTCACGGCTGATAAGATATTGATGTAACTATACTACATTCTCAGTGTCCTCATTCTCTCTCCATCTCTCGCTGTCTCCTATGTGCTCTCTCTCACACACCATTTGTTTAAAACAGAAAACTGATTACTTCTGTTCCATATTTGCTCATGTAGTAACTCAGTAAAGCTGTGAGTGTCAGTGTATCAGCTTAATTGGAGGAGATGACAGATAAGAATGTATGAATCACCTGTGGAGTTTGCTAAACTATGGAATTCCTTTTTCAAAGGCTCTAACGAAACTGAGCACCAACTCTGACATAAATTGTGTGTGCACTGCTATTTGTGACATTTAAGCTATAAAAACAGTGGACACTTTATCTATACTTCAACTAAAGGAAAATCTGAAAGAATTATTCCTTGCTGTGGCCTAAATCATTAAGTTAAAATACAGAAAAAAAGAGGAACAAGACATTCAGTTTTAGCACCTTAAGACATATGTAAGACACGTAGAATAACTAATAGTCAATCAATTAGCCTAGATAAAATTATCGAAATCAAACCAGGCAGAAATTTCTTCCAATTTTAGATTGCATTAGGAAAATATACAGAAAGATTTTTAAAACCTTCATTAAGGCATTCACATTCTTAATCCTTAAATTTGAAAATCCTTTCTGATCTCAATTAAAATATGTATGTTAATGAAATTTATTATTTTTTCCAATGTTAACATGGTACATATAGTTGTTAACGACATTCTTGTTAATACATGTGTCTATTGATCTTTTCTTACATTTCAATATTCTTTCATTATAAACAGGAGTAGTTGCCATTTAGTGAGCATAAGCTATGTGATATATTCTCATATGCTGTCTCAGTTAATTTACACAAAACTCAAGATATTACTTTGTCAATTTTCCATGAGGCTCAGTAACATTCTGAAGCCACATACCTGGAAGGTATCAGAACAACAGAACATAATCCCAAGATGTTTATCTCTCACTTACTTTTTTTTTTTTTTCTCCAGCAACATTGCTTTCCTATCTACCTACGGGAAGAAATCATTCTGCTGTCTCCATTGACATCAGTTTTGGCAATTAATTTTTTAAATTATAAGATAATGTTTACAACAACGAGATGAGTGCCCATTTCTGTATAAAGTGGCAAGAGAAATACATGTCTTTGAGACGGAGATATTTTTGTCTGCTTGCTTTGTTTTGTTTGGCATTAGGGAAATATTAGAAGTAAGTATCCATTTTCTTTTGGCAAGTCTTGTCACTGTCATTCACATGGTACTGCCTCGAGGAAGCAATTTCTTAGCATAGTCTAATGTGTCAGTAATATATTAATAAAATTTATACTTTGTACATAATTTTAAAATGCTCATAAATATATGAAAATTCATGAGTGTGCTGCTCTTCATTTAGAGGTTTTAGCTTTTATAGGAAGATACAAGTAATCCAGAAATAGCCTATTGTCTAGGGAGCAGACAAAGGAATACCTGGAGAATGAGAGAATTTTAGAGTAGGAGAAATTAAATGGTATGGTGTTGTCCAAAACACATTTAATACGGGTAATTTGAACATTTATGGTAAGCCAGGCATCATCATGTAACTTCTTATGTGGAAAGTGTGTGCACAAAATTCAACACATTTTTATTGAGGGTGAATGGTATGGTGTATGTACGCTGTCTTATAGTCTAAAGAAAGAAGAAATGTCCTCACTAAGAAAGGTACTACAAATGAATTTAGAATCATTTATTAGGAATTAGTGAGGTAGGAAAGTAAAAAGAAAATTAACAAGTTTAAAACACAGACTTAAGCTAATTTTACAATAAAAAAGTTGGTGAATGACCTTTGAAGAAGACAAATAATTAAGGCGTAACTCTTTTAGGTATACAATGTGTTAGCAGTATTTTTTCAAGAGGCATGTTGCCTTATAGAATAGTCATGTAAAGTTTTTCCACCATTGATATATATTAGCTATATTAGCCCACCTTCTTTTATCTCATTATGCTATATCCCAGATTAAAAGAGAAAATACAGTTTAGAGGTGTCCATGCCGAAGCAGAAGTTATCTTCTGAGCTTTTACAAACCTGTCTACACTAGCGTACATTTAAGATCCAAATGGCTTATTTGCATGTTTGTAATTTTTCTTTTTTTCTGTTAAATGGAATTGACTACAAATTAGCTTTTGACTTTAATGTGAACACAATTAGAATAATGTATCCATGTAACCAATTTTGAAATAATCCATTATCTGGAAATAGATTTAGTAACAACATACCTATTTTTAAAAATGGCAACAATTATCCAGAATTCAACACTAAGATTCCACAGAGGAACTTCTATACCAATAGATTATAAAAGATCACTCAAATTGATAACACATTAAAAGTAACAATTTATGAGGCATTATAAGCCTTATTTGAATGTGATATTTGGCCATACAAACTTTTCCATATAGTAAAATATGATATTAATGACAGTTTTAATAATATTTTATTATCTAGTATCTTAAAACACAAGGGCTAAAAAGTTTATATTTTGGAAAACAATTTTGAAAGTATCATGTTTTAATTTAAGTGGCTTTCCAATATTATTTTATTATGGAGTGAAACAAAATAAAACAAAAAGAACACACTAATGCCAGTCCAATTTCTAGGCGAAATATATATGACAAGTTCCTGGGACTTCCTTGTACTCTCTGTTAAGTTCTTGTAAGGCTGTCAGACAGTATTTTCTTATTACCATCTTTTTACCTATCCATCTCTAGTAGACCTGGGCTCTTTAGGCAGGTCACATCTTCACTGATTTTAAGTTTTTGACAATATGCTCACTTGAAAACGTAAAATCAATGGAAATTAAAAATGAGTCTAATGTGGTTCAGGAGGCTGTATCATTTTGAAGTCCAAGAGAAAGACTTTTTAAATCTTTCTACGAAATCCATTTTAGAATTTAATAAATTTTATTGCTTAAATTTTAAAATGTAATTTTCCAAATACATATTTCATTAAAAGTCAGTGAATATCCTTTCAATGTGTCAATATTTCTATTAGGGAAGGGAGGTGTTTACCTACATTTTTATTTTCCAAAGTATGTTCCACTTTGAGAGGTACTCTAATGTTGTATGCCTGACCTGATCTAGAATTTGTGGAATCTGGGATTGATTTCTTTCTTTAAAGTGCTGAGATTACAACCCCTACTATAAAATGAGGCCGAAAGACAAAGTACTTGTCATGTCTGTGTTAATAGAAAAAAAAAAAAAAAAAAAGGAATGTAAGTGAGTGGATTTCTAATTTGTCTTCTTCCATTTAAAAAAAACAAACTACAAATTCTAACATTTGTAAATGTATTATTTCTTACATTTTTCTTAAATGGCAGTAGTTGTCTGTTAAACATAAGTGGTTTACTACCTTGAAAAATAAAACTAAAATGGCAAATGTTAAATTTCTAGAAAATCGTTATATGGATATTTGTAACTTTATTTTGTTTACTTTCGCTTTGTAAATCTTATAGTACATTTGATATTGGAGCAATGAAAGGTTAAGTCTTAAATGCTCAAACACATATTCCAAAAAGTAAAAAGAGAAATAATATTTCTGTCAAGTACAACATTAAAAATTAATGTATATCAGTGAACTCTGGTAAATGAAAAAATAGCAGCTGGAAATTATCCACTTTTCTTGTACCAATCCAGTTATTAAACCCAACTGCACAGTAAAATCATCCTACAAGCTTACAAAAATACTGCTTCTTAGATACCATCACAAAACTATTAAATTAAAATATCTAGGGGTGAAGCTTGGAGGATAGTCATGTTTTAAAGCTACCCATGTGATGCTAATGTGTGCTATTTGCAAAAAAAAATAGTTGAGGTGAAGATGAATGGGTGGTGTATTTTTTTCACAGTAGTGGATACATTCTGGAAATAGAACGTATAGTGGCATTATAGAATACAATAGAATGTACATTATAGAATACAATAGAATTGTATTATATACAATATATACAATAGAATTGCATTATAGAATACAATAGAATGTATAGATGCCATTATACATTCTGGAAATAGAATGTATAATGCCATCTTTCCCTTGGCTCCAGCAGAGGCTCTATTTTGAACATGGAGTCAATAAGTTATGTCACAATTTTTACCATATATATAAAATTTGTATTAAACTGTTACAAATGATCAAATTATTAACTTTGTAAAGTGTTCAGAATAAGAAATACACATGTATCTTAAAGAAAAGTAGGTTTCCCTAAAAAGACGGAAGAAATAAAAAATAAAACTTTTTATTAACATTTTACTGAAATGTATAAAAGATATCTGTGACAGAATTTATATAGCAACCCATTTCCTTACCTATAAATAGCTCTAATAGGCATGATTACATTGCAATTGCAACTTTCCAGCTCACATGTTGCATAGATTCCTTTCTGGAAAAAATATTGGTCAGGCAGACATGTTTTTTTTTTTATGACACAATGATCCTAGCTTCACTGGAATATCTCTTGATAAGTTAATTTTCAATTACTTAAAAGTCAAAAGAGAATTGGATTATTTCCCATTAATTGTAAAACCATGTTATTTATTTAAACTTTACTGAAAAAAAGTCCAATATTTTTCAAACAATTCTGTAGAATTGGGCAAACAACTATCACTGAGTTTTATGGTTCATAGCTTATAAATTACATATGTGTTAATCTGTGAATAGCATGTTAGGATGCTGTGGATTCACCAGATTTTCATTTGAATTCACTTAGAATCGTCTTTGATAAACTGTCCTTTTTTTTTTCAATCTTGTCTTAAATAGACAACCCTATGGTTTAAGGTTTCCTTTTGACATTTAAATGAACTAATGTATTAATTTAGACATTTGACCTGTCTAAAGTTCTTTCCATAATAACACCTATAATTTAATCAATAAAAATAAATTATTAGAATTGGGGCAGGACCTTAAACATTTTTATAGTTTGACAAATGAACTGTAGAGGTGAATAATAATGCCTTTGTCTCTATCCTTATCAGCTTAATTATAGCTTAAACTCCTGTGTCTTTTTCTGTCTAACTCAGAAATGTATAGGCTCTTTCCAAAGGTGGAATTAGAAGGTGCACAATTCAAACACATTGTATTTATTAGTATTTATTATGTGTCTACAGAAGACTTAACTGTAACTTTCCAAGAAAATATGATGAAACCTTTTTGTGTATGTATCAATTGTAGAATCATTTGGAGATAGATAGATAGATAGATAGATAGATAGGAAGATAGATACACACAGATATATGCTTTCAATAATTATTTGTAATATAATTGAATTTTAAAATTTGTCTTTAAGCAATACTATGTCTTTAATAAATATATTATGATTCAGTTCAAATGAAGAACTAAGAATAAATCATTTTTATTTATGTAAAGGTAACCAGGATAATATGTATCTCAGCAGGTCAATGTCCAAGTGCAGCAATTAGATGGCATCCAGAAATAAATACTTGCATCTATAAGTAGAAATGTGACAGGTGTGTTGAACTGGTGGCTCAGATAGTATGAGTGACCTTGTTATAAGAGAAAAAAATGTTCTAAAATAGTCTATAACTCTAAATCCCTCATCTAAGGAATTTTAAATGCAAGTATGAGTAACTCATATTCACAGTTTGTGTGCATGCACATGTATTTTTTTTTTTTTTTTGAGACAGAGTCTTGCTCTGTCTCCTAGGCTAGAGTGAAGTGATGAGATCTTGGCTCACTGCAACCTCTGCCTCATGGTTTCAAGCAATTCTCGTGACTCAGCCTCCCGAGTAGCTGGGACTAAAAGAACATGCCACCACGCCTGGCTAATTTTTGTATTTTTAGTAGAGGCGGCGTTTCACCATATTGGCCAGGCTGGTCTTGAACTCCTGACCTGGTGATCCACCTGCCTCGGCCTCCCAAAGTGTTGGGATTACAGGCATGAGCCACCGTGCCTGGTGGTATTTTTGTTCTTACCAGTATAATGGAAATACTGCACAAAACTTGACTCCAGTCTTTTCATTTTATCTTTTGATAATACACACATACTACCAATGTTTCTCTATCTTAGGTTTACTAATGAATATAGAAGGACTACAGGAAAAAAGAAATGGATTGGCTTCTTTCCCTTTCCTTCTATGTGATTTTTCAGCATAAGTTGTTCTGTTACTGAAACACCAGGGTTTCAGGCTAGGTCCTGCTGCTTGCCACAAAAAAAGCCAATGACTGAGATGATGAGTATTACCAAGGAAGAAGACTTTAATTGGATGCTGCAGCTGAGGAGATGGGAGCTCAGTCTCAAATCCATCTCCCTGACCAATTAAAACAAGGGGTTTATATAATAGGGAAGAAATGAAACAATGTGTAAGTAAATGGGAATCATGATGAATGAGGTGTCCAGCATCTCCTTGCCTGGATGTCATGACCTGGTGAGATTCAGTTCTTTGATATTTTGTGAGGAGGCCTAAAGGCTGTTTCCTGAGGAAGGAACTCAGATGAAACACACAAGTTTCAAGCTTTCATACCAGAGGGGTCAATTTCTATGTTTATCCAAAAAAAATTGTCTATGGGACTATTGAATTGGTTTCAGTTGAATTATACAGGAAAGTAACCTGAGTAAGAAAAGGTATGATTGAATCACTTGATCATTTGTGTTTCTTTGAATGCCATTGCTTTCTTTTTGTATTCAAAGCTAGCTGTGCTTTTAATATGAAATACTGCCTGCTAGGTGTGTTGGGACAGTTAGTGCCTCTGCTTACTTAGTTGAAGGAATCCACATTTATCTGTACTCACTCTGAGCCTCGTTGAACTCTCATAAATCCTAAGTCCATAGGAACTGTTTTCCAAAGCATGACAAATGCTATATGTAAATTGGTGACAAGAAACCACCAGATGATATACATGCAGTATATACACATATTACACAATATATTATATAACATATACACATATGCAAATATATACATATATTATGTAATACGTTACATAATATATATGCCATACATCAGACTTCACATTAAAAAATAACTTCAAAGATAAAATTAACAAGGATATTAAGACAGTGATGTCATCACATTAAGTAAAACACAGAGTTCTTTTGAGCACCGGACGCTGAGCACTGAATATATCACATGCCAAAAGATTGGACCTGGTTCCTGGTGATAAGATCACTATAGAAAGGTCCCGTTGTAGATAAAACAAAGCAATGGTGTGCAAGTCAAAGAAAACATTTAATTTAGAGAGTACCGAAGGATGATTTTCCTACAATAAAATTTCCAAAAGACCTAATTATTGTACTTAGGAGTGACAGGAGAGGTGGAAAAAAAAGTAAACATAAGTTTATAAGAAGCAGATACAAAAAATAAAGGGCCTTAATATTTGATAATTAGCAAATGATGAAAGGAGACAAGAAGCTGGCTTAGTATTTCAAAATGAAAACCAGATACCAAGTTCATGAACACTCACCAAGCAATGCAGCTTTGTAAGGGAAGTGTCTGGGAAGGCAGACATTGAGTGGAGTCTCTACAGTCTGGGGAGATGCTTCATTTGTGTGGAATTCTACAGTAGAGGATTGTGAACTCCTATTTCAGCATTCTGATCATTATGTGACTCTTATTTGACACATTACAAAGAAGACAACTAGATCTAGACCTGGTAGAGTCAGCAGCAGAGGTCAATTCAAGTCTTATGAGGAAGTTCTTAAAAGGATACTTCAAAGATTAGCTTGTCTCAGGAAACATCTAAGATCACCAACTTTCTCTAAATGATGGTGTAATAGACACTTGGTGTTTTACCCTTTGAAAGCATTTTATCTACTTTGTAAGGCTTTGAAAAAGCTGAAAATGACTAAACTTTGTTCAACATTAAAGAGTAATTCTGACAGTCTTAATATGAGAAAGAATTTTAGCATTTTCTAAGTTATCAGCAGTATCCACAACATATTAAGTAAAAAGAAAGCAAATATAAGTATCAGAATCTCCATGATTTCTTTAAATAAACAGGTATCAACTCGTATTCTTGTACGTTCAGAAAACCATCAACCATCTGTAAGTTTATAGGGAGAGCTACATTTTTATTCACTGCTATGATACTATTGGGATAAATTTTAGTAAGTTTGCTTGATTTAACATTTTCTACCGCTAGTTAAAAACTTAGTTCCCCCAAGTATTTGATGAAGTACAGTTCAAAGAAAAATCCCAAATTGTTTATATTTCCTCTTCTCTTCAATCTAATAGATAAACCTAGATGTGTACCTCCTATAGAAAGGGATAATATCTGTTTTATTAATATCTCATTTGGTTGTTTTGAATATAGTGAGTACATACATATTTATTCAGTACAGATTTATAATTTCTTAACCATAATGTTGAAACAGGAAAGGTTCCCTTGTCTCCCTCGCAGGGCATGTGACAGGGGAAGTGGCTCGCTTCTTCAGTGCCCCACTGATCAAACCTCTACGGGAGCATACAGACCGGCAGGCTGTGGGGCTCCAACCCCACAACAGTGTCTAGGGGTGAATGTTTACAGCTCCTGAAGTCCCAGTGGGCGTGTGTTACAGGGTGCTCTTTTAGTTTTGCTATCTATAGGCTTGTGTTAACCAGCTCAGTTAGACCCTCTACCTTGTCGCAAGGACAGAGGGCTTTCTGTATCCCGGGTTCTTGCCTTGGTGTACTGGAAGAATCTGATAACACCTGGGTTTGGAGAATGAGTGCAAGGTTTCACTGAGTGGAAGTAGCTCTCAGCAGATGGCACAGCCAGAAAGGAGATGGTTTCTCCCTGGAGTCCGGCCGCTTGGCAGCCGGGCTCTCCTCTGACTGCCCTGGCCAAACTCCACGTTCTGCTGGAGAGTGGCTTGTCGGCATGCTAGTGCCTGCGGGTGAGTCCCTCTCGACATCCAGCCGCCTGTGTATTCCTCCGCTGATGTGCTTCTCTCTATGTGCAGCTGCCTCTGTGTGTTTTTTGTTTGTTTGTTTGTTTGTTTTTTGAGACGGAGTCTCGCTCAGCTGCCCACGCTGGAGTGCAGTGATGGGATCTTGGCTCACTGCAACCACCATCTCCCGGGTTCAAGGGATTCTCCTGTCTCAGCCTCCCGAGTTGCTGACATTACAGGCATGTACCACCACACCCGACTAATTTTTGTATTTTAGTAGAGATGGAGTTTCACCATGTTGGCCAGGCTGGTCTCGAACTCCTGACCTCAGATGATCCACCCGCCTCGGCCTCCCAAAGTGCTAGTATTACAGGCCTGAGCCACCGCACCCAGCCTGCCTCTGTGTCTTCTTTAGCCGATCAGCTCCTCTTGACGTCCAGCCACTTTTGTGTCTGCCTACTAGGGTCTCCAGGGGTTTTATAGGCACAGGATGGGGGCATGGCAGGCGAGGATGGTCTTGGGAAATGCAACATTTGGGCATGAAGACAGAAGTACCTGTCATCACCTAGGTTCCTGGGCACAAGCCCAGCGGTGGAGCCCTAGCCAGGGACTACACCCTCCTCTATCCAGCACTTCTCTCCTTCTGTATCATTTAAAGGAACCCTGCCCTTCCCCTCCCAGCAACTCCCTTCCATATCAATGTCATAGTTAAAGCAAATTGTATTTTTTCTTTAGGCGTTTTCATATAATTTTTTATAATTTGTGTTCACTGTTATTTTAGGAAAAAAAAGTGCTTCTATTTGATTAGTGTATTTTGTTTTGTTTGACTTTAAAAAATTATGCATTACAGAAGAGAAGCTATTGGAAAACTAGATATGTGAGAATGTGTAGAGCTCTAAATAAACTGTTCAGAACATAGAATATACAACTTTTAGAGAAAAAGCAATGTGTGACTGCTAAAAGAAATAACAGGGAAATAATGAGATAAATGAAAAAAATATAAACGTACATATAAATCAGCTGTGTCACTTCTATTAAATAAGTTCTATATATGTCTAAGACAAACTAAAAGGAAAAATACACAAGAAAGGGAGAAGAAAAAATGGAAAATAACTAAAAAATGAGAATTAAAATTAAAAATATGACACAATGTAAAAGAGGAAACGTAAAAAGGGAATTGTAGAAGTGAATCAGAAGTAAAAGATCAGGGACATATGTTGCAAACCTTTGGAATGCTAGCAAATAATTTAGTAAAATATAAGGAAGTTATTATATATGCATTTTTTCAGTTCCAAAAGGAAAACAGGAAAAATATACTAGGAAAAAGAAGTAAGTACTTACCTAATAGTATATGGTTGGAAGCGGGGCTAAGAAAAATAATAAGTACACTAAAAACAGAAAAAAATCACCAACTGCCCTCAATTTTGTAGGCAAGAACACTCAGTTTTGAAGATAGTGTGAAATACTACTACTACTTCTACTACCATTAGCAGCTATATTAGTTAGAATGCTGTAAGAAATAATAATTATTTAAATTTAATATAAGCAATAAACCTTTAGTTTTTTCTCTTCTACAGGAGTTTAGGAGGGTTGAATGCATCTCATATATTTTTACCTAGATATTCCAGATGAAGGAAGGCCTTATTGGTAAGTCTCATTTCCCAAGGAATCAAGAAGTCTGGAATCCAAGATACCAAAAGAGGTAACAGTTTTGCAAAAAAGGAAAGGTCCTCATCAATGAAAGTTCAAAGAAAGAAGGCCTGTGTGGGGGATGTAGATGTTTTAAGTAGGTAGGTGTTATAAAAGAGAGCTAGGATGGCCTTCGCATGTTGGTCTCAAAGTTGTTTATTTCTTCACAGCAAGCTCAGACCTGTTAGCTCAAAAGCCTGCTCATGCCAAACTCAGATTTTTATACATCCAATTGTTTTAGCATTGCTAAAATAAGCATATTTTTAGCCATTTAGAGCCTGCCTGCTTTGCATAACCCACAAATTTGTGCCCAACATCTGCTAACCAAAGATAATGTAAAACCCAGGGTTATAAAGACACAAGCTACTGCATCCCATTGGAGCTCTCTGACCCAAAGACTTCCCACCGTGCTGCTAAAAAACATTATGTAGACACATAACCCTCCTCTCCAATCCCCTTCTCCTCGAGGAGTCCCTTTGTGCTCCTTCCATTCTGGATGGTGGCCCCCATGTTGCCATGGTCTTGAGAGTTTCATGCTCTGAGGGACTCTCCTCACATGCAAGCTTTTCAAAGAGTCCCCCAAATCAAGCTTGTGTGATCTACTGCAACCTGTTGTTTATATCTTTCTTTCTTACTCATCCCCCACATCCCTTGAAGTCCCAACAGTAGGAAAACAACTGAATACGTGTTCTGGCTATACTTATCTTTGATGTTTCACAGAAGCTAATATACTTGCAGAAAGAAGTGAAAAATCTTAAGAAGAGTCAGAAGAGATTTAGAATAACTTGACTGTTGGGAATGTGATGGGGGCCTAATTATATGTGTTTTCAGGCTGATCAAGTGAAAATGAAAACGATGAACTTATTGTAGTTCACTCCACATCATTTTTGTTTTTGATTTTTCTATTGCATTGTTCAGCATTTGTGTGGCAAATAAAAGATGGAAGTTTATGTTGATACAGTGTTTGACATTTCTATAAATGGGGAAATGAATAGCAGAAGGAGTCAAAAGGTTAAAAGTGTAGGTACAACTCTATAATGAGGGTCTATATGATCTCAGTTATAGAAAAGTAAGTGATAGTAGAATAATAGATTGGAATAAATTTTAAAAATATATTAGAGCAGGTCTGTCCAATAGAACTTTCTGTAAAGATAGGAATATTCTATAATATTGATGTTTAATATAATGTTTGCTAGCTGCTTGTGACTACTAAACACTTGAAATGTGGCTAGAGTGTCTGAAAAACAGAATCTAATTGTATTTTTTTATTTTTTAATTTTATTTATTATTTATTCTTTAGTGATGAGTTCTCACTATGCTGCCCAGGTTGGTCTCAAACTCTTGGTCTTGGGCTCAAGCAATCCTCCTGCTCTGTCTCCTGAGTAGGTGAGACTACAGGTGCACACCATCATGCCCAGCTAATTGTATTTAATTTTAATTACTTATAATTAAAGTTTAAATAGCATCATGCAGGTAGTGGCTATCACACAGAACAGCACAGTTCTAGAGATTGGATAAATCAATAAACCTAGCACTTGTGGACAGATCTGAGTTTAATGTTTTAAAAGCTGAGCTCATTTATAGTATGTTAATGTAGGAAATATAAAGATCATTTGACAAAGCTGAATTGATTTTTCTTAAATTGCTTTAATAGGCCTATGAGGAAGTACTATAATAAAAGCCTACTTATGCTCATACCTGGAGGGATTAGGCAAGGTTTTCCCAGTGACAGGCCTATTTGAGTTGTGTTTTCTCCTCTGCTTTGGAAGGCAGTAAGTCAATTCTAATATAGGTGTTGATCTGTTGACAAATGATGAGTTACCATTTAACATGGAAATCTGTTTATATTTGTAGGATACATTAAACTGTGAGGAACCAGTAAGTTGTGCCAGAAATGTATCCTCGTGTTTGATGAAAAAACAAGCAAGCAAACAAACTCTGAAGGAAATGAGAGGGAAGAAAGGAAGAAGTGAGGCATAAACCAAGGGAAAATTGAGGCATATTTTCTTAATAGAAGTAAGATGCGATGTGATATGGTTTGGCTCTGTGTCCCCACCCAAATGTCATTTTGAATTGTAATCCCCATAATCCCCACGTGTCAAGGGAGGGACCTGGTGGGAGGTGATTGGATCATGGGGGCAGTTTCCCCCCTGCTGTTCATGTGATAGTTAGTGAGTTCTCACGAGAGCTGATGGTTTTATAAGCATCTGACATTTCCCCTGCTTCTCTCACCTGCCGCCATTTCAGACGCGCCTTTTCTTCTCCTTTGCCTTCTGTTCTGATTGTAAGTTTCCTAAGGCCTCCCAACCATTCAGAACTGTGAGTCAATTAAACCCCCTTCCTTTATAAAGTACCCCTTCTTGGGTATTTCTGTACAGCGGTGTGTAAAGGGACTAATACACTATGCATTCCATATCTTGTTTATTGTCTTTTATAAACTCTATTTTTCCCAAATGATTTCTGGTTTGTAACCTTGGGTTTTTCAAGCTGATACTTCCAATTTCTTCTAAAAGATCCAGTTTGTTGATCTGTTATCCATTTGGTCTACAAATAATTATATTAAACTCCACTTTAATTAGCTTCTTCAAACTGTTTTAGAGGCTACATTCACTATGAAAATAAGATCAACAAAATATGGCAACCAGATTCTCAATGAATATTTGATAAGTGTTGATGTATGAAGATTTTGATAGTCTGCAGTATGTGTATTTATTGTACTAAAATGAAATCTGGAAAACTCTCTGATTTACAAATTCCAAAGTTGCCTTTCTTCCCACAATCTCACCTAGACTTACATGCTCATAATATAAACCCATTTTCTTTTGAGCATTTTAATACAGAGGGTAAGAGATGATCATATGCAATCACCTTATGCTTTGCTTTCTTTTCTATATAGGACAGAGAAAATGCCATTTTTAAATTCCCATGGTATCTCTATAGTGGCTTTTAAAAAGTGGTTATTTTTGAAATCAGCAAGATAATTTTTTGTTTCAACATATGGTACTTAGTTGTTTCTCAGCTGAGGAGGAAGAAAAAAAGTATTTTATGCAGGCAAATCATTTATATGACTTGCAAATTTTCTAAAGTTGCTGACTACTGACATTATAGTTTTCTAAACTATGCCACCCTATTTGGAAGTTTTGATTTTCTATTATGCCTAGAGTTTTAATTGTTTTTATTTAGTCAGTTTATCAGAATAGCATTTAGGTAGTATTGATGTTCATTTTCATCCTTGTAAAGGAAAAATTTTTACAACAGGCAGCCCATTTCAGTGGCACTAAGAACTAAATATGTACCTATATTTCTGTCTATATCTATATTAATATATCCAAGGTCAGCAAGAATTTTTATATGAAATTTAAGAGGTTATGTGCTCTCTGTTTATTCCCTAATGATTTCAGCATATCATAGACACATTCTCACTTATTGGTATTATTGTCCAAGAATCACAGGAAGGATCCTATAAATGCATGAGGGTGCTTTAATTGTGACTAATTCACATTCTCATGCATAGAAGAATATTTAGTTTAGTTCAGCATACTAATTACAACATTTCCATAGGGTAGAAAAAATAGAGCAGAGTCAAAACTACTTGTAAGTAGAACATTTGAAACAAAGATATAAATATCACCTACTTAAGCACCTTATTATGCCCTAAATTAGACTGGAGATCAGACATCCAAGGTATTAGTACTCTAATTTTTCTTCCTAAGGTATAAAAGGGAAGCTAGTGTCATAGCCAGAACCGGTACTAATATCTTGGATGCCTGATCACCAGCCAATTGTAATCGCTGTGTGTATGTGTTTACATCACTGAATGAGGACATTCTATTTGTAGTTAAGCCTTTGTCTTACTGCTTTTTTCAAATAAAAAAATACAATAGGTTACATAGTATATTAATAGGCATTCAGGAAAGAATGCATCAACTAATTTTTAAAAATGAGGATCAACATCAATTGTTTATATTTCTTTAAAATTAAAGCAAAGAAAACCACAGAAGCAGAGGGAAAATTAATTAAGGTTAAAATAAATATTCACAGGGGAAACTTCCAAACTCCAGTAAGGGGGTCCTTCATACCAATGTCCCTAACCCACTCATGCCTACTCTTTGATATCTGATAATCCTTAAGAATAATGTTTAAAAATGCAACATCTGGATTCAATTTTGCCTGGGTTCAAATTGCAGCTATGCCATTTAGTTGCTGTATAAACTTGACCAAAATTACTTGTGCCTCAGTTTATTTTATGTTAAATGGGAGGGACATTATACGAGGACAGCTCCCAGAAAATGCACTATTAAATGTTTGTAATTGTTGTTGTTATTTTTTAAAATTTATTTACTTTTTTTTTTTTTATTTATTTTTTTGAGAAGGAGTCTCGCCCTGTCACCCAGGCTGGAGTGCAGTGGCGCTATCTCGGCTCACTGAAAACTCTGCCTCCCGGGTTCATGCCATTCTCCTGCCTCAGCCTCCCAAGTAGCTGGGACTACAGGTGCCCGCCACCACGCCCGGCTAATTTTTTGTATTTATAGTAGAGATGGGGTTTCACCGTGTTGGCCAGGGTGGTCTCGATCTCCTGACCTTGTGATCCACCCACCTCAGCCTCCCAAAGTGCTGGGATTACAGGCCGTGAGCCACCACCCTCGGCCTATTATTTGTTTTTATTTTTATTTTGACTTCTCTGATACAGTGGCATCTTTAAGCATAGATGAATATTTCCTGGTCAAAACAATTCAGTCAGGTACCCTGAACATCAGCAACTTACTGAGGGCACAGAGAGGTTCCCTCTAATGATTTCCCTAGTTTCATAAAATGCTTTTACAAATTCTCCTTTATAATAAAAAAGTCAAAGACAGTTATTAAAAGACAATTACTCTAAATATATGTATTCAAATATATAGTCATATATTGACCACTGATATGATTCTTTTTTTATTGCCACTGTGAAGCCAGTTGTGGAACTATAGAAAAAATATTTTATGTTTCTTTATGCTTATGGCTTTCTGAGCATCCTTAAGTATAGAGAAAATAAAATATTTTTTATAGTACCACAACTGGATTTAACCTTTAAAAATAAGCTAACAGAAAAGATGAATTGAATTAGTGGACAATATATGACCAGAACAGATACTCGGACTTCCTGAGATTTGCTGGCTTGTAAAATAATTTGTCACTCAACTAGAACTGATTCATACTGAAGTCCATGGGTATTTGGACAAGTACTTGGTTTGAAAAGGAGTACAGGCAGTAATTTTTAAGTTGCTTGAAATAAAGTTGTTGAAAAACCTGAAATGTATCCTGAAAATATGGTGCACTAAACAATAAAAAGCAATTATTGAACAGTTAATTCTGTAGAGAATACATTTTATAAAAAAATCTAATCTGAAATATTAATATAATTATTTTCCACAGAGAGTATGACTGAAAGCTAAAATAATTGCTTTTTAAATTAATTTGCACATTATAATACATATGATAAAACTACAGCTTATAAATGAGTAAACACTAAAAAAATATAAAACAAAAACAGAAACAAAACTGCATTTAAGCCAATTGGAACAGAACTTCCTAAGATAAATTTACAGAAATAGCAGTAAGCTACAACATTCTTATTTAGAGGTGGAGAGATTAAAATTTCATAAATTTATTATTTCAATAATTTTATTTCTCTTTGTTATTTGGTTTTTGCAAACAAATAAATTGTACTTGTGTTTGTTTAATGAAGTTTATTCAAAAAATAACTTCTGCAGAGATTCATCAATGATATTCATAAGTGGAATTCATGAGAGAAGCATTAAATATCCTGCAATTTGCATGCAGGATATTTTTATTCTTAAAATAATTCTGACATATTCCTTTTGTAGTATTCAATTTCTCTATGATAATGTAAAAAAAAGACTTATGTAAAGTGGAAACTTCAAAGAGACTTTACTAATAGCTTGGAGTAAGTCCGTTAATTTTAGTATTTTTGTCTGTAAAACTGAGATGGACAAAAAAAATGGAAACATTAAATTTCATTATTAAAAAGTAAAACTTTCTTTAAAGCATTGCTGTTTATTAATGCTCTATCTAGTATAATTATAAGGAAAAATATAAATGATTCTTTTTCATTTAAGTTTCACCTTTATAACTTGTTGCTAAATGTGTAAGCATTTTGATTCTCTGAAACAAATAACAGCAATCTACATATTTGCTTTAATGGCATTAATAGTTAATGAAGACTTCTATACATGCAATAGTTAAAATCATATTCTTAGTTTTCTCTATTACTGGCCTCAAAAATGGCTTAAATATTCTCAGGGAAATAAAAAAGTTCTAGTGTTAAGATAATAGTTATTTGTCCAGGTGAATTATTATTGACATTCAGGCAATTTTATCATAGAGTGGTTTCTGACTTGAACTTCAATAGAATTATTATTACCTCTCCTCTTATGTGCACATTACTAATTCTATTAACTATAAGAGAAAAGAAATGCTTCACTTCAATACTTGGAGACTTAATCCTTGCATTTGATTGAACTCTCCATGTGGAAAAAGTGAACCTGGGCGTGCAACTTAAGTTTTGTGCAGTTCAAGTAAATGAAAAAGCCCTAGGCCTGACACTAATCTTTTGAATTTATAGATTTCTTATTTGGCAGCACAAACTGTTTGGCTTATTTTGCTGTAGTTGTAAAATGAGCTACTACCTAAATTCTAGCAGGAGAGTCTGACCCATGAGAGTATTTCACTGCTGAAACAAGTGATTGCTTAAATCTAAATTTTGTATTAAAATTAAAATTAATAAAAATAAATTACTTGTTCACTACTTATATTATTCCCTCATGGTTCTCCTTATTTCTATCATAACACTTTCAATAATTTCTTCAGTGGTTTTGTCTTTGAGGAATGGATAAAACCTGATTTATTTGTAATTCTTCAGCACCTTGGACAGTGTCTGTGCATAGAAACAGTAATTTATTTGTTGAATCAATGATTGCAATTATGTGCTTAGGTACCTGGGGCATTTGATAATAAAAGACCAGGCAGCATGACCAGAGGTGGCTATTTTTCAAACATTTATATGATTATATATCTTAACACTTTTATTATACTTTTTTTCTATTAGTTCAACGGAGCCACAGAAATGATCTAATATTTCCACCAGGTCATGTTATAAATTTAATAACAGATTTGGGCATATGTTTGGAATAATATTCTAGATTCCAAACCAAGAAACATCTAAAAACACAAATATTTCCAGCTTCCATATTCAAAGGGCAATATAATGAATGTTACTCATAATGTAACATGTTAATTGTGGCCAGACTCATACCTTTGCTTAAGTTGGTGTTCATAGGTTCACTATAAAACTAGAAAACAAGTAATACAAACATTATACTATATAAGAGCTACATAGATCCTTGAATTATCCTTTTTTCCGCAAAGAAAAAAAGCAGGACAGATCAAAAGAGCCAAGACTCTGAAGTTTAAACCATTATGCCAGAAGAAAATGTATTAGCAATCAGCCCATGAAGAAAACATATCAGCAATCAGGGCATGAAGAAAACATGTCAGCAATATGAGGTCTTTCTAATACTAAAGCTACATGCAGACTTTTACTTTTGATTTCTTACTATATGGCCAGTCCCGAAAATGGCTTATTCATGGCCTTAAATCAACTGGATAGTCCTTGAGACATCTACCTCTTGAACTGAAGTATACCAACTGCTTGTCCTTTTCTTTTTGTTCTGTGCTGTGCATATATGTGCTACAACTAATCTGTAGAGTAAGGGTGAGTTTTCCCTGGAAAATTGATTTTTCATTTAATTTCCTTTCATGGCAAGATTAGATTGCAAAGCTTAGTGGCCCTTTATGATTTCTTTTATTTTTAAGAAATTCACTTGAGTGCTACTTGATCATTAGATGAGATATAATCCTTGATGAAAAATTTTGAATTATTCTTCACACCTGTTTTCTTGAGAAAATAGTAATTTTTTGAGGCAGAGAAGCAGTTAAGAGATATAATACATTTTGACTTTTCCAACTTCAAATCTTAATAAAAAATTTGCATACTCATATTTATACATAAAGCAAAATACACAGAAATATATTATCTTGATATAAATAAAATTAAGGCTTGCTTTAAGCAACCGTGGATTGCCTGTAGATTACCTATATTTTCTACCTTTTTAAAACATCTCTCTTCACCTGCACGACCTCCCCTACTAAAGAATACAAGTGAGTTATATTATCATTTGGGGTCACCCTTCTGTAATCAAACTACATTGGACTCACTCTTATTTCTACTGTTCTGATCTCTAATTTCACATGGCCCAAGGACATGTGTTACTGAGTACACATTTCTCTAATTCCCTTTCAGCCAGTTTCACACACACACACACACACACACACACACACACACACACAGACACAAGAAAAGAAAAAAAAGAAACAAAACAAAAACCAAAACCTTCTGATATTTTATTTTATCCTTTTTTAGCCAGAGCTATTGGCTGTCCCTCTAATAAGGAAGACAAAAAGGAAGGCCTTTTAAGAAGGAGAGTTATGGGTTATTTGCTTGCTAGATTAATAGTAATAAGTAACTTAACAGGCATGCTCAGTAAGTATTTATAGATAGGAAACTAGGTATCAGGAAGACTCTAATTAGAGATACAGATTTGCAAGGCATTTATATTGAGACTGAAGCCATGATTATTCTCAACAAATAGCATCTTGTAATTGCTACAGCCTAATGTACACATATCCAATCCTGAGGAAGGATGGATTCTATTAAGTTGAAAAAGTGGTACATAAAAATGCAATCAGAGAACAAAAGACAGATAGATTAAATCAATTTCAAGCATATGAAGTCTGAAATAAAATAATTTTAAGTATGTATTTATGTTATACTTGTAAAAATCTAGGGTTGGTTTAAATTACATGATTATTTGTTCCCCTAATTCTACATTAAAATTAATGGTGAATTGGAAATAAGTTTGAATTTATATATGAAACAAGTAAATATATTTTCTTCTGCTCCTAATTTTGCCACACAACACACATATTTTTAATTTGTTCATTCACATAACAACTTGGTAATTACCTAATATACATTTTTTAGCAAATTACAGTCATCCCTGGGTATCCCCTGGGGATTATTGCTTCCAGGACCTCCAGCTATCAAAATTTGCATATATTCAAGTTCCTGACATGAATGATGTAGTGTTTGTGTATAACTTATGTGCATTCTCCAATATATACTAATCATCCCGAGATTACTTATAATACCACATACAATGTAAATGCTATGTAAATATTTGTTATGCTGTGTTGTTTAGGACACAGTGACAAGAAAATCTATACATGTTCTGTACAGATGCAGTATATACTTAAATATTGTTGGTCTGTGGTTGGTTGAATCCATGGATGTGGAACCCATGAATAATTAGGGCAGTATTTACATATCTAGGCTCATTTTCTCAACTGTAAAAAGTAAAAATGTTCATATAGCAATTGTGGTGATTCCATGACATGCCGTGTGATAGCAGATAGCAACCATCATATCACCTGCCAAATAGTAATTTATTCATTTCCTTTGTTTAATTTTGGTATAATTTATATTCATTGTTTAAATAACTTATTGTTTTCTATCCTTGAGCCAAATATTATGTTACTCCATGTTTTTCCACCTTCTATTTGTTCGTCAACCAAATATAAAATTTTCAGGTGGTGCTGAGTGCCCACAGCCATTGCCAGAAGCATAGAGGCAATTGATTTGATAGTTGTTGTTTTTGGATCACTGTGAGTCTGGCACTTCTAAGGATCTTCTGCAGCCAACCCAGCTTGGCTCACGGGGCAATATCAACTCCCAGGCCAATATGAGAAACCTGCTGAGTAAAATAAATCACTTGAAGTGGTACAAAAGCAAGATTTTATTTTATTCTTATTTTTCAGTCCCCAAATGTGTTGACCTTCTTCCACCAAAAACGTCCTCTATCTAGAGACCACAGGTGGCAGAAGGATCTTTGAAAGATATAGTGACAGAATAAACAACCACCTACTTATTAATATTAGAATGTAATATCAAATAAAGAGGGTACAAAAAATTTTTTAAGATTAAACAATGACATCATATTTTAGGCTTAATGATATCCTCTCTAATTTAATTCAGATTCCATCTCTATCAATCTAGGTAGAAATAGTCATAAGCTCCCTCAGATTTTTTTCCTAAAAATTAACTTCAATGTTTTAGAATGATAAATATTTAAGAAATTACTTCTCCTTATTGCTAATTGGAGTATCACCACTGCTTTTGATAAAAATTATTATTTTTTAATTCTGAAAATGAGTGAATAATACGTATTTGAAGCTGTGTTTCTTTAAAAGTTTGCTTGGTTTTAAAATACTTGTTGGTTCCTATATTCTGATATGTTAGTGGAATGAGAAAAGTCAAAGTTTCTGAAAGGGCCCAAAATCCTCTCTTTCATTGTTAAGGGTGTTAAGGTTTACTGAACACTATGTAGAGTTACCTCTGCCCTAAAAGACTGAAGTATTTCAAAAACACTTAATTGTGTGCAACTTAATTCCTGAGACAGATTTATGTTTAGAACACGGGCTCATTCAAACACTGTTGAGCAAATTAATCCATTATTTTTAATTTAAACAAGATTTTTTATTTAAATTATATCAATTTTGCTAATTGAAAAATTTTGCCAGTTTTTACAGTGAGCAAATGAGTATAACAATTGCCTATGTAATTGCTATTAGAGTAAAAAAGATCAACATTTAGAAGCAGAAATTCTCCTCCACAATAATTCTGTGTCTTTGTAAGAGCCAGCTGTCCTCAACCACAATTGTTTTCATCTGTGTAGTTGCAATGACGACACCTCCTCTATCACTCATCGAGATTATTATGGTTATAATCCTTGATGGGATTTTGAGCTATTGGATTGAATGTTAACACAAAGATAATGTAATTCTGTTTCAAAACTGCTGTAAAACCCCCTTTATACTTCTTTAGCAGTTCATTTTATAGCACTATTTATTTTTATATATTTGTTAATTTATTTACTGCTTACTAATTGTTACCAACCTCTTTGGGAACCTCTCCAGACATCTATATGACTCTTAAATGCTTTGATAGAGATATAGACATAATGCTAATCTAAAATACATGGGAAAGTTAGACTCTTCTAAATGGGAAAACGATTATCTCAGAACAGTTCTTAATATTGCCGTCTTTGTATTTTAATATCATAATATCATAACCAAAAAACCTCGTACCTTTTAACAGCACTGTGTTAAGGTTTGTATCCTTTTACTCTTCTGGTATAGTGATAGTTGTACATTACATTAGTTATGGGGACAACACTAAAATGCTGTTTTTTAAAAATTGGGCTTATGATTGAACAATTTTGGAAGGGCATATTAATTTTTTATGAGAAGGCTTATACATTACATCATATACTCTTGCAGTAGAGTTAAAAGCATCAATGAAAGTCATTGTAGTGATGACCAGCTTGGGAAACCACAAATAGGCACAATTGCAAGAATAGCCTATGTGCTATGTAATGGTTTGAATTGATAGATTGTGATGCCATTTCATTAATTGGAACTTGGAGAGGTTCACTTCTGGTAGGAATAAAACAAGTTCAAACTTAAATATATAGCGGGTGAGGGATATTTATGGCATCAGAAAGGTGGTGTCAATCAGACTGCAAAGTGCTGGAAGCGTGGAGTTCATAGTTGTGGCCTGAACATTACTATCATCTGCAATTGAGGGAGAGGGAGGGGCAGTTGAATCTAGATTTGTGGATTATGTCTCTCAGAAAAAGGGTAGCAAGCAGAACAGAAAAAGACTGAAGATCAAGCTTTTAGAAATCTCTAACATATAAAAGACTGACATGAGAGAAAGAGTCAGCTAAGGTGACAGAAGTTAATAACAAGGGGTTAAGCAGAAATCAAGAGTGTATTCTGTTCTAGTAGTTTTTAAAAATGATGCAGGAAGGACAGTGATCAACAAAGAGAAACATATTTTAGACATTAAATACAAGTGGACAAATGCTTGTTACAAATGCAAACAAACATATACATTCAATTAAGAGCATAGGATAATTCCTGTGTCCATGGCACTGTGCTAGGTGATTGGGATTTGCAAGCTGTATTTTAAATATGTGAGTAGGGGGCGCCTCTAGAATGGATGAGTAAGGAACTTGTAAATACTCTCTCCAAAAAGTAATAACATAGACAAAATTGTCAAAAACAATTACATTAGGATTCTGGACATTGATCAAAGGCATAAAAAACTGAGAAATGTTTACTCAAGATGAAGTCCTGAACTTCTGTAAGAACGGTGGGAGTCTGTAGTGTTTTAGCCTGGTGTGGTAACCATCTTCCCCACTGTGTCTTCAGTGCATGGAGAAAGTGCAGACCACAGGAACTTGCATCCTTATTGACAAAAAGACCTGATTTGATCTGATATGAGAACATGGAAAAGTCCACACAAGGAAAGACAGTTGAAACCATAGAAAACAATTCCAGAATAACAGTAAACAATCTGAGAGGGCCAACATCACATTTAGACTTTGCCATGATAGTTTGGGGCACAGACCATCAGAAGAGTCAAAAAGTTCACAGGAAGTTCTGGGTAACCGGACTGGTATAAAGAGCCCTGATAAGATTTCATATAACCCTGGTAGTATAGAATTCTGTGCACTTGTGCAAGGTTCTCTGCACAATCAGGAAACAAAAACAGAGACAGCTTTATTCATCTATTTGTATGTGGATAACTATGAGGCCATAAGCATGCAGAAACTAAAGCCTGGGGAAGAATTGCAAAAACATTGAAATTTGAATGTGTTCCTAATTCATGTACAAATCTATCAGCAAATAGTAAAAGACTACTTGCACAATAATTTTAAGTATAACTACTCACCAATCATTGGCTGATGACTAAGCTGTGCTGATTTAAAGGAACCCCTAGGAAGTCAGCATTAAAATTGTCTTAAATAAAATAAGCCAGTCATAGAAAGACAATACTCCATGTTTTCACTCACAGGTGGAAGCTTAAAATGTTTATCTTACAGAAGTAGAGAATACAAAAGTGGTTACTAGAGGCTGGGAGGTATAGAGGGATGGGAAATATGTAAATGTCAGTTAATTAATGCAAAATTGCAGCTAGATAGGAATAATAAGTTCTAGTGTTCTATAGGACTGTAGGGTAATCATAGTTAAGTGATTTATTGTATATTTTCAAATAGCTAGAAGATAGATTTTTTATTGTTCCCAATACAGGAAAATGACCAATGCTTGAGGTGATGGATATAGCAATTACCCTGATTTTATCAGTAAACATTGTATACATGACTTGAAATACCACACTGTATCCCTTAAATATGTACAATTACTATGTGTCAATTAAAAATATAATAATAAAAATTTTGAAACTGAGCAGAGACTTCAGTGGCAATTCATTTGGGGTAGACTTACTCTATTGAATTAGTTGAAACAAACAAACAAAACAAACAAAATCAGCACTGATTAGAATCTAGGGTTGCAACAATATTTTAGCTAAAATATGCAATTTTGAACAAAATATAATGAGATACACAAAGAAACAGAAAACTGTAACTTATGCACTCAGGGAACAAAACTAACCAGAAATGGTCTTGAAGTGTCACTGATGAAGGATTTAGCAGATAAAAATTTCAAACATGATATTATAAATATGGTTAGAGAACTAAAGGGGACTATGTGCAAAGAACGAAGGTATGGATGGGAAATAAGAACTTATCAAATGCAGAACAACAATTAATAAAAATTATAAAGAACAACCAACCAAACTCTTGGAGTTAAAAAGCTAAATAATTGAAATAAAAATTCACTAGAGATTAACGGCAAATGTGACATGCCAAAAATAATCAGTGAATACGAAGATAAAGTAAAATAGATAATCCAAGCTGAGAAACAGAAAAGAATAAAGAAATATAAACAGAGCCTTAGAAACCTGTAATACACCATCAAGTTTACCAACACATGTACAGTGGGAGTCCTGGAAAATGAACAGAAAGAGAAATGGTTGAAAAAACATTTGAGGTGACGGCCAGACACTTCCTATATGTGATGAAAAAGTTGATGCACAAATTCAAGATCTAAACAGATTCTAATTATTACACAGTCTTTATTTTCCCATAGAAAGCCATTCCACTATCACGCAGTTGCAGAAATTGGCTAAGATGTCTAGTAAGCAAAATTAAGACTAAAAAATATTATCATAGAATGATTTTTTGGGGGGAAGTTAATGCTGTGTAATGTCCTCTACAAAAAGCACTCACTAATCCTATCATCTCCTCTGGTTAGGTAGTCTATTATTGGTTTTTCTTACAGGACCTTCTTCTGTCAGGGTATTACTTACCATTGGGATATAAAACAAATGTAACTAGCTGTTAGAGCCTAATAGAATAGATATTGGTAATACTAAAGCAAATCTTGGAGTCCAGAAACCTTTATGGCCTGGGTTGCCTCAACCCAAATCAGAAGATGAATTTTACCTGGAAAGTAGTTAGCTGACACTCTCCAGCACCCAATATGGTTAGGTGAGTTGTAAGAATTCTAGAGTACAGATGCTTAGAATATTGTCAGCTTACGAGTTCATGATTTGCCATTCACTAGTATCCAGGTTTTTACATGAAGCCTCAGGGCTCCAAAAGTGAGCACTCTGGTGAAAAAAGCAGGAAGTTCATGCATTTAATGACTTGGATTCAGAAGTCACAGAGTGTCACTTCTAATTTATTCTATTGGTTGAAGCAGTCACAGGCCCAACCAGATTCAAGGGAAGGGACACAGACCCTACCACTCAATAAGAAAAATGTCAGAAAATTACAGTCCATGTTTTAAAACCACCATAGCCTGCCTTTTGACTTCAATTTATTTACTTTTCTCATATGTATAAAATACAAGTTTCCACTTTCAACACATAACACCCATTTTAAGTTGCATTTAATTACAGAATCAGGCGTAAAGCCCAAGTTTTCATAATCGAAATTAGATTCAGCTGCAGATGAGGTTGCTTGAGTTTGGTTGCTGAAGTTTGATTTCTCTTAACCTGAAAAACTGTAAATTAAACAAATAAGCCGCACTTTGGAAGGCCAAGGCGGGTGGATTGCTTGAGGTCAGGAGTTCAAGACCAGCCTGACCAACATGGTGAAGCCGGCCTCTACTAAAAATACAGAAATTAGCTGGGCATGGTGGTGGGTGCCTGTAATCCCAGCTACTCTGGAGGCTGAGGCAGGAGAATCGCTTGAACCTTGGAGCCAGAGGTTGCAGTGAGCCGAGATTGTGCCATTGCACTCCAGCCTGGGTGACAGAGCGAGACTCCATCTCAAAAAAAAAAAAAAAAAAAAAAAAATTGAATAAGCCATATCTTTCTCCTATTCTCCCAACAAACAATAGCAGAATTGACATACTATAAGCTTAATAGACAAGCTATCCACAAAGGTAGGATGTGGGAGATGCAGCAGTCACTGGTCCGTAGCAATTTTGAAGCCAGCCAGGCACAAACAACAGTTTTTTGCTTAGGCTTAGTATAGTTCCATGCGATTGCGTTTTCAATGTGTCATTATTTAGGGGGAGAAGAAAGACTGAAAAAAAACTGCAGACTCAAACTAAATTTCCCTTTGTTTAACAAAACAACTTAGTTGATATTTGAATACTCAAAATTACATATGAAGCTGACTAGGTTCTTGTAATATGAGATAACAAAATACAATGATTTTAAACAAGGTGAAAATGTATTTCTCTCTCATATAATAGTCTGAGCAATGGTGCAGAACTTTTACAGTGGCTTGAGAAATTGAGAAACCAACTCAAATCAATTTCTTTAACTGACATCCTTAGTGTTGCATGCCCCAAGATGGACCAAAAATACTTAGGAAAACATAGAAAACACAAAGTTCACATATATAGTAAGCAGCAACTTTTTGTCAGATTCATGGAGAGTATAAAATGAATGTTTTTTCCAAATAATACTTACTTTTATAGATAACTATTTAACCTATTCAATTAAATGTAAATACTATTAATTTGCAATCAGAGTATAATTTTTCCTAAATGTACACCCACACACCTGCATTTACAAAATATAAATTCATTCAAATTTACAGCTATTATTTGTGGACTAGGAAACTACAGAGATTTGATGTTTTTAATTAAAAATACTAATTAAAAATATCATGGATGTTTTACTTCCCATCTTTACAAGTCCTTTAGGTAAACATGGATGCTGATTTTAAGAGACATATATACTTTTGCCTAATTAATGCTTTAGCAGTGATATAACTAATTAGAAAAAATATTTTATAGATGCAACTTCAATTGAGTTATAAGTTTTTTCTTTCTCAGATAGATTCCTAGGATGCTTTGGTGATGAATTACTGGAAGCAAAGCCTCATTCCTGGTTGCAGACTTCTTTTACTCTATTGCTTTCTTGCCCTCTTTGTTTTGGTCACTGCCACTTTTAGACTTGATTTCTAAATTAAATCACTACATTACTGAATTAAACAGTGTTGAAAATTCATGTCCACCTGGAATCCATGAATGTAACCTTATTTGTAAATAGGGATTTTGCAGATGTAATTAGTTAAGAAGAGATCATGCTTGATTGGGATGGGCCTTAAATCCAATAAGTGGCACCCTCATAGGAAGAGGAGAGAAGCCACAGAGACACACACACAGGGAAGAAGACCATGCGAAGATAGGGACAGAAAATGGAGTGTTACAGCTATAGGCCAAGGCCAGGATTGTCTAGAGACACCAACAGCTACAAAAAGGCAAGAAAATTCCTCTTTTAAGATGCTAGAAGGAATATGGATCTACCAATACTTTGATATAAAACTTCCAGACTCCAAAATTGTGAGAAAATAATACAATTCTGTTGTTTTAAGGCCTACAGTTTGTGGCAATTTGTTATGGCAGCCCTGGGAAACTAATACGTTTTACCTTCCAGAGAAAGAAACACATTGTGTTAAAATAACTTGAGATAGGTAACAATATATGAGTATACAAATTTCTATATTATTCTCATAATGCCTAAGAAATAACATAGACTTTGAAATAACACAAAGAGTGATAAAAAAGATTAATGTGACTTCTGACAAAAAGATAATATTTAGGAAAGTGTTTTGTTATAAATTGCTGTGTAAATGTTATTTGTACACTGGTTTGTTCATTTTAGCTGCTACCTCCATCTACAATATAAATTAGAAAGATTTCCTTTTTCCCACCCACATCCTAAAACTGATCATTAGCACAGATATAAATTATTCTACGATCTTTGCACAATTCATCTCAATGAAGGGTAAAACCTAAAATTTCAAACTCATAAATCAAAGACAATGCGGGAAACATGCCACTTACCAAATATTTGATAGTTCAATATAATTTTCTCTTATCTAGATTTTTCCTGGGAATGTAGAATTAACCGCTAAATTAAATAAATCCCAATTAATTTTGAATGCATATAATGTAAATAATTACAATCACAATTTGAATACCAATGTTCTGTTGCAGAAAATTTATCTTTGCTTTTATTTATTTAGTTACTAGAAAAAATACTGGAGTCCAAATAGTGTCTCCTACATGCTCTGAAACAAAAAAAAAAACCTGAGAAATATTAAAATAATACTGCAAGTCATGATAACAAATTTGAAATAATAAATATTTATTGAATTTAATTTAGTGTATGTAGCATTCCAGAATATGTAGTGAAGAAAAGCACTTATTTGAGTCTTATTTTCAGCAAAATGAAAATAATAGCCTTCTCATGAGACTGAGATATGATTAAATGACACCAAAAGGGTGTCTGTGATTTGTTCAAAGATGTATTACTTTGCTTTCATCCAATCTATTAATTATTCCAGGGGTTAAACTTTCACAGCCTATGTTTCTCAGGCTTTCATGACCCTTGGCCTCCAGCATGGGCAATGGCAGTCCTGGTGGAAAATTGGAAGTTGAGAGTAAAATATAAGCCAAGACATTTCTTTCTTTTTTCTATCTCTGCTTCATCATAATCAGAAGCGAATCTCCTCTCTGTTTCTAATTCTCACTACTAGGCAGCACCAGGTTCTATAGATCCTGATCAAAGAAATAACATTTAGGAAAGTGTCACTATGGTTATAAATTGCCATCCAAAGCATTAGTGATACAACATAAGGATTTTAGCTTTTAATTTCACCCACAATGTAAGTTGGAAATATTTTTCTCCCTCCTGAACCCACATTCTGAAACCAATTATTACTAATGTAGTATGTTTCCAGGCCATTTATTATCCTAATCACCCTCTCCTTATCTGTTAATGCTGTTGTTAGATTTAAATAATCATTACCAGAATTAAATTCAGTACTTCAGAATTAGTGTCAATACTTCAGCACCTCAACTAATTCCCTATATGATAAGTAGAAATAAAGTCATTAGCATTTAAACCATTTTTCTACCTTCCTGCTCTATGACTCTATCTGATTTTGTTTCCACTTCCTGTTTCCATGTTTTGCTGTTCTTTCTCTTATTCTTCCATTTTCATTCCTTGCCTATAAACAAGAACTGTTCCATCTGTACTGCCAACTTAACAGGATTTCTGTGAAGGCAAAATAAGCATCTGCATCTTATAGTGTTTTGTAAGCTGTAAAGAATTATTCACATATTAGTGTATTATTTTGCACCAGCTCTTCTTTTTCTTTTCCTCATAGCACTGACTTTTGCCAAGGTTCATAATTCATGCTTCTTATTTCATCTTACAAAATGTCTTAGAGAACACATTAGTTTTATTTGGATGAATCTTGAATCTCTAATTCTGACACAGTTTGCTACTGTCTACTCACAATTTTGACTTAAACTTTCTACCTACCATCACTGCATTCTCATCAGTTCTAAAAAACAAGCTCACAACTCTTACTCAAAAACTGAATTATTGGGTTCTATTGACTGTCTTTCCTTTCTCTATCAATACATTTTTTGTCCCAAAGTCTAAAATATTGACATCACTTTTTACTCTCTATATATTATACCCTTTATTCTTACTTCCTAACATCCAGACTGTTGATTCTTCTTTAATAAAATGTCTTTTGTTTCCTTTCGCTATATTTAGAGTTTTGCTTCCTTGTAATTTATTTTTCCTTTTAACATTTATTTTAAATTTTTGAATTTATATAAATCAGGATCAGTATGGAAGTCAAAGTTGGTATTAGTTCTAAGTAAAATTTTAAAATGAGATAATAGAAGAGCTAAAAGAACAAATAGAAAGTGTGACACAATCCAGGAATTAGCAACAGCAGAAAGCTGCCATCATCCTGTGGTCCGGAGAAAAATGGGGAGTAGAGTCCAGAATGGTTTTGTTAATATTGTAACAAAAATTATTGAATTAAATTTTAGGCACTGCACTAAAAGAAGATACTAAAAATTAACAAGAGGGCTACGATGATAGTAAAAAGCCTGGAAAGTATCAAATAAGTAATCACTGAGAGAACTATAATCATTTTTCCTAAATAACAGGTGAGTTGGTGGCAACAGGAAAGACATATTAATAGCAGTAGTTATCTCCAAATACTGAAAGAATGAATGGAAATATATATTGTGCTTTTCATTATACCTAAGACAACTTAGAAGCTTGGGACACTGATTTTGTTCAATGTGAGGCATGATTTTTCTAGTAATTAAGGCTGCTGAAAAAATACACTTTGCTTGAAAATAATGAGTTGCTATCACAAATAAGACACTAGAATATTCATCCAAAGGTTGACTTTGAAGGTAAAGAAAAATTTGCATTTTAAAGGAGGATAAACATTATAACTTCCTAGTTCCTTGCCAGTTTAAGGTTTTACATTAGTTTGGGGAAGAACAGCAAATGAGTTTAATAACGAATGGTTAAAGTTTTCACATACTGCAGAAAATTAAAAATTAAGATGATCCAGTTTATGTGACAAATGAAAATTTCACCAGTGACTTTCATGGGTGCATTCATTTATGCATTTATATGTACAAAACAAAGTTGTCAAATAGAACCACTGCTGTGAATCACTAAAGTAAGGAGAAAAATAAATCAGTGTAGGGAAGAACCATCAGTGTGAATCGAATTTTTGTAGGTTACAGAAGTAGCCAGTTACGCTTGCATGTTGTGGAGACACAGTATTGGATTAAAGAGAGAAACAAAGATTTTATTTAAAAATAGGATTATTAGATAATAGAAATGATGGAAATATGAATGTAGATACTTAGACATGCCAGCCAAGAGAGTCTAGGGGAAAGGGATGTGACTCTGGCAGCAAGATTTGAGTCTCGTGGACCTTGAAATTTCCCACCATAAACTAGACAAATCAGATGATGCTTTCCCGCCCCATTGACATAAAAATAATCCCACTACCATCTGGCTTCACTTCAGAGTGTTCTGCGGCTTTTCAACTTTATTCCACATCTTGTTGTGGCCTCCATTAATCCTCAGGAATAGATCTGATCTTCCACAGTGAGAATCTTAGTGGAAGAAGCAGGTTAGGGAGGACCAACATCTAGACAAATGAAAAAAGATATAGTATGGATATATACACTGACATGTTAGAAAGTGGAGGGAAAATGGGCTTCAGTCTTCAATGAGCAGAGTTTGTTTTCTGTTTCTGAGAATTGCAAAAGTAAATATGATTTTGGTTTTGAAGAGACCAAGGCTTCTGGAAATAAGCGTAACGATAAATTCCATATAGTTCTGTGAAGATTACTGAGCATCACACAGGAAATTATTGGAGACAGAAATCGTAACACATAATAGGTGAAAGTTGCATGGCTTACCATTTTCCCCTATGAAAATCTTACATGTTTGTGTAAGAGAGAAAAAATAAAAATAAAAGTAACTGGTTTGTTTAAAGCAATCAAGCTTTTTTATCAGTAAGAAAACTATTTCTTTAGAGTGTATTTTAGGAAATAGTTGGGCACAAGAGAGTTTTAAGAGGTATGGATGTGAAAATAATGGAGTAGGAAAGAGACACAATATAGAGATGGACTGATTTTTTTTAATTGCACAATTCATGTTAAATATTGTCAGTTATAAGATATAGTGTCATATAAACACATTCAAATATGTATTTAAATCAAATAAAGCATAAAACCTTAATCTAAGGTAAATATGAAAATATACTGGGAACTCCATGACTGCATACCCCTTCAATTCAGTGAGTTTATTATAACTAAATTGAAAAATAAACTTATAGATTGCTTTATATAAGCATTGGGGCTGATAGAAAAAACGTAAAAGGTTAATAAGGGAGAGTTTTTGGATATTCCTATCAACTTCAACAAACATGATTCTGATAACTTATTTTGTTCAGATTTTATAAGCCTCAGGTACATTTCAAATAGATATAGGTGTGCTCATCAGATTTGTTTAAATTAAGTAAATATTCTTTTTAAAAGTATATGTCCCAGTGGTATATTTTGATGCACTTTATATATGCTCTGAAAAAAAAGGACTATCAAAAATAAAAATCTTAATATTTGTTAGATTTAAACTGATTGGATTTGGAATTTAAAATATTTTATACTGTCTGTATTTTCCAAGTTATTCATTGCACATATATGCTCTTAAAATTGATATTTTAATGTGTATATATATATGTAACGTATATAATGTGCTCTCTATATACACTTATCTGTGAGTGTATGTATATATGTAAAAGTGAATGTGAATGATGGAAGAAATTTTAAAGTATAGACTGCTTCAGGAAGACATGCAAAAATTGGCAAGCATTCCCATGGTTTTAATGTGCCATAATGTAACCCTAATCTGGATGAGATGTGAAGTGCAGTCAAAACCAGGCTAATGTACAGAATAATGTGAGGTGATCTGGCCACAATTTAAGTAAGTGTGAGACAGGTGGGTAGAGTAAGATGGCCGAATCAAAGCCACCACCGATCATCCTCCCCACAGGAACACCAAACTGAACAACTATTGACACAAAAAAGCATCTTCATAAGAATAAAAAATCAAGTGAATGATCACAGTACCTGGTTTTAACTTCATATCACTGACCGAGGCACTGAAGAGGATAGTAAAGACGGCCTTGAATTGCCAATCCCAACTCTCCCCCATATGCCAGCAGCAGCTAATCAATATTATTTCTTTTACTAATTTTGGTTTTGATTTGCTTTTGCCTTTCTAGTTCTTTAAAATGCATCAAGTTGTTTCTTTTTTTTTCTTTCTTTTTTTTGGAGACAAAGTCTCTCTGTTGCCCAGGCTGGAGGGCAGTGGTGTGATCTCAGCTCACTGCAACCTCCACCTCCTGGTTTCACCTGGTGGCACTGAGAATCTGTGTGTTTAGGGGAGGGAGCGCATAGTGACTGTGGGACTTTGCATTGGAATTTAATGCTGCCCTGACACAGTGGAAAACAACACCATGCAGAATTCAGCTGATGCTCATGGAGGGATCATTTAGACCAGCCCTAGCCAGAGGGGAGTCATCCATCCCAGGAGTTGGAACCTGAGTTCTGATAAGCTTTGCCACTTGGGGCTAAAGTGTTCTGGGGTTCTAAATAAACTTGAAAGACAGTCTAGGCCAAAAGGACTAGACTGTGCAATTCCTGCACAAGTGCTAATGCTGTGTTGGGTTCAGAACCACTGGACTTGGGGAGCATGTGACCTAGTGAGGTAACAGCTGAAGGAGCCAGTGGAGTGCTTGTGCCACCCTTCCCTCAAATCTAGGCAGTGCAGCTTGCAGCTCCAAAAAAAAACCCCTTCCTTCCACTTGAGGAAAGAAGAGGAAAAAGCAAACAGGACTTTGTCTTGCAACTTGGATACTAGATCAGCCACAGTAGGATAGGCCACTGGGTGGAATTGTGAGGCAGCCTTTCCAGACCCTAGCTCTCAGATAACATTTCTAGACACACCTGGGCCAGAAGGGATCCCATAGCCTTGAAGGGAAGCACTGAGTCCTGGCAGTATTCATCACCTGCTAACTGAAAAGCCCTTGAGCCTTGAATAATTAGCAGCAGTAGCCCAGTAGTACACACTTTTTCATCTCTGATTTTATTTACTTGAGTCTTTTCTCTTTTTTCTTAGCCTGTCTAAAGGTTTCTCAATTTTGTTTATTTTTTCAAAAAAAAAAACACCTTTTGGTTTCATTGACCTTTTTTAATGTTTTAGTCATTTCAATTTCATTTATTTGTGCTCTAATCTATATTATTTCTTTTCTTTTACTAATTTTGGTTTTTATTTGCTTTTGCCTTTCTAGTTCTTTAAGATGCATCATTAAGTTGTTTCTTTTTTTTTTCTTTTTTTTGGAGACAGAGTCTCTCTCTGTTGCCCAGGCTGGAGGGCAGTGGTGTGATCTCAGCTCACTGCAATCTCCACCTCCCGGTTTCAAGCAATTCTCCTACCTCAGCCTCCCAAGTAGCTGGGACTACAGGTGCACACTGCCACGCCCGGCTATTTTTTGTATTTTAGCAGAGACAGGGTTTCACCATGTTGCCCAGGCTGATCTCAAACTCCTGAGCTCAGGCAGTCCACCTGCCTCAACCTCCCAAAGTCCTAGGATTACAGATATGAGCCACTACACCTGGCAAAGTTGTTTCTTTAGTGTTTTTCTACATATTTGCCATAGGCACTTATAAATATTAACTTTTCTCTTAGTACAGCTTTGCTGTATCCCATAGGTTTTGGTATGTTGTGTTTTCATTGTCATTTGTAACATGAAATTCTTCCATTTTCATGGAGCCAATAAAATCTCTTTTTTAATAAATTACACAACCTTAGGTATTTCTTTTTAGCAATGAGGTGTATGGTCTAACACAGACAATTGATAGCAAGAATGAAACATTGCTATAAATATATCTGAAAATATGGAAGAAGCTTTGGTACTGGGTAACGAGCAGAGGTTGGAAGGGATTGGAGGGCTCAGAGGAAGACAAGAAGATGAGGGGAAGGTTGGAACTTCTTAGAGACCGGTTGAATTGTTGTGACCAAAATGCTGAGGTCTCAAATGGAAATGAGGAAATTTGGGGGAATTAGAGCAAAGGTCATGCATATTATGCCTTAGCAGAGAGCTTGACTGTATTGTTCCCTCCCCTAGGGCTCTATAGAAGTTTGAGCTTCAGAGTAATGATTTAGCATATCTGGTCATAGACATTTCTAAGTAGTGAAGCATTCAAGATGTGACCTGGCTGCTCCTAAGAACCTACGCTTAGGTGTGGGAGTAAAGAGATGACTTAAGGTTGGAATTTTTACTTACAAGAAAAGCAGAGCATGAATATTTGGAAACTTTATAGCCTGGTCATGTGGCAGAGAAAGGAAAAACTTTTTGGGGGGAGAGGAATCCAAGCAGGCTGCATAGCAATCACTTGCAAGAAAAAGAAGCCAAGTGCTGATAGTCAAGATAATGAGAAAAAGGTCTTGATGGCATTTTAGAGAACTTCATGATAGCCCTTCCTATCACAGGCCCTAATGCCCAGGAGAGAAGAATGGTTTAGTGGGCTAGGCCCAGGGCCCCGCTGCCCTGTGCAACCTTGGGACACTGCTCCCCACATCCTGGCTGCAGGGGCTTCAGCCTCTGCTCAAAGGGGCCCAGGTACAGCTCAGGCTACAGCTCCAGAGGGTGCAAGCTATAAACCTGGACAGCTTCCACATGGCATTAACCCTGTGGGTACAGAGTTCAAGAGTTAAGGCTTGGGATCCTCCAAAAAAGCTTGGGTGTCCAGCCTTCTGCAAGGATGGAGCCCTCACAGTGAACCTTTACTAGGGCAATGTGGAAGAGAAATGTGGGGTTGGAGCTCCCACACAGAGCGCCCACTGGGGCACTTCCTAGTGGAGATGTTAGAAGAGGGTCACCATACTGCAGACCAAAGAATGGTAGATCCACCAGCAGCTGGCACCCTGTGCCCGGAAAAGCTGTAACCACTAAACTCTAGCTCGTGGGAGCAGCCTTGAGGGCGGCACCGTGCAAAACCACAGGGCTGCCTAATGCCTTGAAATCCCACTCCTTGCCCCAGTGTACCACGGATGTGGAGCATGGAATCAAAGGATATTGTTTTGAAGCTTTAAAATTCAATGACTGCCTGCTGGATTTCAAACTTGTGTGGGGCCTGTAGCCCCTTTCTTTTGGCTGATTTCTCCCTTTTGGAATAGAAATTTTTACCCAGTGCCTACCCACATACACCCATTACATCTTGGGAGTAACTAACTTGTTTTGATTTTACTTGCCCCTTGGTGGAAGAAGATGAGGCTCATCTGATAGATGAGCCTTTGTATTGAATTCAGGACCTTTGGTTTAATGCTAGAACAAGCTAAGCCTTTGGAACTGTTGGAAAGGAATAATTATATTTTGAAATGTAAGAAGGACATGAGATTTAAGAGGGGTCAGGGGTGAAATTACATGGTTTAGATCTGTGTTCTCACTCAAATCTTGGGTTGAATTGTAATCCCCAGTATTGGAGGTGGGGCCTTGTGGGAGGTTATTGGATCATGGAGGTGGGCCCTACATCAATGATTTATCACTATCCCCTTGGTGCTGTCACTTGCAATAGTGAACTCACATGAGATCTGGCTGTTTAAAAGTGTGTAGCACCTCCTCTGCCTCCCTTTCTCTTGCTTTTACCACATGATGTACCTGCTCTCCCTTTGCCTTCTGCTATGATCATAAGCTTTCTGAGGCTTCCCCAGAAGCAGATGACACTATACTTCCTGCACAGCCTGCAAAACCATAAGCCAATGAACGCTGTTTTCTTATAAATTATCCAGTCTCAGCTATTTCTTTATAGCAACGCAAGAATGGCCTAACACACCCATCAAAATTAAAAATTTAAAAATAAACAAATAAATAATGTGGGCAGCCTGAATAAAATGAAGGTAAGAAGATTATAATTTATGGGGAAAATGCCCATCCACAAATTTGGAGAGAGAAAAGACGACTATGATGATGATGTCCAGATTGAAGATATTCTGGTTAGGAGCTGGTATAGAGTTGAGAAAACCAATGAAGACGGGGAAAGCTGATCCAGTCTAGACTTACTGTCAATCTCAATCATAATAAAGCACAGTGATTAGAAGTAGAATTCAAGATCGATTTTAAAAAATGGATGTGAATCAGGTTTAGCCACGGTAAATACAATTTGTTTTTTTTTCCTTACACTTGAGTTTGTCTTCAAAAATGAGACAATTTTTAAACTTTCGGAAACTGATACCTATTTATATTGACCTGGAATAACTGATCTCTATAGTTACAGTAACAAGCACAATTGAATTAGAAGATGTGGCAATATATGTTTTATATTTAAGTGATATCCATTTACACTTGAAAATGTGTGATTATTATGATTATCTAGAATCACGTCATGCACCAAAAGTAAGAAGATAAATGATTTTAAACAACAATTATTATTTATTTGATGGAATGACTTCTGAAAATGTAGACTAGGTAGAGGAAAGCCCTGTTTGAAACTCATTTTTAAAATAGCATAATTAAAGTAACTTCCATTGAGAACATAAAAGCAAATTCCAAAGATCCAAAAGTGTCCTGTTGAAATGTATTTCAAAAATTTCAGACAATCTGTTATGAAACAATATGGTTGCCCGCATGAAGAAATATGTTCATGCCAAATCAGCTAGTAAGCAGATCATTAACAAACAGTATAAACAGAGAGGAAAAGATGGATCCCCTAAAGAGATAAAGTATTTATGTATCTTGGCTCAGAAACTCACTTGTGTTCAGCCTAACAGGTAGTCCCATACAAAGACACTATCTGCTAAGTGAAGTAAAACAAATTTGGAGTTTCAAGTAATATATATCACAACAATTCAAATTTATGTAAATTTGTAACACCGTCTCTTACAAACTTTAAAGAGAGAAAATGTGTTTTCATTAGGTCAATTAGTTATGATAAATGCAGACTTGTTCAGACTTAATAGGCTGCTATCACATGTTAGAACATGTGTGTGTAAGGGAGGCCACTGAATGAGATTAACTAAATAGTCCCTCCATTCTAGCTAATCTGCCAAGTCTAGTTAGAGCACAATGCAAAGAGCTATGTTAATCATACCCTCAGTTCTTCACATGATATCATCATAAGCACTGACTTTGACCCTCCCTTGACTATTAATTTGATTTTATTCTGATATAACTCTCCTATTTATCTCCCATCCTACTGACAACTATTCACATAGACTGCATTTGTTCACAGAAAATGACTTTTGTGATATTGTCAACACACAGTAATGGTAATCTTCCATATATGTTATTGTTTCTTTTTATTTAGCGCAGACTTATGCTTTTAAAGTTTAATCTACATAGCTAACGTTTTCTCTCTGCAATTCTTTTTAGCGCAGTGGTATACTCTGGTGTCCATACACTACATTTTGCCTGGTGTCATTCCCAATGATGGTTACTCTACCCAGATTCCTACCACACTCCAAATCCCCACCACAAACATCAGTGCAAGAAACACCCTTTTGCATATTCCCTTAACAGATCCATGTGAGAAGAAACAAAACAAACATATGCTATATATGTTGTGTTATATATGTTATATATTATATACTTACACACACATACACACACATATGTGATAAAATTGCTTGTTCATAGAAGAGGTTATTTTATTTTTATCTTGACTATTGTCAGATTTGTTGCTAGAATGCCTACAAATGTTGACATTTCTGATAGGTACATGAGTGTATGTATATATCAACATTCCCACTCTAACTCTCTAAATAGCATTATTCAGCTCTCTAATTTGTTTTTTTCAAATAAACGTAGAAAGCATGAAATGTTCTCTCTTTCTCTCTATGAATTCACTCTTTTACTTATTACTACCAAATATGGGATCCATTTTATATGCCAGCTAACCTTGTGGTTTTACTCTTTAGTAAAACACCTATTTACCAAATATTAAATGGATTTCAGCATATTTTGGAAATATAAATCTTTAATAATAATTCTAAGGAAAGGTTGAAAATAAGAGCAGATTTCAAAGAGATCATTGTTATTTAAAACAACACAGAACCAAAAATAATGTATTGCCTAGTAGTGAAGAGTGACTCTGCCCAAGTTTGGATACCTACTCTGTGCCTGGCTTGCTATACCTTCTATGAGGATTGTGTCAGTGTTTTGAAAGGGTGGCATCATTTTACCGCTTACACCATAGAGTACTTGGGAGATTAATAAAATAATACACAGAAGAGACAAAAAACAAAGCCTAATGTATAAGCACTCAATATTCCATTAATTTGTTTAGATTTCTCTAATTTTGCATAGGCAATTTTCCTTCCCATACAATATTATTCAATACATTCAATATTAATGAAATTGCATTCAAATAAGCTTCAAATAGTCACATCATCCTCCTTTCCACATTTTGCTGTGCATATATTCTGCCCTTTTTTTCATAGTTCAGTTGAACAAAGCTCACATCAGGACATGAATGGAGAAGCCAAAAACGTGTTCACTCAGCATCCTCCCTACACTCATGAGATGTTCTGATTAGATGCTTTAAAAGGTTACCAAGAAAACAGATGCTGTCTTAAAAGTTAACTAAATAATGTACTTCATAAAGGCAAGCCACCCACCATCCATTTGTAAATTCAGGTATGTAATTCCCTCTCCACCTCTGCTGCATTTGTCTTTAGTCATTTTTTTTTTCATCCACAAGCAAAATCTTAGTCACAAATGTTAATATCACTCATTTCTAATTGGATGAAATTTGCCACCTCTAACTATGAATTTTGTGCAAATATCTCACATCTTATATTGCTCATAAATAAAATATGTTCAGGAAAAAATGATAGAGAATTATGAGCACTCTTCCAAAACCTGTTTATATAATTTTATGAGAAGCTTATTAAATTCTATAAAAAATTGTATTTTTAATATAGATTAAGGCTTTGTTCTCAACATTACTAGGAAAAAAATGAATTTACAAAACTTCACCAAAGAAACATATTTTAAGGCCAACAGCTTAAATGGAAGTGAAATATAATCTGCTCTCTCAATAACAAGGGTTTTATCTTAGGATTTTTGTTTTACTAAAAAGACAAGTTGTTAAACATTTAACATAGTTGCTTCTGACATGTTAAGTCTTATCATAAAAATAGAATTAATTCATTCCTCAAAAATGGGAAGGAAACTAGAAAAAGAATTTATAAAATTATATAAATAAAGGTATTATGACTGGACAAAAACTATGATTTAATTGACTGTACAAAATACCTTGCTGGATTTCAATAGCTGATCAATTTGACACTGGTTTTAAAAAGTTGAATAACATTGTTTAGAAATATGTTTCTGCAATTTATATTGCATTTCAGTTCTGGATATCAAGGAATATTTTGAGACTGTGTGTTTGTTTCTCACCATTTTTATTCTTATTTATTTGTTGCTCCTTTATAACTATAATCTTCTTCTATTAGCCACAGTTAACCATTCCCTATTAATTATTGACATATTCTGCCTTTGTTCATATAGATTTAGTGTCATGTAGATATCTAAGCAAATGGGCTTATGCATATATGGATAGCAAAATAAATATAATTTAGCAAGATAAAATATTTGAATTAAGTGATAATGAAATAAATGAAAAAAGGAAGTAGGAAACTAAGAGTGAGTTTGCCAGGAAAAAACAATCTATGCAAGGTAGGATAATATAACATTGTGGGTAAGAGCACAAATTTAAACTAAAATAGGTTTGAATTCCTTTTTGCAAACTTACCTGACTTTGGAAAGATTGCTTTAACTCTCTAAGATTCAATAGTCTCAAATATAAATTGGTATATTGGTACTTGCTTAATGGAGGTTGTATAAAAATCAAATTATAAAATTCCCCAAAGCAGGTAAACCTGTTCATGAAGTATAGGAAATGTTAAATAAATGCTTACTGTGATCATGATGATAATGTCTTATACACTTCACAAAGGGTTTGGCTTTAAGTTTTATTGTGGCAATCACTTAAAAATAGTTACATGATTTTTTTTTTATTTTCACTGAATTAAATGCAAGCATAGCTATGGTGAAACACAAATCTGTTAAATAAAACAAGATTCTCTAATACTTCCTCACAAATAAAACCTGTGACAAGCTTTAGAGGATTTATTATCACATAGTCTCTTGCTATATGTTGATGGCTGAAAGACAAATTGCAATTTTTTAAGAGTATGGGAGTAGGTTTGGAGGAAATGATTGAAAGACTAAAGTATCTTCAAAATATTCCAATTTAACAGACTGAATAAATCCAGAGAGTCATCATAGCATATGTGAAAGAATAGGTTGCCTGCTTTTTGTCTATATTAATGATACTAGGTAAATAACAAGTGATTATATTTTGGATATTATAATATTCCGATAATAAATGAAACTATGAAATGATGACTTATATTTCCAAGGCGTTTGCTTTAAGTGTTAATCAAAAAGAAGGTAGGCCTAATACTCTCCTAATATTTACACAAATACCAGTTTGTATAAAATAAAAAATAAGCTACAAGACCTACATATCCCCACCTCCCTCCCTCCTATCACTAAATTCTTGTTAACAAACCACCTTCTTTTTCATTCTTCTCCTTGCACTTTATTTTCCTTTTTGTCCAGAGAAAAATAAAACAGAAACAAAAAATGTCTAATTAGATGCTCACAGAGGAGTGGAATGTACTCAGAGGTACAAATAAAACCCGTTAGACTTCCTACCCTTGTAAGCTCTGTGAACCACCAAAACCATTGAAAGAAAGGATAATGGGATTTGACCTAATCAGTTCTTCCAAGGTGCTTTGTGGTTGCTCTGAAATAGCATAAGTGTTTCACAGGTACCTGATGTCAAATTGAAGCCATTTTCAGTGCCAAAGGAAAGACCTTAGTGGCATCTGGAGAAATATTAAACCATTTAGGCTGTTCTAGGGGAGAGTAAGGAAATCAGCATTCCAGAATTCCATTGAGGGTTATGAATTATCTTATAAGAATTTGGGGTAGTAATAGCAAAATGTTCAGGGTTTACACTGAATTTTTTAAGAGGACTATGGAAAGTTTGGAAACCTTTGATTCCTGTCAAGAGAAGGAATGAAATTCAAAAGACAAAAATACAGAAAAAAAATATGTAAAGGCTAGACAGGGATTAGACACTATTGAAAGCATGGTTTCTGGAGCTTTTCTGCCTGGGTTTGAGTCATGATATACCCATTCATCAGCTGTGAGACCTCAATTATCTAAGCTCTATTTCCCCTAATCTTCTTATCTGTAAAATGAACCTCATATCATAATGTATGTAAAACACATATAATAATACTTAACATACATAAATTTCATGTGCGTGTTTGTTAACTGAATGTATGCTGGGTACTGTGATATGTATTTTTATGTATTATCTTGTTTGATTATTCTAAAATCCTTGCTTAGATAGCAATTTTTTTCTCCAACTCAAAATGGAAACATTTCTACTTTTGAGACATTTAGAATATGGCCTAAACTCCCAGTAGACTGAGATTTGAACTCAGACTACGTTGAGTCTGTGGCCAGTGCATTTATTGTTGTTGTTAAATCTGAAAAAGATATTCCATGGAGTCTGATTTTATATTTGTTTTGTACTTTATAAACAGCAACCATCTTTTCTCCAACAATACACAGACACAGGCTGCTGAACTTGATAGCCAAGATATTCCCAAATAAGTGGGGCTTGGGGGTGGGGGAGATAGTGGGGCAGACAGTCAATTCACTTGTGCATAAAGAAGTAAATGTTATGACTATTTTATTCTTGCAGGCACATCAGATCTTTTGGCTAATACCTGCCTCATGTGGTTGTAACATTACAAACATATATCCTAGTTACAAGTTCTAGTCTATAATGATGACTTTGTCAGCATTTCTTGCAAAGACATTTAGTAACACTTATGTTAAAATCACATCGGTGACAATTTCATGATGGCTTTTGTAACACTTAAAATGCTAGGAGTTCATATCTTTAAAAGGAATTTCTGAAAAAAATCACCAAGAGCAGAACATCAGAGAAATAATTGTCTTTCACTGCCTCAGGCATGCTCTCACCAATCCAATTTTAAAGTAGAAACAAAACACAGAGCACAGTGATAATAACAGCCATGTTTTAGAAGATAAAGCAGAAATGTTAGAGGATTTGAGGAAAGTATTATAGGTTGAGTTTTTCAGCTGGCCCCAAGGGGTGGGGCATGAAGAGTAAAAAATCAAAGATTAATATAAGCAAACACCCTCTCAATAATTGGAAGCCCAGCACCAGAATAAACTGTGTAACAATAAAAAAAGATAAGTAAATAAAATGAATGGCTGCCTAGATGGCGATATAAAAGAAACATCACTATGCACATAGAATAACTTGTTTTATATAAGGAAACTCTGATAACAAATGAATTCCCAGGATGCTGAAGCTAGAAGAAGTGTTCGTCTGAATTCAGCCTAATCTACTTTTATTTAAGATGTGATGAACAGAACATTTTTGAAATGTATCCCTGCTATAGGTAGATGTTTACCTTTTTCTTTCTTTTGAAGGGAGAGAATAGAGCGTAGGATCTGGCAGTCAGTTTTAGTGGCAATAGTCTTATACTTCGATAACAAACTCACCACTTTTTTTTGTATGTAATCTGACCCTTTTCCCCAAGCAAGGGCTCTCCTCAAAGCAATGTGTAAAGCATCAATTTCTTATTTCTTTTTTTTTTTTTTGAGATAGTGTCTCACTCTGTTGCCCAGGCTGGAGTGCAGTGGTGCCATCTTGGCACACTGCAACCTCTGCCTCCTGGGTTTAAGTGATTGATGCCTTGGCCTCCCAAGTAGCTGGGATTACAGGCACGTGCCACCACGCTCGGCTAATTTTTGTATTTTTAGTAGAGATGGGGTTTCATCATATTGGTCAAGCTGGTCTTGAACTCCTAACCTCAGGAGACCCACCCGCCTTGGCCTCCCAAAGTACTGGGATTAAGGCGTGAGCCACTGCACCTGGCTAAAGCATCAATTTCTAAGCTTGTCTGCTAAAACGACTCCCGTGAGCTGCATTGATACTGGAGCTTCTTATTCTTGGTCATTGCTGCTGCTGGATAAATATGGTAGAGGAATCTGGAGGGTGGGAGAAAGACATAGACATTCCCTTCCAGAACTAAGCGACAGGATCCAGCACTCTGAACAGATTTTTTAAAGCTATAGGATAGTACATATTTCTCAATATTTTCCCATTTGTAGTGACAAATTACATTCCAAAGATAACAAAATATTTGTTTTGGAATTCTATCGAACCATACGTTGAATGCTAGGAAACTGTACCTGTGGTAAACTATATTAAAATGTCTATTAATGATGAATATTAATACAATAAATTTTACCTGTGAAATGATTTTGAACCATTTATTTTTTGTCATATCAGTTAATGTTCTCCCCACAGTTCCCTTTATCCCTTTATAGATTACTTGATGTATTCTATTTAAAGAAGTGCATAAAGAGGCGTGAGCTTTATTCTGTATGATTCATTTTTTTTCTCTTTTTGTTTGAGATGAGTCTCGCCCAGGCTGGAGTGCAGTGGTACAATCTCGGCTCACTGCAAACTCCGCCTCACAGGTTCAAGCAATTCTCCTGCCTCAGCCTCCCGAGTAGCTGGGATTACAGGCATGTACTACCACACTTGGCTAATTTTTATATTTTTGTGGAGTTGGTGTTTCACCATATTGCCCAGGCTGGTCTTGAACTCTTGACCTCAAGTGATCCACCGGCCTCAGCCTCCCAAAGTGCTGGGATTACAGGCATGAGCCACTGTGGCTGGCCTCAGATTCTCTTTTGAATGTTTTCTCCTTATAAAATGATAACTGGAAGTATATTTGTATACTTGCTTTTACTTAAGTGATAGGTGTTTGCTCTCTGAAGCTGTAAACCAATGTACAACATATTAGAAAGCAAATTAAGAGTAAAAAATCAATCTCTGCAAAACTAAATATTTAGAGACATATTTTATCTAATAGATGATGTCATTCTATGTAAAAACCAAAGTGCTTAATACCTGCCAAAAGATGCCTAAATATGATAGAGTTGTAGATTACACACAGATAACACACTATCTACCAGCCTGGGCCAGTGGTGTATTTGCAGTGAATGGCACACCACCATCTTCATTACTGAGATGTATGGGGGATTTTTTCTGTGCTTTATTTTGGAAGAGAGGTAATGGGAAGGCTGGTGAACAGGTGGCTGGCCCAGAAACAAAGGGTGTGAGTTTTAAAAATACGTTTTCTCCTTCACATGCGCTGGAACACCTTACAAGAACAAAGATCAGAAGCTAAGAGAGTCATTTATTTTTACAAGATATGGGTGATTCAGGGAAGATGTATTGGTCAAGAGAGACTGAAAGAGGCTGTAAATCCAAGGAGAACAGGTTTTGAGTCAGATGAAAAAGAATGTTGCAGAGTTGCTGAGAAGGCACACATCTGCCAATCTGTATGTTGAACAAAAATATTCTGCCACCTGAAATACAGAACACTTATGTATTGAATTCTAGAAATCTCAGTGCCTTTAATTATCTTAACTGCCAAAAGAGAATAATGATAATAGTAGCACTTGGTTTACAGTGTTGCCCTAAACATTAAATTGGAACATTCTAGGTAAAATGCTTAGAAGATGATCTGCTACATTGTATGTATGCACGGAGTAAATGTCAACTATTGTTTTTTCATACTATCATTTTTTGTTAATGTTAAATTTTTGAAAATGTTCACACTTTACCAAAAGTATTTGCAGAATCCCCTATAGTATAAAGACGCTGATAAAAAAATGTATTCCAAAATTCATAGGATTGTGTGGGGTATAGTAACTTAATGATGAAGATTTAGAATAATGGATAGAAAAGAGATTGTTATGTATTTACTTACTGTCTAATCAGTGCATGTGAAGATTCTTGCAGTATCGAGAAAAATATCTCTTTTTGTTCTTTATTTTTAAATATGTTGCTCCTAACTAATTTCACTTGTCTCAGAATGAGGAAAAGGTGGCAACACTGCTATTACAATGACATGGGTTTTAAAAAATGTGTTTATATGGCAACAATATAGATCTGGCCTCCACAGTTTCCTAATGCTATTTATTTATTTAATTCAGGTTACATTATTATTCATAATGCTGCATCATTCAATAAATTACACACAGATCCTGGATTCCAGTGAATCTCTCAAAGGTCATTAATGTGTTTCATTGATAATAAACACAAATACAAGTCTCATCTAGAGGATGCAATATCATTTATAAATAATTACTTTGTTTTTGGTCATATTGCACTATTTTGATTAGGGTCATTGCTGTTTAGAAGTCAGACTCTCTTCCATTTCCAACTTCTTCTTACCACCTCTATTCGGGCTCCCTCAGTAACCCAGTGAATTTTTTTTCTCTTTCTTGTGAATTCCAATAACATTCTTGTACCACATTTACAGCATCTTGTAAATACTTCCTTGAATATAGTACTTTATCAAGATACTTTCCCTCAGGAATTTTAAGTTTTAACATGTATTCTATATCTTATATATTTTCCCCCAACATATTTTCTTACATGCATTAGGATGTTATTCAATAAATGATCACTGAATTATAAGACATAGTTTATTTTACCCCACTGTTAAGCAAGGTTAAACAACAATCAGATTATGGCATTTCTTGTTTTATTCATGTATACTCACTAACTGCTGAGATAGACCATTGTCATATTTAATCTGTGTCTAAGAAAGATCTATTATACATAGATTAGCATATGCCTCAGTACTTTTTCCTGGGACCCTCAATATGTCTGCTATTTGCTCTGAGCAATTTCACTATTAGAACTTTATCCATTTAGGGCAGCCTCCGTGGCTCACGTCTGTAATCTCAGCACCTTGGGAGGCCGAGGCTGGCAAATCACTTGAGCTCAGGAGTTCCAGACCAGCCTGGCCAACATGGTGAAACCCTGTCTCTACTAAAAATACAAAAAAATAGCCAAATGTGGTTGCTCGTACCTGTAATCCCAGCTACTTGGGAGGCGGAGGCAGGAAAATTGCTTGAACCTGGAAGGCAGAGGTTGCAGAGAGCCGAGATCAAACAACTGCACTCCAGCCTGTCTAAAAACAAACAAATAAATAAATAAATAAGAAATGTATCCATTTAGATTAAGATGTTAATACATGTTAAATTATAGTTAGTTTTATTTTGAACTCATGTTACCTCTTCAGACATTGCTAGTAATAAATCTGAGATCACTTATGAAAGCAAAATTTGATACAGAAAGTAAGAAAGTAAGATGAAAATATTAGGGAGCTAGGGTCCAGAGGAAAAGAGAAACATTTTGTATAATGTGCATACTGAGGTGCTAGGGCTAAACTTTGGCCTCACTTTTAAAGATTATTAGTATTTTGATCTACTAGTTAGTTTTATGTCTTCCCTACACCACTCATAATCTTCAATCCTAATTATTTTATAAATATGAATTGTAAAAACAAATTAATAAAGAAGCTTGAAAATTTCGTTTGTAAAACCCCCAAGGTTTAATAATTTCTTAAATGTTAAATAAAGGAGAAAGAATGTACACATCTTAAATAATGTAAACTGTAAATACATTGTTGAGATAAGTGGCAAATCACTTCTCTTTTAACATAAGCTGTGTTCTCTTTACTGATAATTCAAACTGTTTGCCATATCTAATAATGTGCTCATTGAGCTTCTAGATCACTCAGGACAGTTGACTATTTCTCTCTGTTATAGAAATCTAAATAATATTAGAATCCTCAAAAATATAACCAGATTATTATATACATACATATATAATTACATATATATAATATGCACACAAGGATAAATCTATCTACTCTTTTTAATGAAAATATCCTACGAAGATCAGGCATGTTTCCCAAAAACTCTGTAACATGTTCACCATTATTCATGTAGATCTTTCTCCATTCAATTTTTGCAAGGAAAAAGAAAAGACACCTATACCCCCAAGGGTTAAAACTATTATGAACCACAAAGAAAGCAAATTAGTGCATGTGAGGGACAGGGAGTAAGGGAAATGGGGAGTGATTGCTTAATAGATTGGGGTTTCATTTTGGGATGATGAAAATAATATTTTGGATATAGCTAAAGGTAATGGCTACAAAATATTTTGAATGTATCCATTTTAAAATGGTTAATTTTATGGTACATGAATTTTACCTCAATAAGTTGTTTTAAAGTTGCTTTATGGAAATCCAAGTCCAAAACTTTCACACTTTCTAACAAAAGTTAATGATTCACAGATGTATGGCTCTGAGGGAGGCCATTACAAAAGTAATATTTCAATATCTTTTTGTCCAAATCGGGTCTTAATTATATATTTTCTTTTCTAGTTACTCAGTCACCAACCCACTCCTCTGTCATAATCTTCCTCTTCTTTTTGTTCTCTCTCCACATTACTTTAATCATAATGTCCTAGCATTTCTTATTCTCTTATCTATCTCAGGGAACAAAATTTTTACTTTCCTTGCCTCAGATTTTCCAGTTCAGAAACAAGTGTCTCACCTTTGACCTTTTTCTTTCTGTGGTACATGGAATAATGGCCATCAGGGATATCCATATCTTAACTTAATATCCAGAACCTGTGAATTTGTTGCTTTCTATGGCTATGGGAACTGCAAATACATAATTAAATCAGTGATCCTAAGAGGAGGAGATTACCTTGCACTACCTAAGTGGACCCAATCTAACTCAGTCCTTAAAATCCTCTACTCTTTTCCAACTGTGGTAAGAGAAGAAAATGTGACTATAAAAGCAAGACTTGAAAGATGCAACATTAATGGCTTTGAAGGGGGAGGAAGGTGTCAGGAGGCAAAGAATGAAGACTATTCCTAGAAGTTGCAAACGGGAAGGAAACAGATTATCCCCTAGGCCTTAGAGAAAACTAGTTAACCCTGCTGACAACTTGATTTTAGCTCAGTGAGACCTGTGCCAGAATTCTAATCTACCAAACTATGAAACAGCAGTTTTGTGGTTTTTTTGTGTTTTGTTTTGTTTTTTTGAGATGGAGTCTTGCTCTGTTACCCAGGCTGGAGTGCAGTGGTCCAATCTCAGTTCACTGCAAGCTCCACCTCCCGGGTTCAAACGATTCTCCTGCCTCAGCCTCCCAAGTAGCTGGGACTACAGGTGCATGCCACCACGCTTGGCTAATTTTTTGTATTTTCAGTAGAGATGGGATTTCACCATGGTAGCCAGGATGGTCTCGATCTCCTGACCTCGTGATCCACCTGCCTCAGCATCCCAAAGTGCTAGGATTACATGCATGAGCCACCGAGCCCAGCCATTGTTTTAAGCTACTAAATTGCTGGTGATTTATTATGGCTTCAATAGGAAACATACATTTTCCTTTACCTGCACATCATATAATTTGTGGTAACTGTTTTCTTATCTTTGAAATCTATCTGCTTTTCCCCACTTACACTTTTACTTCCCTGTTATGATTCATTACATTTTTGGATGACAGCAATAGATTCATAAATACTTCCTCTTTATTTTGAAGTGACTTCACTCCATTCATTTTCCACACTGCAGTCAGCATTGTCATACTAAGAGACAAATCTGACTATAGTTACTATCAAATCCCTTCAATCATTCCTATTACCTTCAGCATAAAGTCCAACCTCCTCATGTTTCACCAAGGCCTTCATGATCTATTTCCCAATATCTCTCCATTTATCCTCTAGTGATTTATGACTTAGATAGACATGAAGTTCCTGGAAAATACAGTATTTTCTCTTTCCTTTAGATATGTAGGAATTTTCCCTCATTTATGTGCCACCTCTACCTAGTTACTAGGTACTTATTGTTTATCCATCAATATAAATATCACTTTTTTGGAAGTCTTTCCTGAATCCAAAATTTAGGTTTCTTATCAATATTATGCTCTTACTTCCACAGACTATTTGATAATCTCAATCATAGTATTAATCAGTCTAATAAATATTTTGGTTTAGTTTTGAAATGTCAGTAATGTACATTTTCTTGCTGGTTAATATTAGTTATTAAGTATTCAAAATAATAAGTCAATAAATAAATATAATATTTACATTTTGCAGTATGTATAAGCACATGTATATCAGTGTTTTAATGATTACTTAATATAATATCTACCTTTTATAACTTTAACTTGATGGTTGCATGTTATAGTATTGTTTTAATCAAAATTATAACCCTATAGAAAAAGCAATGCTTACTAAAGGTTGTAAAGAGTCTTCTCAAAGAGTACTTCCAGTATAAGTTGAAGGAATTCATTTATGGCTACCCCATTGCATCCAAAATAATGCACTTATTGGCTCCTATCCAAATTTTAGGCATACTGCCTAGGAGGAATTAACCAGCTTTTTAAAGTTCGATTTGCAAATTCAAACTTATTAAATGACACAGATTGTCTCAGCATGTTATACAGTAAAGCAATTATCACTGACATTAATTATTACATTCTAAATTGCCCTTTTAATCATGTCTTAAAAGAGAAATTATGATTACTTTTTGCTGTCTATCATTTATCTCTTCTTACTCTATTTGAAGAAGCAGTGTCTAGGTCCAAAAGAATAGTTGTATAAAGCCATAAATAAATATTTTAGTTAATAATACCTTTAAAGTTCTCAAAAAAAAAGCCATATAATATTTAAATGTCAGTTATATTAGCCTCTTCTTATACTGGTGCTAGTTAATTACTTTATCAATTCAAAGGCCATTATATATTATCTTAATATGAAAAAGTTTAAAATATTTTATTATAAATATAAGTTGGAAATTCTTTATATAATTATTGAACATGGAAAATATGTAAAAATACAAGCAGAATTTTGTGGCTGAAAAGAGCCATTTAGGTATTCAGTGATGTACTATATAGCATAATATTCTAATTCAGTAGACTAAAGGTCCAAATAACTTTGTTCTAATTTAAATTATTCATGGACTAATTATTTGCCTTTGGGTACATCTTGGGGTATAATTTATTAATCCATAAAATTAGGTTAATATAAGTTGGTGAAAACATAATTGTGGTTTTCACAATATTGAAATTTGCCATTTGATATTGGAATACATTCTTAAATAAATTTGGTTATATTATACATCATTTTAATGTGCATTTCTTGCTTTTTTTTTGCTAATGACTTATTACTTGCTGTTTGTTTTATATTTATTTTAGATTATGAAAATGATATTAGACAAAAAGCAAATTTGGGTGATTTTCTTATTCAAGTTCAAAATAGGTCATAAAGCAGTGGAGACAACTCATAACATCAACAACGCATTTGGCCCAGGAGCTGCTAACAAACATACAGTGCAGTGGTCATTAAAGAAGTTTTGCAAAGGAGACGGGAACCTGGAAGATGAGGAGCATAGTGGCTGGCCATTAAAAGTTGACAACAACCAAATGGGAGCAATCATCGAAGCTGATCCTCTTACCACTACATTCTGAAGAACTCAACATCGACCATTCTATGGTCATTTGACATTTGAAGCAAATTGGCAAGGTGAAAAAGCTCTCTATAAGTGGGTGCCTCATGAGCTGAGCGAAAATTAAAAAAAAACAAAAAACAAAAAAAAACACACGTCATTTTAAAGCATTGTCTTCTCTTATTCTGCACAACAACAAACCATTTCTCGATTGGATTGTGATGTGTAGCAAAAAGTGGATTTTATACAACTGGTGATTATCAGCTCCGTGGCTGGACTGAGAAGAAGCTTCAAAGCACTTCCCAAAGCTAAACTTGCACCAAAAGTAATCGTGGTCATTGCTTGGTGGTCTGCTGCCGGTCGGATCCGCTATGCAACTTTTTGAATCCCGGCAAAACCATTACATCTGAGAAATATGCTCAGCAAATCAATGAGATGCACCGAAAACTGCAATGCCTGCGGCTGGCATTAGTGAACAGAAAGGGCCCAATTCTTCTCGGCTACAATGCCTGACCGCACGTTGCAAAACAGAGGCTTAAAAAGTTAAACAAATTGGGCTATGAAGTTTTACTTCATCCTCCATAGTCACCTGACTTCTCACCAACTGACTACCATTTCTTCAAGGATCTTGACAACTTTCTGCAGGGAAAACACGTCCACAACCAGCAGGATGCAGAAAATGCTTTCCAAGAGTTCGTCGAATCCTGAAGCACAGACTTTTACACTACAGGAATAAACAAACTTATTTCTCATTGGCGATAATGTGTTGATTGTAATGGTTCCTATTTTGAATAATAAATATGTGTTTGAGCCTAGGTATAATGATTTAAAATTCACAGTCTAAAATCACAATTACTTTTGCAACCTAATATTTATTCTTCCTCCTTATGTCATAGAATTGAGAGTAAATCAAACACGATAGAATATTATAAAACCTTAAAATTGGAACAATTTAACATTATTACTAAAATGAAAAATAGTTAGCTACGACCAGCATGAACACTTATTAAACTAAATGGATAATGTAAATAATTTGAGAATTAACAATTTACCATTTTTAAAATGTTCTCTGACAGTCACTAAATTAAAACATCTCCCACCGAAGCTATTCTACATGATAAATTCATTATGCTGTTATGAATTGTTGCTAGCTTCTATTAAAATAACACTTCAAAGTACTAAAACCATAAAACCAGATTGTTTGTATTGAGTGTCGGATGGTGCTGAGGATAGAGAATATGTTTGATATTGTTGTCCACGTAATTTGTATTAAATAAAGAGCAATAACTTGCATCAAAGACAAATAAATAAAAGGATCTTGTTCTAAAAGAGATTCTAATAAGGTCAAAAATCAGCTCTTTCTTTAATTCCAAATATCTTGTTAGTTATAAATCTTGTTATTTTATAAGGCTTCTCATGAAATATAAAATACTAAATAGTGCAACTGAATATTCCATGTATGCAGTGGATATCACATAATTTCATATACACCACAATTCATTAATTAAATTTAATTGTTAAAGATCAGAGAAATTAATCAGTTTGCACACATAACTATTACATTAAAAATTTTAAGTTTATGGAATAATAAATTGAGAGGTGACAAAAGACAAAATCTCTAATACCTCTGAAAAATATAGAACAGAGCTATGTTCTAATAAGAAAGCCCATTTGTCTAAGGAACAAAGGATGTGTGTTTGAACCCTGTTTCCCAAATATTTAATTGTATGACTTCTGGTAATTGATGGAATTTCTCTGAGTCCTAGGTTTCTGTGAAATAAGTTTAAGGTCTACTCCACTGAGGTACAAAGCTTAACTAAAACCTATAACTTAATATATCAACTATGTAGAAGTCAGTATGTATGGTACTTAATGATAGAAAACTGTAATAATAAAGGGAAAACATTCATTGAAACTAATGGGAGATTAAAAATTACACATTATAAATATATGATTTACAATGAGGAAAAGTGCAGGTACCTACACTGAGAAGTTATAAAATATAGGTAGCCTTTTAAAATAATATATAACATATCAAGGATAAGAAAAAATTAGAGGATATTGTATTAAGGGGAAACAATAGTTAAAGGAATTAATGGAGCAAGTCATACAAATATTTCTATCCCTTTTAGACAGACAGGACAGACAATTCAAGATCACAAAGTGGGTTCATATGTCACCTATTCAAGAAATAGTATGAAAGCAAGTGTGTTTGTTTAGAGAGGAAGAGACTTGCAAGACATAAAATCAGAGTTAGCCTGTGGCCAGATCAGGTAAGATTTTCAAGGTCCTTGTAAGAATTTGGGCTTTTGTTCAAAAGAGATGGGCTGCTTTGGGGAGATCTGAATAGAGTAATGACATAATCTTTCTAAAATATCTCTTTTTCTGAGTGAAGACAGTCATTCAGAGGCTATTACAATAATTCAGTTGCTGAAGGTTGAAGTGGGGTAAGAAGTCAGGAGGCTATTGCAAAAGCGGCAAGAGATGATGAGATTTTTGATCAAAGAAGTAACAAATTAAATTACAAGTTATGGTCAGATTTTGAAAAAATACTGAATTTAGAACTAGTAGAATTTGCTTGTAGACATAAAATAACCTGTGAAAAATACTCAAAAATTACTCCAAGTCTTTTCTATTTTATTTTATTTTTTTTGCTTGCATAGCTGGCAGAATGAAGTGGCATTTGCTAAGATGAAGATGATTACAGGAGCAATACATTTAGGATATGAGGAATCTGAAGGTAAGTTTGGATGATTACTACTAGACAGCTCCAGTGAAGGTATCACATAAGCCATTTGGCATACATGCCTTGCATTCCAAAGATATGACTGGCTTGGGCTGGAGATTTAAATTTGAGTTAGTTACCATATAGATAATATCTAAAGTGCTGAGTCACTTGGAATTGATTATCGATTGTAAAGAGCAGAGGTTCCAAGATTCCTAAAAACTTCAGAGGCCGAAGACACAGAGAAAAGAGAACCACTAATAGAAATTAAGAAAGGTGTTGTGGTGAGGTAGAATGTAACTGAAGAAAGTGTTGTCCTGGAAGTCACCTTCTGCCACTACAGAGATAATAATAACAACTATGCCTAAAATATTAATGCAATGGTGACATCAAATTAATCTATAAGAGATGATGAGATTTTTCATCAAAGAACAGAAATGTTTGAATCCATCCTGCAAAAATATTTGTAAACATAAAACCTAATTTAGGTCTATTCTATTGTTCATGATTATTTGGATTAGAAGTTACAGAAATTGAACTTTAACTCACTTAGAAAAACAGTACATTCCAAAACAAAAAATGGTTTGAATAATCAAAGTACAAAGTAAGAAAAGAATATTTTTACACCTTAAAACCAACACACACAAAACAAAACCACTCTAGAGCCAGGGACTTGAATGCCATTTGACCTCCCTTTCAGTTTTACAACTATGTTTTTCCCCACTTGTGTGTTTTATTTGGTCTCACTGCAAGTTTATTTCTCATGGGAGGACACTTGACTTCTCATAGATCTCAAGCCTCTTATAGATATTATTATATCCAATAACATCTGCTACCACAAAGCCTGAATATTTTGAAAACTCCCAGGGAAAATCTCTGTATGGGTTAAGCTCTCTCCTGAACTAATCAGTCATGGGCAGAGAGATGGATTCATGCGAATAATAGGAGTTTTCAATGAAAACAAAAGCATGAGGAAGGAAAAATACAAGTTTCAAAAAGAAAAGGAAAGACACTGTGATTATTGTTAAGGAAAGGATCAGAATAAAGACAAAAATAAGCTCCATTAAACCTCGAGGCCTATTGTTATATATGTGCAAGCCTCATGATCAAACATTTTTTTCAGAAATTGTATGTTTTGATTGACATTTGCTAAGTGTCAAAGGGTCAAAAACATTAATGATGAAGTTGGTGTAAATTATAATTGCACTATATAAAATTAGGATTAAATTGATTGAATCTAAACTTCTTGGAATTATAATTAATTTTTAAAATTTAAGCACAATTTTAATTCATATGACCAAAGAAATTAATACTACTTGCACTATTATTGGAAACAGTCTTTTGAGGTTCCCTGTAAAGATCTATGAGGTACATACAGTTCTTCAGCAAAATACAAGTTCTAAAGAATTCAAGAGAGGAGATCATCTTTGGAGCAATAAAATTTTGACTAGATTTTTATAAAGGTAAATTTATATCAAGATGGCTTTAAGTTTTAGAGTGGAATTCTATTACAATGCAATGAATAGTCCCTCTAAACACACATATTATGTATATTTAATTTCAGAACAAACTATCTCACATAATACTCATTTATGTAATGAAGTGCAAATCTGATTCTAGCTAAAAAATGTATCCATAACTCGTAAATTATGATAATGAAAATAATTAAAATTCTATACTCCTTAGCGTTTATAAAATATTCATGTTAATAATCAAAATAATAGCACATTTATTCTTTAGAACAATCTCTTCATGATGCTTCTGCATCTTTTGATTGCGTTTTTGCCTTTCAACCTTATTTCAGATTGTAGAGAAAAAATAAATATATTATTTTCCATTTATTTAATGTATCTTTATTCTGTTTTACCAGTTGCCTGTGGAGCTTAATTTTATGTTACACCAACTTAATCTCACATAAGCACAACATTGGGTGTTTAAAATCTTACCTACAATGACCTCACATCATCTTTCAAGAGCTGGTAAACTCATATAATTAAATATTGTGTATATTTTGCCCAGCTACTTTTGTGTATCCCAAAATATTCTTAATTTAAAAAAAATCAGTTCAAAGCTTTTTATTTTTTTATACTTTTGAGGCAGAGCTTTGCTCTTGTTGCCCAGGCTGGAGTGCAATGGCTTGATCTCGGCTCACTGCAACCTCCGCCTCCCAGGATCAAGTGATTCTCCTGCCTCAGCCTCTCGAGTAGCTGGGATTACAGGCATGCACCACCACGTCTGGCTAATTTTGTATTTTTAGTACAGACAGGGTTTCTCCACTTTGGTCAGGCTGGTCTCGAACTCCCAACCTCAGGTGATCCACCAGCCTCCGCTTCCCAAAGTGCTGGGATTACAGGCGTGAGCCACCGTGCCTGACCTGTTCAATGCTTTTTAATAAATATTAAATGTAAACTATTTAGAGCTCTAGTGATTGATATCTCTTCATCATCAGAAACATACCCTACATTGGCCATATACCAGGCACTCTTCTAGTATGTATGTTTCTGATCACAGTGCATGTATAGTTTTTTCCAATATGTCAACTGTATTTTTTAATTATCTGAATTTCACCTCAATAAGCAATAAAAATAGGAAAATAAATATATTCCTCCAATGCCTTTCATTTTATTCAAGTTGATATACCAGAGCTTGACGTTCAGTAAAAAATTCTAAAAATGTAAAAACAAGATGAAACATTTATTTTTTTATTTTCCATCCTTGCAAGTCTTCAGGGAAAAATACAGGTAACACACTGACCTGGTGTTTCTTAATAATACTTTAGTCCTTTTTACAAAATATAAGCTGGATGATATTTTTATTACATTTTTATATTTTAAGATTGAGATTCATGTACGTGTATATATTGTTAGCTAATAAAATGAACATATATATAGATAATTAAACATAAGTATACTGGTGATAACATACAGAGGTACTATTTTTGTATTTCTCTAAATAATTTTATACAATTAAGATAGTAATTTTGTCATTAGTGTAATGAAGCGAATTTTTTATAGAACTCAAGAAAAAAATACATATTATCTATAGCGCTGAAATAGAATTATGAGTTAATTGCCTGTTTAAAACAGCGGGATACTCTGGTGAAAGAAATCACTTTGCTTCTGACAACATCCAAGGTATTAGCTACCTGAGATAGATTATTTCTGCTTTCCTTTGTTAATATTTTGTTTGAGGCTGTAACTGCAAACTTACTGTCAATGCTCTGTTCCAAGTAATCAATATTCCAAGCCATCTTTTTTCTCTCACATAATTATAGAGATGACATTTTCTCCCTGCAAAGTTTCAAATTTGAGTTTCTACTTCCACAGAAAGATATTTTCATGGTACAACCCACTGGCTGTTACCACCAACTGTGTTTGCACTGCCCCAAATTCTGGAAAACAAGAAAGCAGTGGAACACATTCAAAAGATCTCTAGAAGACAGTAGACCAGAGGTTTTGTCTCCCATTTTACTAATTTTCTTTGTGGCCTTAGATAAGCCAGTTAATCTGCTTAGATCCCAGTTTTCTAAATTGTAAAATCATACATTATAGCAAAATAACATCTACTATCTTCTTTATATTTTATATTTATTATTTGTAGCTAATCAATTTGCTGATTTACTAAGAAACTTTCCCTTGCCATTTGTGATATATTCAACAAAAATTAGACTCTAATAAAATCTTCCTCAGTGTTCCTTGAATAAAGTTGCATTTTTAGTTGATGATCCTCTTACTTATATGTAGTCAGAAATGCAAAACAAAACAAAACCAAATAAACAAAATAGAAAACATGTCTGTCTAATGTCTTTTTTCTTTGTTAATTTCCTTTGTTCACCAGTCAGTGTTGGCATGAGAATATACACACAGTGGGCATGAAGACCCATGCAAGTGACTTATTTCTCTGGATTTCCTATTTTATATGGCATAATTTCTACAAAGAACAATGAGATCTTTTCTCACTTTATGTGGTAATGATCTAGCTATGGAACACCAATTAATCAATAGTAGAGCATGCCAATGTCTTACCAAAGCACCATAAGGTCTGTCACATAGTTCCAACGTGACATGAAGAATATGCAACAATCGATTTGACCACACAGTCCTGGACATGGAAAATTGTGTGAGTCTCTAATAAAAGTGCTCACCATGTGTTCCTTCTTTCTCTCTCAAATATTTCTATACTCTAGGCAGACGGAATCATGACAGGAGGCCTGATTGCAGGATATAGTCCAACAGACTAATGCATCCAAAAGAATTATTGGTGAGGCACCCATTGCACTCTTTGCCCAGTCTCAGTGAACACTTCTGAAGATGACATGAGCCACAGAACTCATAGAAGCATAAGATTCATGCCTAAAAGTAAACTCGCATCAATAACAGATTTTCCATAAGTAACACCAGATGAAACTTTTTAAAATTACTTTGTAGTCTTCAGTTTTTTCAGGAAAATAACCTGTAATAATGAACAAAGACAATTTAGAAGAGTGCAAAGTGACTCAATTTGGGATATCACTTACATATCACAGCTCAGCCTATTTAGTTACAGATTGCAGATTCTCACACCTAGAGATTCTCATCTGGTATGTCTGTGTGGTGCCTAGAAATCTGCCCTTTAAGCAATAACACCAAGTATTGTTGCAAATGATGCATGTGTAAGATCTGAAAGAACAAGGCTTTAGACAAATTTACCACATCTGGGCTATCAGAGCCTTGCTTTTTATAGACAATTCAAAATTACATATCTTGCAAATACTGTGTGTACAAAGTTGTGCAGTAATTTGAGCAATAAAGTTACACAGTTTGTTTTTCACTTAAGAAGTGATTATTAGGATAAAAATTCAGTCCTAATTATACTGACCAAGTTCACAGTAATTGAAGCCTATAACCCAAATCTTTTATTTTTTCTCTTTTTTTTAAATTATACTTTCAGTTCTAGGGTACATGTGCACAATGTGCAGGTTTGTTACATAAGTATACATGTGCCATGTTGGTGTGCTGCACCCACTAACTTGTCATTTACGGGTGGGATGGCATTAAGAGATATAACCCAAATCTTTTAATTTTAAACTAACAAATGAACTAGTTGTCCTGTGGTTGAGTTACACAGAGGGTTTAGTTTATAAATAGGTTGATCGTGAGTTTCTCATCTTTGGTAGCTAAGGAATCAGAGTCTCATGTACTCTACTTATGCACAACACCTGCTTCTAACACCTTAAGGACTCACATTTCCTGTGGCCCTCTTTTCTGTTAAAACAACTTTCTTCTCTTTGATGTAGGAATGCCTCAAGTTGTGTTTGAGCTAATAGTTGGAATTTCCACTACAAGCTATGTTTCTTGAGGAAAATCTTCAGAAAACCTGCAAAATTTATGTTTTTTTTTAATTGTGGAAATTATTTAATTTCCTTTTTGTGGAATTAATTATACACTGTGTATGGAGAGCTTGGGTTTTTCTCATCTTTTTGACATTAAACACATCTCACCAAAACCATACATGAGGATTGTTTTGAAGACGTGCCAACATTCCAAAAACCTCCTCAACCCCTTCATTGTTCTTTTTTTTTTTTTTAGGTACTTTATTTATTTATTTATTTATTTATTTTTTATTATTATGCTTTAAGTTTTAGGGTACATGTGCACATTGTGCAGGTTAGTTACATATGTATACATGTGCCATGCTGGTGTGCTGCACCCACTAACTCATCATCTAGCATTAGCTATATCTCCCAATGCTATCCCTCCCCCCTCCCCCCACCCCACAACAGTCCCCAGAGTGTGATATTCCTCTTCCTGTGTCCATGTGATCTCATTGTTCAATTCCCACCTATGAGTGAGAATATGCGGTGTTTGGTTTTGTGTTCTTGCGATAGTTTACTGAGAATGATGGTTTCCAATTTCATCCATGTCCCTACAAAGGACATGAACTCATTTTTTATGGCTGCATAGTATTCCATGGTGTATATGTGCCACATTTTCTTAATCCAGTCTATCATTGTTGGACATTTGGGTTGGTTCCAAGTCTTTGCTATTGTGAATAATGCCGCAATAAACATACGTGTGCATGTGTCTTTATAACAGCATGATTTATAGTCCTTTGGGTATATACCCAGTAATGGGATGGCTGGGTCAAATGGTATTTCTAGTTCTAGATCCCTGAGGAATCGCCACACTGACTTCCACAATGGTTGAACTAGTTTACAGTCCCACCAACAGTGTAAAAGTGTTCCTATTTCTCCACATCCTCTCCAGCACCTGTTGTTTCCTGACTTTTTAATGATTGCCATTCTAACTGGTGTGAGATGGTATCTCATTGTGGTTTTGATTTGCATTTCTCTGATGGCCAGTGATGGTGAGCATTTTTTCATGTGTTTTTTGGCTGCATAAATGTCTTCTTTTGAGAAGTGTCTGTTCATGTCCTTCGCCCACTTTCTCATGGGGTTGTTTGTTTTTTTCTTGTAAATTTGTTTGAGTTCACTGTAGATCCTGGATATTAGCCCTTTGTCAGATGAGTAGGTTGCGAAAATTTTCTCCCATTCTGTAGGGTGCCTGTTCACTCTGATGGTAGTTTCTTTTGCTGTGCAGAAGCTCTTTAGTTTAATTAGATCCCATTTGTCAATTTTGTCTTTTGTTGCCACTGCTTTTGGTGTTTTAGACATGAAGTCCTTGCCCATGCCTATGTCCTGAATGGTAATGCCTAGGTTTTCTTCTAGGGTTTTTATGGCTTTAGGTCTAACATTTAAGTCTTTAATGCATCTTGAATTGATTTTTGTATAAGGTGTAAGGAAGGGATCCAGTTTCAGCTTTCTACATATGGCTAGCCAGTTTTCCCAGCACCATTTATTAAATAGGGAATCCTTTCCCCATTGCTTGTTTTTCTTAGGTTTGTCAAAGATCAGATAGTTGTAGATATGCGGCGTTATTTCTGAGGGCTCTGTTCTGTTCCTTGATCTATATCTCTGTTTTGGTACCAGTACCATGCTGTTTTGGTTACTGTAGCCTTGTAGTATAGTTTGAAGTCAGGTAGTGTGATGCCTCCAGCTTTGTTCTTTTGGCTTAGGATTGCCTTGGCGATGCGGGCTCTTTTTTGGTTCCATATGAACTTTAAAGTAGTTTTTTCCAATTCTGTGAAGAAAGGCATTGGTAGCTTGATGAGGATGGCATTGAATCTGTAAATTACCTTGGGCAGTATGGCCATTTTCACGATATTGATTCTTCCTACCCATGAGCATGGAATGTTCTTCCATTTGTTTGTATCCTCTTTTATTTCCTTGAGCAGCGGTTTGTAGTTCTCCTTGAAGAGGTCCTTCACATCCCTTGTAAGTTGGATTCCTAGGTATTTTATTCTCTTTGAAGCAATTGTGAATGGGAGTTCACTCATGATTTGGCTCTCTGTTTGTCTGTTGTTGGTGTATAGGAATGCTTGTGATTTTTGCACATTGATTTTGTATCCTGAGACTTTGCTGAAGTTGCTTATCAGCTTAAGGAGATTTTGGGCTGGGACAATGGGGTTTTCTAGATATACAATCATGTCATCTGCAAACAGGGACAATTTGACTTCCTCTTTTCCTAATTGAATACCCTTTATTTCCTTCTCCTACCTAATTGCCCTGGCCAGAACTTCCAACACTATGTTGAATAGGAGTGGTGAGAGAGGGCATCCCTGTCTTGTGCCAGTTTTCAAAGGGAATGCTTCCAGTTTTTGCCCATTCAGTATGATATTGGCTGTGGGTTTGTCATAGATAGCTCTTATTATTTTGAAATATGTCCCATCAATACCTAATTTATTGAGAGTTTTTAGCATGAAGCGCTGTTGAATTTTGTCAAAGGCCTTTTCTGCATCTATTGAGATAATCATGTGGCTTTTGTCTTTGGCTCTGTTTATATGCTGGATTACATTTATTGATTTGTGTATATTGAACCAGCCTTGCATCCCAGGGATGAAGCCCACTTGATCATGGTGGATAAGCTTTTTGATGTGCTGCTGGATTTGGTTTGCCAGTATTTTATTGAGGATTTCTGCATCAATGTTCATCAAGGATATTGGTCTAAAATTCTCTTTTTTGGTTGTGTCTCTGCCAGGCTTTGGTATCAGAATGATGCTGGCCTCATAAAATGAGTTAGGGAGGATTCCCTCTTTTTCTATTGATTGGAATAGTTTCAGAAGGAATGGTACCAGTTCCTCCTTGTACCTCTGGTAGAATTCGGCTGTGAATCCATCTGGTCCTGGACTCTTTTTGGTTGGTAAGCTATTGATTATTGCCACAATTTCAGATCCTGTTATTGGTCTATTCAGAGATTCAACTTCTTCCTGGTTTAGTCTTGGGAGAGTGTATGTGTCAAGGAATTTATCCATTTCTTCTAGATTTTCTAGTTTATTTGCGTAGAGGTGTTTGTAGTATTCTCTGATGGTAGTTTGTATTTCTGTGGGATCGGTGGTGATATCCCCTTTATCATTTTTTATTGCGTCTATTTGATTCTTCTCTCTTTTTTTCTTTATTAGTCTTGCTAGCGGTCTATCAATTTTGTTGATCCTTTCAAAAAACCAGCTCCTGGATTCATTAATTTTTTGAAGGGTTTTTTGTGTCTCTATTTCCTTCAGTTCTGCTCTGATTTTAGTTATTTCTTGCCTTCTGCTAGCTTTTGAATGTGTTTGCTCTTGCTTTTCTAGTTCTTTTAATTGTGATGTTAGGGTGTCAATTTTGGATCTTTCCTGCTTTCTCTTGTGGGCATTTAGTGCTATAAATTTCCCTCTACACACTGCTTTGAATGCGTCCCAGAGATTCTGGTATGTTGTGTCTTTGTTCTCGTTGGTTTCAAAGAACATCTTTATTTCTGCCTTCATTTCGTTGTGTACCCAGTAGTCATTCAGGAGCAGGTTGTTCAGTTTCCATGTAGTTGAGTGGTTTTGAGTGAGATTCTTAATCCTGAGTTCTAGTTTGATTGCACTGTGGTCTGAGAGATAGTTTGTTATAATTTCTGTTCTTTTACATTTGCTGAGGAGAGCTTTACTTACACGTATGTGGTCAATTTTGGAATAGGTGTGGTGTGGTGCTGAAAAAAATGTATATTCTGTTGATTCGGGGTGGAGAGTTCTGCAGATGTCTATTAGGTCCGCTTGGTGCAGAGCTGAGTTCAATTCCTGGGTATCCTTGTTGACTTTCTGTCTCGTTGATCTGTCTAATGTTGACAGTGGGGTGTTAAAGTCTCCCATTATTAATGTGTGGGAGTCTAAGTCTCTTTGTAGGTCACTAAGGACTTGCTTTATGAATCTGGGTGCTCCTGTATTGGGTGCATATATATTTAGGATAGTTAGCTCTTCTTGTTGAATTGATCCTTTTACCATTATGTAATGGCCTTATTTGTCTCTTTTGATCTCTGTTGGTTTAAAGTCTGTTTTATCAGAGACTAGGATTGCAACCCCTGCCTTTTTTTGTTTTCCATTTGCTTGGTAGATCTTCCTCCATCCTTTTATTTTGAGCCTATGTGTGTCTCTGCACGTGAGATGGGTTTCCTGAATACAGCACACTGATGGGTCTTGACTCTTATCCAATTTGCCAGTCTGTGTCTTTTAATTGGAGCATTTAGTCCATTTACGTTTAAAGTTAATAGTGTTATGTCTGAATTTGATCCTGTCATTATGATGTCAGCTGGTTATTTTGCTCATTAGTTGATGCAGTTTCTTCCTAGTCTCGATGGTCTTTACATTTTGGCATGATTTTGCAGCGGCTGGTACCGGTTGTTCCTTTCCATGTTTAGCGCTTCCTTCAGGAGCTCTTTTAGGGCAGGCCTGGTGGTGACAAAATCTCTCAGCATTTGCTTGTCTGTAAAGTATTTTATTTCTCCTTCACTTATGAAGCTTAGTTTGGCTGGATATGAAATTCTGGGTTGAAAATTCTTTTCTTTAAGAATGTTGAATATTGGCCCCCACTCTCTTCTGGCTTGTAGGGTTTCTGCCAAGAGATCCGCTGTTAGTCTGATGGGCTTCCCTTTGAGGGTAACCCGACCTTTCTCTCTGGCTGCCCTTAACATTTTTTCCTTCATTTCAACTTTGGTGAATCTGACAATTATGTGTCTTGGGGTTGCTCTTCTCAAGGAGTATCTTTGTGGCGTTCTCTGTATTTCCTGAATCTGAACATTGGCCTGCCTTGCTAGATTGGGGAAATTCTCCTGGATAATATCCTGCAGAGTGTTTTCCAACTTGGTTACATTCTCCCCATCACTTTCAGGTACACCAATCAGACGTAGATTTGGTCTTTTCACATAGTCCCATATTTCTTGGAGGCTTTGCTCGTTTCTTTTTATTCTTTTTTCTCTAAACTTTCCTTCTCGCTTCATTTCATTCATTTCATCTTCCATTTCTGATACCTTTCTTCCAGTTGATCGCATCGGCTCCTGAGGCTTCTGCATTCTTCACGTAGTTCTCGAGCCTTGGTTTTCAGCTCCATCAGCTCCTTTGAGCACTTCTCTGTATTGGTTATTCTAGTTATACATTGTTCTAAATTTTTTTCAAAGTTTTCAACTTCTTTGCCTTTTGTTTGGATGTCCTCCCATAGCTCAGAGTAATTTGATCGTCTGAAGCCTTCTTCTCTCAGCTCATCAAAGTCATTCTCCGTCCAGCTTTGTTCCGTTGCTGGTGAGGAGCTGCGTTCCTTTGGAGGAGGAGAGGCACTCTGATTTTTAGAGTTTTCAGTTTTTCTGTTCCGTTTTTTCCCCATCTTTGTGGTTTTATCTACTTTTGGTCTTTGATGATGGACATCACCATCATCAACAGATGGGTTTTTGGTGCGGATGTCCTTTCTGTTTGTTAGTTTTCCTTCTAATAGACAGGACCCTCAGCTGCAGGTCTGTTGGAGTACCCTGCAGTGTGAGGTGTCAGTGTGCCCCTGCTGGAGGGTGCCTCCCAGTTAGGCTGCTCGGGGGTTAGGGATCAGGGACCCACTTGAGGAGGCAGTCTGCCCATTCTCAGATCTCCAGCTGCGTACTGGGAGAACCACTGCTCTCTTCAAAGCTGTCAGACAGGGACATTTAAGTCTGCAGAGGTCACTGCTGTCTTTTTGTTTGTCTGTGCCCTGCCCCCAAAGGTGGAGCCTACAGAGGCAGCAGGCATCCTTGAGCTGTGGTGGGCTCCACCCAGTTCGGGCTTCTGGGCTGCTTTGTTTACCTAAGCAAGCCTGGGCAATGGTGGGCGCCCCTCCCCCAGCCTGTTTTTTTTTTTTTTAAATGAAGAAGTGCAACTTATTTATTTGAAATCCAATGAAAACTGTGGCTCTTTCCTCAGGAAATGAATATATCCTCACAGTCATAATAGGTTGCCAAAATTGTATGAAGGAGGAGAGTTCTGAGACTACTTTAAGTCAATCATTAGACACCCTTAAAAATTGTAGACTACATGTGGGCTGGATTGAGTAATTTACATAAAATGGCTGCTCCTGTCAAGTATGTTTAGTTTAATATCTCAGTCTGGTAGTTTCACATCTCAAAGTCTCAGTGTTATACTAGAGAAAACACCAACCTAGTGACTGCGTTAAATACAAAAATGAGTACGAGAGGGTCCTGTCCTCAAAAAGTTTACAGTCTGTTTGAAAATATGTAAGTTCCTTTTGCTTTCCATTTCTTCATTTATTTATAGCATGCCTTCTATAATCTGGTGAAGTAAACAATATTAGTAGAAAGGAAGAAATAACGAGACATGTCAAGATAATTTTCTTCTTACTTAAAAAATGTAGAGAGACTCAATTTCTAATGACCGCCTTGATGTACATAGAAAATACAAATTGTGTCATAAAACTTCAAAAGAGAATCTGTACCCCTCCCATGAGACAACATACATAGCTGTGAGCTGAGCACCCGTATTTCTGCCTTATGTTGCTAGAAGTTTCAGAACACTAGGCGGGTGATGTATTGTAAGTATGTACTGAGTTTGTTGTCCTGTTGGCTCTAATTCATTGGTAAATCAACAAAATTTTGGAAGGCCAATCTTATATAACTATCGCTCTGCAATAAAGTTCATTTTTGTTTTTCTGTTTCTTCATTTTTATTTACTTTGTTAGTTTTCAATCTGCATTTATTACATTTAGGTAGGTTGTCAGTTATACTAATTATTTACAAAAGAGTTCTACATGTTTACCTCTTAAAAAGGTCTTCCTAGTATATTTAAGATGTGATAGGTGAAACAAACAAACCCTATTTTTATGACTAATTTAAGTTTAAATTTTTAATTAATGGACAATTAAGAATAAATATCTTTGACAACTGGTAAAATGAGCTGAAGTAAGCATGAGGCAAAAGCTTTACAAAATGTAAGTAATGAGTAAAAATGTTAGTGCTTTCAGTAACAGTTAAGTTTAACTAGAACCTCATATGGTCATCATCATGGAAGGGAGTAAACTAGAAATGTACTGAAGTGTCAAAGTGGGTTTCCTAATAATAACTAAATGGAATATATATATATATATATATATAGAGAGAGAGAGAGAGAGAGAGAGAGAGTTAGGAAATTATATTTTATATTGTGAAGTACAGCCTAGCACAATTTGAGATTTTTAAAAATAATGTAGTTTATTCCATTTGTCTATTAAAAACTGACTTGTACTTTTCAGAAAAAACATCTTACCTTCTTATAAGACATGCTCTAAACGCCCAATGGGAGAAAAAACACTTACGTTCTCCTTAGGAAAAAAATGCTTGTAAAAGTTGAGAAAATTAATATTAATATTTGAAAAACAAATACACCTTGGACTCAATACACATTTCAAATATGTGTTTAAAATTGAAAGTGAGGAAAATCCACAGCAATTTTAGTAGTAAAAATATTTTTTCAAAGTTCAGATACTACATTATTAAATATTTATTCTGTAGAATAAATGATTAGATTTGTATTAATATTACTTATACAGTTTGAATTATTATGAAAATATGTCAATAAATATAAAATATATTTGGAGGGTGAAGCTTTTTATGTTTGTCATGGATATGTGAGAACTTACACATATTTTGTCATTTAAATATAGCCTAATATTAAGCTGTGGCTTGGCATCTTACCAACAAGGAAGGAAACAATAGAATTTGAGTGGTAGGGTAATATAATAATATTATAGTTTTCAGTAAGAAGCCCTATGATTAAAACCTCTGAAAGGTCCTTTATTTTACCTAGTTTTCTCACATAATTTTTTGGGTTTTCTTTTTGGGGATGAACTTTTTTTATAATCTAAGCCCAGAGGTAAATTTTTTTAGGAAATTAGATCTAAATCAATTATGTATTTTAAAGTTAAGTTTATGACTGGAATAGAAATGCCTCGAAAACGATTTTTCATCAGACTTCACAATTGTATTCATAGCAACTTTGGCTGCTATATATGGCAGCACCCTACTGTTAAGAGACACAGATGAAAGCCCTCTAGTCTTTTACATGACTTATTGATGAGACTATACACAGAGAATAAGTGAAATATTTAAACTTGGTATAGTATTTATTTTAAAGAATATTAAAAGATTTAGTAGTGCTTTTTAAAATATTTAAATAATTATCATCTGGTTTTGGTGAGGTAGAATAGAAAAGTAAGGTCTCCAAACAAAGATCCAAATTAAATCATTGTGTGCTGTCTTTTACTAAGAAAAATTTTTGTGGATAATTTTTCTAATGCACACATAAATGTTTGCTAGAACAAACCTCATATCTGTTATACAATAAATGCAAGTGAAACAATAAGACACAGGATGTATCATGTTAATTATATGTGTTGGGGTTAATTTGGGTATCGTGAAGTTTATTTGTTAAGAAAGAGTCTGAGGAAGAGTAAAAATTACTAATTTCATGGCAAACAAGGAGGAAAAAAGGCTTAGAACAATGACATCGGTATGAACAAATGAAGAAAAAAAATAAGGCAGAGGAAAAAATGATCTATTTCTTCAATTCATTTGTAGCCTAAGTGGAAAGGGATTATATGTGGCTCTCATATTCTGCTGGATTTAAAATAGATGAGCATGCATATATTGATACACAAGAAAAAGCTATGCAATAAGAAGGGCAGAAAGTAGAGCTTTTCATTTTGTAGTTTTGTATGTTGGAGAAACATGACTACAGTTATGGTGAGAGTGTGCTGCACAAGAGATTGGTCTGAAAGAGGAGGTCTTCTAACACCTCAGGCAAGAAGAGCAAGCCAAGGAAATTTTAATATTTAACATTTAAACATTCAGTAATTTTGAAATATACAAACATCTATGAATTAAAAAGTTTATTCATGCCCGTAATCCCAGCCCTTTGGGAGGCCAAGGTGGGTGGATCACCTGAGGTCAGGAGTTCAAGACCAGCCTGACCAGCATGGAGAAATCCCATCTCTACTAAAAATACAAAATTAGCTGCGTGTGGTGGTGCATGCCTGTAATCTCAGCTACTAGGGAGGCTGAGGCAGGACAATCCCTTGAACCCGGGAAGTGGAGGTTGTGGTGAGCTGAGATCGTGCCACTGCACTCCAGCCTGGACAACAAGAGCGAAACTTCATCTCAAAAAAAAAAAAAAAAAAAAAAAAAAAAAAAAAAAAAAAAGGCTATGCGCCTATGCAAACAACACTTTCAAAATATTGAAAAGAAGAAAGCAATAATAATTTATGATGTATGAAAGGTATCTTCAGGTTTTATCACATACAAATATTTTTTTAAATATATTGATCCAAATCCTGTATGACTAACAGCCTGAAGTTGGCATTACAGTAATAATAAACTTCAACATATGCTTTTCAGTTTAACCTAATTTACCAATGCCCTACTGTCTCATCATCACTAATATACATACAAGTCAGTTTTTACAAGGAAGTTTAATACTTGAAACCTTTGGTTCTATCCTGCTGTGTTCTTTAATTTTATTTAAAACTATAATGGAGATATACAAATAGTTATAAAAATCGATATCCATTTCCAGAAAATTTGCTTAAAAACAGTCTGTAGCCGGGCGTGGTGGCTCACTCCTGTAATCCTAGCACTTTGGGAGGCCGAGGCGGGCAGATTGCCTGAGCTCACGAGTTCAAGACCAGCCTGGGCAGCATGATGAAACCCTATCTCTACTAAAACACAAAACAATTAGCCAGGCGTGGTGGCATGCACTTGTAGTCCCAGCTACTCGGGAGGCTGGGGCAGGAGAATCTCTTTAACCTGGGAGGCTGAGGTTGCAGTCAGCAGAGATCGCACCACTGCACTCCAGCCTGGGTGACAGAGTGAGACTCTGTCTCCAAAAAAATAAAAATAAAAAAAATAAAAATAAAATAAAAATAAAATGGCCTGTTAACAGTTCTCACGACTTACTCTTTTTCCCATGTGCTCGAGTCTTGCATATTGCATAATAGTATTCTTGGGTAGCTTGCCCTTAAATACAATTTATTGTTGAGTAAAGAAAACTCTAATGTCTGTGAAAAGGTAACCAAGGTAGCTGAATTGCATACTATACTATACACGCATTTTTTCTACAAACGCATGTTTAGAATTTACTTGGATAAAATCTCTCACTTAAAAATATTCTGATAAATGAACCACATGATGTTAGATTTAAAATACTGTTACATCGTTGTAGAATAGAGTAAGTTTGCTTAAGGATATTGAGTAAATGGATCTATCAATCAAAAAGATTAAAGTAATTGATTCTGTTTATATAGTAAGGAAAATTACTGAAGTTCCTACACTTAAATTCTAAAATAAGAGCTAATTTTTAAAATGTTGAAATTATTTTTATCTAATTTAAATTTACTTTTTCATTGCTTCAGGACAAAATGTTTGGCAAAAAATAAATCTATGATTTTTCAAATAAAAAAGTCAAACTTTAACCTTCTGAAGATAAACTTTTATAATTTCAGATGTTCATTTTTAACTTTCCTCTGGGATCCACCTGAGAAAAAGCTAACCTGCTTTCTAAATATGAAAAGGTTGTATGCATTTAAAAAAATTATAAATGCTTCCTCTGAAGTTAGCAAAACATACATAAATGTGCTGTATTGTTTCCAAAAATCTATCAAAAATAACCACTAAACACTCTAAATATACATCCGACTATTAATCTGTATTTAATACAAATTATAAAATCCATGTCTCATGCAGGGATTTAAAACCAAATTTCTGGTATTTTAGTATAATTATTTCTCAAGATTTAAGTGATCTGAAATTTTGCTTATAAAAATGATTTAATAAATTCATCTGATTAAAATTGTATATGAAGAATAGATGCTGACACAGGCTGTGTAGGGAAAGGGAGAAATCACTATACCATTGAGTTGAAGTGATTAGTTTGTTGTGAAGTATGATCAGCAAAAGGCAATGTCATAATATTACATTCTAAGTACTCCAATTTTAAGGTAGCATTTTTATTAAACAATGCAGATTATCAAATTTGGCTATTCCTCCTCTATAAAGTACCTCATCCCAAATTATACTTAAAAATCTAAAAGTGCAATCATTAATGTTATTTTTAATGTTTCCTCATTTTAGTGGTTTTTAAAGCATGTGGATTTAATTGGATTGTAATTTAACGTGGCCATGTTTCTATGCTTCTCTAAAATCTCTTTATTTTTTTACCAGACACTAAAATCACCATTAAGCAGACACATTTCCACTTCCTTCCTCCCATTGTGGTAATTAAAAGATTATATTTACAAGCCTCTTGAATCAAATATTTTCATGAAATATTTATTACATGCCCATGAGACACCTGATTTCATTCATTTACTATTCTGAATTTGTTGATTGTATCCTCTATAACAATGAATCTTTCATATTCCTACAGTACTATGAGCTACACGAGCATGAAGTCATCTATTTGGCTTTGGATAATGGTACAATAAGTTGATTCTATCTGTCTCTCTTGCCTTTCTCTAAAGGCTGATTCTGTGCCCTTCAGGGAGACATGACTATGATTTGAATCATTTAGGGACCCTGAACATGCTATCTGTGCTACATCCAATCCATTCTTACAAAGTTTTAAAAAGTTGAATTTAGAAGAAACATCATTGTTGTTTTCAATGAAATTATTCCTTTGTTGATAATTGTGCATTAGATATTTTTATGTAGACATAGAGGAGGTAAATTTAAAAATCAAGATGAGTAGCCATGTTCTATTACTCGGAGATTTAGTATTTACTCATCTAAGCTCACAAGTATTCCTGTCCCAGTGGCCTGATCAAATCTATGTATTTTGATCTAGGAATCATAGCACAGTACAGTGGGGTTCTAGCTACAGGAATTGTAAACAGTGTGACAATTAGAAGCTGGATAAATTAATTACCTACCATTGGTACAACCAGGTGTTGATCAAGTGACTTTATAACCTGTTTTTGTTCAGTATATTTTCATCTTGCTATTCACAATATTGTTTCAATATTGTTAAATGTAAAAATCATATTCTTTTTGACTTTTTTATTCTTCTAAAAATAATAAGATACATGGGGAGAACGTGCTAGGTTTGTTATACAGGTATATACACGTGCCATGGTGGTTTGCTGCACCTATTGACCCATTTTCTAAGTTCCCTCCCCTCACCCCCACCTCCCAACAGGTCCTGGTGTGTGGTCCCCTCTCAGTGTCCGTGTGTTCTCATTGTTCATCTCCCATTTATGAGTGAGAACATGCGTGTTTGGTTTTCTGTTCTTGTGTTAGTTTGCTGAGGATAATCACTTCCAGCTTCATCCATGTTCCTGCAAAGCACATGATCTCATTCCTTGTTATGGCTGCATAATATTCCATGGTGTATATATACCACATTTTCTTTATCCAGTCTATCATTGATGGGCTTTGGGTTGGTTCCCAGTCTTTGCTATTATAAATAGTGCTGCAATGAACATATGTGTACATATGTCTTTATAGTAGAATGATTTATATTCCTTTGGGTATATACCCAGTAATGGGATTGCTGTGTCAAATGGTATTTCTAATTCTAGATCCTTGAGGAGTTGCCATAATTGACAAATGGGATCTAATTAAACCAAAGAGCTTCTTTACAGCAGAAGAAACTATCATCAGAGTGAACAGGAAACCTACAGAATGGGATTTTCTTAATTTTTCCAAACTATTATCAAGATAACTGGAAGAGTTTATATGTGGCATAAAATCTGTTTTTCTTGCAATATTTTTCAAGCTTATTCACATGCTTATTTTGTAAATAAATTTACTGTAAATTTTATTTAATCTTGCTTTCCTCTTTTATTTTGAACTTTATATTCACAAAATTGCATTGCAATATTTAGTGATATACTTTCATCATTGTTCTATAGGAGGTCTGGTTTTTGTTTTTATTATATTTATTGTCCATTGGACGTTTATCTATAATAACATTATCCTCTGTCATAAGGAACTCCCTGTTTTATGTTAAGTTTGCATATTAAGTTTGCATAAATGATATCATGTCTTATATTATTTCAAAGAATATTATATATTTTTACAAATTCAATAATGGTGCAGGCTTATCTAGTTATTTCCTGTAACTACAACAAAATTTTCATAATATATGACATTGTATTGATTCTGTTTTTTAATGGGCATTTGGGTGGTTTCCATTACTTTGCTATGATACATTTTACAGTAATGAACTTAGTTATGCATAGTTTTTTGAATATTTATACTCAAGTTTCTCTGGGTATATACTTGGAAAAGGAATTTCTGAGTGATAAAAGCACAGTAAATCTGATAAAATATATTTATTTTCTCCCAACATTGTATTCCCACCAACAGTACACGGCAGCCCATCCCATGACAGGCCTAGAGGCCTAGGAGGAGAAAATGGTTTTATGGGCTGGGTCCAGGGTCCCATGCTGTATGCACACTAGGGACTTAATGCCCTGTGTCCCAGCCGCTCCAACCGTGACTAAATGGGGCCAAGGTATAGCTCAGACTGTAGCTTCAGAGGGTGCAAGCCCCAAGCCTTGACAGCTTCCATGTGGTATTGGGCCTGCAGGTGCATAAAAGTCAAGAATTGACATTTGGGAACCTCTGCCTAGATTTCAGAGGATGTATGGAAACACCTGGATGCCCAGGTAGAAGTTTGCTGCAGGGGCAAGACACTCATGGAGAATCTCTGCTAGGGAAGTGTGGCAGGGAAATGTGGGGTCAGAGCCCCCACACAGAGTCCCTACTAGGACACTGTCTTGTGAAGCTGTGAGAAGAGGGCCACCATCTTGCGGACCCCAGAAGGGTGGATCCACCAACAGCTTGCACCATGTGCCTGGAAAAGCTGCAGACACTCAACGCCAGTCCATGAAAGCAGCCAGGAAGGAGGCTGTACCCTACAAAGCCACAGGGGCAGAGCTTCCCAAGACAATGGCAACCCACCTCTTGCATCAGCATGACCAGATGTGAGACATGCAGTCAAAGGAGATCATTTTGGAGCATTAGGATTTCACTGCCCTGCTGGATTTCAGACTTGCATGGGGCCTGTAGCCTCTTTGTTTTGGCCAATTTCTCCCATTTGGTATGGCTGTATTTACCCAATGCCTATAAACCCCATAGTATCTAGGAAGTAACTAATTTGCTTTTGATTTTACAGATTCATTGGCAAAAGGGGCTTGCCTTGTATCAGGTGAGACTTTGGACTGTGGCTTTTGAGTTAATGCTGAAATGAGTTGAGACTTTGACGGACTGTTGGGAAGGCATAATTGTTTTTAAAATGTGAAGACAGGAGATTTGGAGGGGCCAGGGGCAGAATGATATGGTTTGGCTCTGTGTCCCCACCCAAATCTCATCTTGTAGTTCCCATAATTCCCACGTGTTGTGGGAGAGGCCCAGTGGGAGATGACTGAATCATGGGGTCAGGTCTTTTCCATGCTGTTCCCATGAAAATAAATGGATCTCACAAGATCTGATGGTTTTAAAAATGGGAGTCTGCATGCACAAGCTCTCTCTTTGCCTGCTGCCCTCCAGGTAAGATGCGACTTCCTCCTCCTTGCATCCTGCCATTATTGTGAGGTCTATCCAGCCATGTGGAACTGTAAGTCCATTACACATTTTTTTCTTCCCAGTTTCAGGTATGTCTTTAACAGAGGCATGAAAATGGACGAATACAAATACTCTGAATATTAGATAATACTCTTTAATAGTTTAATGTTGCAGATATTTTTGCCTAATGTACATTTGTTTGTTAAATTTTGCCATTGGCTTTCCTGAATTTTGATACTATAAAATTTCCCCATTTCTTTTCAGTTCAGTGTCTTATTTAAATACTCTTCATCATATAAACATAGCACTATTCTACTACATTTTTCTCTCATAGCTTTAGATATTTCTACTTTCACATCAAACCTTTAACACATCTGATTTATTTGTTGTATCCTGTGTGAAGTAAGCCCATTTTTTTAATAGCAATGACATTTTCCTAAATTTAGAAAATAGTATCTGCATGGATTAGTGATACCAACTGTCTTAGTCTGTTTTGCGTTACTATAAAGGTGTATTCAAGACTGGGTAATTTATAAAGAAAAGAGGTTTATTTTGCTCATGGTTCTACAGGTTTTACAAGCATGGCACCAGCATCTGCTAGGCTTCTGGTGAGGACTCAGGAAGTTTCCACTCATGGCAGAAAGCAAAAGGAAAGTAGGCATGTCATGTAGCAGGAGAGGGAGCAAGAGAGAAGAGAGGAGATGCTGGGCTCTTTTAAAAAAACAGCTTTCCCATGAACTAATTATCTCAAAGAGGGCATCAAGTCATTCATAAGGGATCCACTCCAATGACCCAAACTTGCTCACTAGGCCCATCTCCAATATTGGAGGTCACATTTCAACTTGAGATTTGCAGGAGACAAAACATCCATCCCATACTACCAACTCAATCATTCCATGAATACACAAAGAGATCACCTATTAGTTTTAATTACTTATTATCATGTATCAAGTACTAAACAAAGATTATGTCATTTAATCCTTACAGAAAATTTTGAAGTAGGACATTTTTTGTTCTCGTTGTTTGTTTTGCTGAAGCGTAAATGACATCTTTTGAGAAGTGGATTATTTTACCCAAGGTCATACAACTATAATTAGTGGAGCTAGGAACTAAGACTGTAACATTTCAAAATGGTTATATACAATCTAATGTCTTTTATAGGTAAACATAATACATCCAAGATAAAAGCTTCTTTATCTCATGATATTATCCCCACTTATAATTATTCAATGTCTCTCCGTCCCTAAGCAAAAGCACACATTTCTTGGTATGGCTTAGAAAACGTTTTTTATCTAGCCACACCCTGCATTTTTTATAAGCTTTCCTGCTTCCGCTTTCTATTTCCCACTTCATACATGTATGTCACTTCCATATGGAATGAGAGTTTAAGCTTTTCATTTTTGGCTAATGCTTTTTCTCTGTCAGGAAACAGTGACCAACTTCACCTACATAATTTGGTTATCTCTCTGGATAGCTAGAGTCAGCTTTTCTAGGAAGCCTGTCCTGAATCCCCAATTTGAACCAAGTCCATACTCTGTTCTGCTAAACATAGTCTGTCATAACATTTGCCACCTCACACTTTTTTTTTATTTTTGCAGGATAGGCTGCAAGAAGGCTCAAGCAGAAATGCTATCTACTCTTGTATCTCAAGCATACAGCATAGGGTCTGATATATAGTGGAAACACAACAAAAGTTGGTTCACTAAGCTAAACTGAAATATCTTTATAGTAAAAGGCATACATTAATATTTATAAAAATTTTCACATTAAAATGTATTTGGCAGTGTTTACAAACATTGTTCTATCATTGTTCCATCTTAAGTTGCCTCGTTCTCCTAATGTGATTTAACAATCTTTGGCAAGGGAAACTTCATCCTTCCACAATCAGGAAATGGGATGACTACATGTCACGTACATGTCATAGATCTCCTCAATGACCAAAATTCCCCACAAATCAAGATTTGTGTCTGGTTTGTAGTATGAGAGGTGGATGAATTGACCTCATCTAACCAGACACTGTTAAGCAAGGTGCACAATTAGGGAATTCATGATTATCGTTCAGTGGATTTCAATCTGAGTATGATTTTTTTTCCTGTTGCAGCTATAATTAGTGTAAGAAATATGAAACTGTATCCCATAGTTATTTAACAACCACATTAAATTGTCATGAACTTTGACCATTTTTACCTTCAGTAAACAGGAACGTATACATGAATAATTTTCCATAAGAGAGATTGCATATTCTACAAAAATTATCCTATTTAAGTTTTATTTTCAGAATTTACAAATCAGCTTTTATAAAAGTTAAGCAGGACAGCTAAAGACAACAAATTTCTCATTTATCTGTTACTATACTCTCAAAAATTAGCTGTTTGAGGCTGGCTATTGGAAGCATATAAGAGAGAAACAAATCTTTAACACCTACTAAAATAAATAATTTAGTAGTTTTTTTCTACAGATCATTAATTGATTCCTCACTCAGAACCTAGCTTCAAAATAGCAATCCTCTTTTTTTTTTTTTTTTGTCAAGAACTTTATACAAGTAAATTCCTTCATTAACTCGAAGAAAAACAACCTAATGTTCCCTGGAGACTGAAATACTCATGCCTCTGGTGCTGCCTTACAGGCTGGAATTAACAGTTACTAATCTGTTATTTCTTGTGCAGAGCACCTCTAACTCCTTCTCTGATTCTATAGTTAATTAAAACAACACTGCTTGGTTCACACTGCATAATGTCAAATTCTCTTAAAACTCAAGTCTTCCTCCTAATACTAAAAAGTCAGATAAAACTGACCGAGTGAATTTACCAGATACCTAAATCAAAAGCACAACATCATTCTTCACAGAAAGTGCAAGCAAATCGTTTTATTCCTGTTTGCGGAGCTTAACTTTCTGCAAAAGTAATTAGGTCTATAATTAAAAAGCTATTTGGAATGATTAAAACTCTGTTATCTTGTGGCATTTAAAGACAAATGCAAATGTCAGAAAGGATGAATTCATTAAAATTTCTATTTAAGAAAAAAATTGTGGATAGAAGGTGTTATTTATTAAAATGTTACAGTTTCAGAGAAGTTTTGATCTGTAAAGAAGACACTGAAGGTGGGAGGTATCTTTTTGTGTTAATATTGTACAATGTAGGTAGCATTTGTAGTAGCATTTGATGTAGCAATCAGTTGCTATTCACAAATATTTATTTTGAGGGTTATTTTAAACTAACAACTGATGTCACAGTGTTATTTCAAAGATGATGTCATTTTTCTGAAGGACTAACTTTTTCCATATATTAAGACTTCTCAATGTATCTAGTTTGGAGTTAACTATCATATATATATACATATAGTTGTCTATCTAAAAAGCTATAGTATGTTATCAATTGAGATTTTCAAGCTGTGAATTCAAAGGCCAATTACTTTGAATGAAATGGTCAAGTTTTTAAGTCTCCTGTTGCCCAAACAATCTAATAAAATTAAAGAAAGACAACTGAGGCACTGTGGAAACTCTTGGGCTGCATGCTGTTTAATGATCATTTTCAAACCAATGTGGTTTAGGAGCAGTCTGCTGGTGGTCTCCAGTTAAGTGTGTTGCCTTCCTTGAAAGAAAGTGAAGTTATTCCTGAACAAGCGAAATGTATCTCTAGTGATGGAAGTTATTGACTAGTATCACATGTGCTTTGTATGACCATAATATCACACATTCCCTATATCTTTAGCATTTCTATTCAACTCATCATTAGAAATATAAGAAAGCATACGCATAGAGAAATAAACTTTAAGAAGGCATATTGTGAAATAATGGCGACATTAACTATCACCAAAAACAGCAATAAAACCAATCAAACAAACAAACAAAAAAACTTTCCTTTAGATATTATCCTGAAATTCAGGATTAATAAAAAGGATACAGACAGAAACTCATCATGATTGGTTGGAAATAAGAAATATTGTTTTATTTAGTCATTAGTGAATCACGTACAAAGCCAAGAGCAAATAAGATAAGGATTACTGAGTAGAATATCAGTCCTGAATTTTAAAATAATAATCTTTTCTCTAATTTGATATATGGTCTCATAGCGTCATTATTTTTCTACAATTTAAAAAGGCATATACGGCCAGGCATGGTGGCTCACACCTGTAATCCCAGCACTTTGGGAGGCAGAGGCAAGAGGATACTTTGAGCTCAGGAGTTAGAGACCAGCGTGGACAACATGGCAAAACTGCACCTCTTAAAAAAAAAAAAATTAGCCATGGGTGGTGGCGTGTGCCTGCAGTCCCAGCTACTCAGGAGGCTGAGGTGAGAGAATCACTTGAGCTCACTTGAGCTCAGGAAGCAGAGGTTGCAGTGAGCCAAGATAGCACCATGGCACTCTAGCCTGGGCAATAGAATGAGACCCAGTCTCAATAAAAAGATAGAAAATAATTTTTAAAAAGAAATAAAGCCTAGCTATAAGAACCACATAACACACAAGGTGTCATGTGGCCTTGACTTCTCAGGATGTATTTTGCAAAAACAAAAAAAAAAAAAAAAAAAACCCCAAAAAAAACAGAATAGTCTCAAAGAGAACCAATCACCTCTTGAGAATGTAAACGACAAGGCCCATGAACCAGTCATTTTCAGTGGTGTGATTGCAGATTTCACTCAGGGGGGATGAGAATCACTCTAATCAGAGGTTTTATACAGGAAACCTTCAGATACTTGATGTTAATGGGACTTAATATTTCCAATTTTTTAAACCCCATTATTGGAGTAACCGCAGGATAGATGATAGAAAGCTGACAGGAGGTTTGTAGTTAGACTAAAAATCAAGGGATAAGAGCAAGAAATTATCTTGCAAAACTGAAACAGACAAAATAGAATCATTCAAATGGAAAATTATGAATAAATGGAAACATTAAATAGATGAATCTGAATTCTGTTGCTGAAGAGATTATTAGAAATAGGATATCCAGTTTGAACAAACAAACAAAAATAATGGATCTCAAGAAGACATTTCAATTATGTAATAATCACCTAGACATGCTCACTCTTAGCATATATTCTTTATCCTACACACAACTATTAATAATGAATGGAATGCTCCGAAGGTAAAAATTATAGAAATAACCGTATTTTTGGCTCAGATCTACTCAAAATCAGAGAGTCCTTCGGTGAGAAACTATATGAATGTTGAAAATCTAGATATGCATTTAGTTCATACACACAGTTTATTTTATCATTGGATAATGTACAATGGTGACAAACCCTGAAATACAAGAAATGTGTGAAGGCCTTTAATAGTTGATAGTTTTTTTCACAGTATCTGAGAATTCATCCAGGTGAAAATCAATGAATACAAGGAGTGTCAGAAGGCCTTTCCACATGACTCATGACTTCCCAAGCACAGGTTGGTTACAGTGGCAAGAAACTCTTTTGTAAGAAATGTGAAAAAGCATCTGGGAAGGGTTCCTATCTTACTGGCTACCCCATAGGTGATAACTGGTGAGAAACCTTACAAATGTGGTCACTATGGTTAATATGGATAAAAATTTTAGGGCTCTAGAAAAAATCTGTTATACTCAAGAATTATTTCTCAACAAAGAATCCATTTCAGTGAGCAAATTTAAAATGAATGTTATGGCTTTGAGGCCTTTACATATAGCTTTTTAACTATCTCAGTACCAGACAATCTATATTATTTAGAAACCCTATGAATTGAACCACTGTAAGAACGCCTTTCTTTTTCTGTTAGGATCACACAGCAACTTGAAAAAGAATATAAAAAAGAAGAAACTGCCCACAAACAAGTTATTTTGTTATTTTTTTAAGGGGAAGGTCATTATCAAGAGGCACTACTTTATTTGGTAAGTGAGCACTTTTGTCATCTTTTAACATTTTTAAAATAAAAAATATATATATGAAAGAGTAATTCGGTGAATTTTGCTCCCTTTCTAAAACACTGTGTAGTTATATGCAGAACTTTTACATCTCTCTCATTTATTTCACTATACAATGCATATTATGAATCTAAGCTAATTTCAGCAAAATTCTTATCACACTACTCATTTCATATTTTCTTCCTCTCCTTTTTCCTACTTCTTGATATATTATATTCTTCTATGAATTTGTATTTCAGCATAGCCTCTTTTATACTTCTGATTAAATACTTATAATTGTTTCTATATTACACAGCAAACATTATTTTATTTTGTAAGTTAGCCCGTTTAACAAATAAATAACTAATAAATACATTGTCATTAGCTTAAAAGGAAGATATGTGAGCTTTTTGGTTCTATCTTTCACTGGGTATTTAAATTATTTAAATAATCAGTCTGTTGAGGTATTACTTATATATAAAATTCAACAAATTTGGGTGTAAAAATTAAGGAATCATGATATCATATACATATTACTACAATCATCATATATAACTTTCCATCACCTTGAAAAATTATCTCATGGCTTTGTCCTACTTAGTATGCTATTCTCCATCCCTAGGTCCAGCAACCACAACTCTGGTTTATGTCACTATATCTTTGCTTTCTAGATTTTATATGAATGAAAGCACAACATACATAGGTTTTGTGCCTGCTTCTTTCATTAGACTCTTTTACTTATCATAGTATTATTGTTCTGTTTTGATTTTAGATATTCTTCCATGCTGTTGCATGTGTCAGTAGCTCCTTCTATATTACTTACTAATATTCCATTGCATGAGTATAGTATTTCTTTAATTCATTTACCAGTAAATGAACATCTGGATTTATTCCAGGTGTTGGCAATTGCAAATCAAGCACTGTAAACATTGGGCTACAAGTTTTGGTGGACATATGTCTTTACTTCTGTTGGGTGAATATCTAAGGATAGGATTGGTCTTTTGTATGCCAAGTGTGTTACTAACTTTATATGAAAGTGCCATCCAGGCGCAGTGGCTCACACCTGTAATCTAGAGGCTGAGGTGGGTGGATCACCGGAGGTCAGGAGTTCTAGACCAGCCTGGCTAACATGGGAAAACCAAGTTTCTACCAAAAACACAAAAAATTAGCCAAGTGTGGTGGCCCGCACCTGTAATCCCAGCTACTCAGGAGACTGAGGCAGGAGAATCACTTGAACCCAGGAGGCAGAGGTTGCAGTGAGCTGAGATCGCACCATTGCACTCCAGCTTGGGCAGCAAGAGCAAAACTCCATCTCAAAAAGAAAAAAAAAAGTGCCATTTTAAATTTTTTTCCCCAAAGTGGATGCATCTTTTCAGGTACATGATGTGATGTGGCTCTAATATAGGCTATTTTAGTTTTAGCCATTCTTTGCAGTGGTGTCTCACCGTAGTGTTAATTTGCATTTCCCCTGAGCATCTTTTCACATGCTTATTTGTCATCTGTATTTTCTTTGTTCAACTATCTGTTGAAATCTTTTGCCCATAATTTTCAACCAAGTTCATTGTTTTATTTAGTTATGAGTTCTTAATATAGTCAGGAACTATTTGGGTTATTAGATACATGTTTTCTTCTAACTTTTTATTTTGAAGTCAGTTTAGACTTACAAATGTGCAAAAATGATACAGAGAATTCCCTCACCCACTTCACCCAGCATCCTCTAATGATAATATCTTATGTAATTATAGCTTAATTACAGAAACCAGAAAAGTAACCTTTATTTAGTAGTATTAACTAATCCTGATTTAACCCTTGGCAATTTTCTACTAGTATATATATATATATATATATATATATATATATGTGTGTGTGTGTATATATATGTGTATATATACATATATATATATATATTTTTTTTTTTTTTTTTTTTTTTTTGAGACAGAGTCTCACTTGGTCACCCAGGCTGGAGTGCAGTGGTGCCATCTTGGCTTACTGCAAGCTCTGACTCTTGGGTTCACACCATTCTCCTGCCTCAGCCTCCCAAGTAGCTGGGACTACAGGCATCCGCCACCACGCCCGGCTAATTTTTTTTTTTTGTATTTTCAGCAGAGATGGGTTTTCACTGTGTTCACCAGGATGGTCTCGATCTCCTGACCTCGTGATCCGCCTGCCTCGGCCTCCCAAAGTGCTGGGATTACAGGCGTGAGCCACTGCACCTGGCCTAGTATATATATATATTTTTTTTTTTTTAACTGTGCTATCACTATTTTAATGATAAGCAAATTGAATTGCAGTAGGGTTAGGTAACTTCCCTGACGTCCATAGTTTCCAAGTAACAAACACTGAAATAGAAGAAGGAAGAGAGAGAAGGAAGTTGGAAGGAGATTTTGTTAAATACACTAAATGAAAATTATGTCTTTGTTTAAAACTTGTTATTGTTGGTAGAAGAGCTGAGGCAGGACTGCCTTGTCTGTCATAATATAAAAGAGTCTTGGAAGATGTCCAGGGTCAAGGGTCTAAAACCCCTCGTGGCCTTTGGAACACCAAGCTCTTTGCCAAAGGATGGAAGGCCACCCTGCCGCACCACAAATCTAAGCCCAGGGCATAAAACCCCTTGTGGCTTGGATGGAACCCAGGGCTCAGGGCATAAAACCCCTGGTAGCCTCTGGAATGTGCACAGACTTGTTAGTTCCTTGCTTCTTACTCATAAACATGTCCTTTATTATCTCAAGCAGCAGAACATATTCTATATGCATCAACGAAAATGCTAAACCATCACAGCTTTGCTTAATGCACCACTACCTTTCTACCCCCACGTCCTCACATCCTCACCTGTTTATCCTCACGTCTGCACATCCTCACCACCTGCTTGCTTGTTTGATCACCAATAAATAGTGTGGGCTCCCAGAACTCAGGGCCTTCACAGCCTCCAATCTAGCATTGGCCTCCTGGACCCACTTTATGTACTCTTAACTTGTCTTTTCTCATTACTTTGACTCTGCCAGACTTTGTAGCCCCCGCAGCCTGGTTTTGGGCCTGATCACCCCAACAATTATGTTGTTTTTGCAAAGTTTTTAGTATGAGTCTTTTTTGTAAGGGTTGTGAATGTTAACAAACAGAGGTTGTGAAATTGTTCCTGATTTTGAATTTAATTGGGGTGAATAATACATATTTTCTGTAATTAATATTCTTGAGACCTATTATGTTGCTGTTTTCCAGATTTCTAGAAAACCTGAAAATTAAAAACTATGTTTAGAGAAAGTAGAATTATTTAAATGAAATGTATCAAGAAGAAACCTGTAAGGACATTGAAAGAGTTATTTTATTATGTTACTGATCCATTCAGTGCAAAAAGCACTTTTAACTTTCTTAGGGCAGGAAAGTTTTAATACAGAAGTTGTAACTTATTTAACTTCTTATTTACAGAAGTTGTAACTTTTGTAAATTTTATTTTGATTTTGCATGTGTTTGTTTTATTTTTAATCAATAAAATAATTTTTGAATATTATGTTAAGAGTCTTGGCTGGGTATGGTGGCTCATGCCTATAATGCGGGAGCTTTGAAAAGCTGAGGCAGGAGGATTATTTAAAGCTGGGAGTTGGGACCAGCCTGGTGAAGATGGTGAGATCCTGTCTCTAGAAAAATTTTTTTTCCAAGTCAGCTGGGCATGGTGGCATAGGCCTGTCATTCCAGGTACTAGGAAGGCTGAGGTGGGAGGATCACCTGAACCCAGGAATTCAAAGCTGCAGTGAGCTGATGACTGTACCAGGGCACTCCAGCCAGCGAAAGAAAGTGAGACTCAGTGTCAAGAAAAAAAAATTCTTCACATAAATATGGCTGAATATCATCTTTAATTATCCAACAAGTAATTCCACTAGCCAATGAGAGCCCACAGGTCCGGAAGAAATCTTGGTTCTTAAAAAAGAAATTAGCATGTAGATAACACAGTAAGCATCAGACAGTGCAACAAGAAACTGAAGTATATAGAATAATTTATTTTAACAGGTATATAAGAAGAGTAAGCAACTAAGCACCATTGGGTGGTATAGAAATAAAGTGTCTAGAATAAATAGGCATTATATTATTCAGAAATTAAACTTGATGCTAACAGCAAATTCAAACATAGCTAATACTAATTGAATTTTTTCATTATGCGAGGCACTGTATAAGAGCTGCACAATCAATCTCTGCAAAAACCTACGAAGGAAATACTATTATTATCTTCATTTGACAAATGAATAAATTGAGACAGACATTAAATAACTGACAAAGCCACTCAGATAATCGTGGCAGAGCCAGTTTTGGAATCAAGGTTTTCAAACACTGGAGACAGACACATACAAACTCCAAGCTACGAAGTAATTTAAACATTATTTAGCCCAATTTCAATTGTTTAATAATATAAAAAGTGTAAAGTAGTCAAATGACTCACTCAGATTAGGCCAGTTCTTTAGGTTCTAAGTTGCACTGGTCTGATTTCCTGAACTTCAGCCTAAATATTTATTTTTATTAATAATATTACTGCTATTAATGTTGTAATGTTAACCATTTACGTACACAGATATATTTAAATATCTAGATATTTAAATATAGTTAAATTATGTGTATTTAAGTATATAAATAAGTACTTAAATATACTAATAAGGACTTACATATGTATAATTGATATATACTTGAATATATAATGCAGTTCATTCAGCATATTTTGATAACTTGTGAATGAGATTTGCAAGTGGATAAATAGAGTGATTTTGAAAATGTTAATAAATTACAAACTCTGGTACTAGCTAGAATTGATATTAAGTCACCATTCTATGAAGAACATTGGCTCGTTGTTAAAAATTGATTAAGAAGTATAATCTCTATATAAAATCTAATGCTGAAAATGTATTTTATTATATAAAGTTGTAATAACTTCATGTAATAACTGACAAAGAAAACAAAGAAGTTATCACAACTTTTTGTAACCATATTCAAAAAATGTTTAGATTTCTCTCATTTTTTTTTCTAAATATTTACTTACAGTGAAAGAATTTCAGAAATGTGATACATTCTTACTCAGCCACTTGAAAAAACAGCAAATTATAACATGAGGCTCAGTTTTGCTCAGGTTTAAGGCACTAGTGTTTATAAAAAATAAAGCATATCTGGAAATAGGCATAATTGTATGCATTTTAGGCACTGTTTAGCTCAACAATACTGTTTTTCAATTATTTCCACATTTAACCCAATAAAAATAATATAATGTGTATTTTTCAGTCCTGTGTAATGGTGTCTGTTATTCATGAACCTTAAATACTCAGTACATACAATTTAGTTTATTATTCAGTGATGCTTGCAGTCTGTTTTAATGCTTGGAAGTGATCAAAGGAAGCAAATGCTTTAGAGTTTATCTAGTTCCGCTTCCTAACCAAGCGAAACCCAAATAAGCTAGCTCAGCACAGTCCCAACCTGGTGTTTTTCATCATTTTTCAAATTCTTAACATTTGATTTGACTGATGGTTTCTGTATGTCCTAGACGTCACATTGCCATGGTCACTAAGTAAAAAAATTTAGTTTTTATATCAAGTAACTTCTGAAACCAAATAATAAAACTATAAACCTCAGTGAAGAGTATGACAAAATGAGAAATGATCTGAATATATTTATATAGTATATTATTTTTATACAGTGGTATTAATACAAATTGATTCTCCATTTTTCTAAAAGAAGACAAAAAAGGCATCTCACATTCTTTTCCAGCACTCAATAGAACCAGGGCAATATAGATATCCGTTTATTGAAATGATTTTCTACTAACATACAGTTAAATATTGTTCTCAATATGTGACGCACAAATCTTTCATTAATCATTAATTGGTATGTGCTGTTCATATGATTTCTTTTCTAAAGAGGTATAAGCAATACTTGTATTTTTCCCTGATCCTATAAACTAGTAGTGAGTGCAATAAACTGTTTTCTAGTAATGGCAGTTCCTAGAGGACGTTGTTAGCTCACAAGATGGAATTGTAGGATATATGTTGAACTGCTGTATTGAGACAGGAAGACCTCAGACACTTAACAGAATGTGTCTGTGGGAGTTCACTATTGTACACTATAGTACCTCAAAATCTTTAAGACTTGGCATGAAATAACTTCTAAGCACACTGCAACTGTAAGCTAACACGCTGACACTGATGTCTTATTTGGGTAAAATCAAAGAAATCATATAGCTGGGAAAGGATGAAACATCTATTTTCTGTGAGGTATCAACCACAAGGGAAGATACACCTTTTTAGAAGATTTTATTTTGATGCCAGCTAGAATCTTACAGTCAGTAACTCAGTTTAAAAAGAAGTAAGTAATTACAAAAGAAATATTCCATCTGTCTGTTATTAAAATGGGATGGATATTATGATTCCTAGAAATGGCTTGTTTAGAGACAGATTATTCAATTTTCTGGCTGGAATACATTCATTTTTGAAGACTGCATGTCTATGATATCAATTTACTGTACTTTGGCTTTTGATCAAACTATACCCATTAAATTTTTTGTCATGTTAATGTTTAAATTCTTTGGTTCTCAAAATCAATACTATAAGAGACTAGTGTATATCGACGGAAGTCTGCATTTTCTCTCTGTTCACAGATGGAATACCTAAACATCTTCACTGAGTCCCATAGACAATCACACAAAGAGGACTCCTCATGTGGCATACCACTCAGTTCTTTTTGTTTTGTTTTGTTTTTTGGCCAGAAAAGACGTGGAATTTTTTTTTTTTTTTTTTTTTTTTTTTTTTTTTGTTCTGAGAGGGAGTCTTGCACTGTCACCCAGGGTGGAGTGCAATGGCACGATCTCGGCTCACTGCAACCTCAGCCTCCCAGGTTCAAGCTATTCTGCCTCAGCCTCCTGAGTAGCTGGGATTACAGGTGCCCACCACGCCCAGCTAATTTTTTGTATTTTTAGTAAAGACGAGGTTTCACTTTGTTGGCCAGACTGGTCTCAAACTCCTGACCTCATGATCTACCCACCTCGTCCTCCTAAAGTGTTGGGATTACAGGCATGAGCTACCACACCCAGCCAGTGGAACTTACTTAACATCACTTAAGCAGTGATCACAAATTATCTGCAGTGAGCAAAGAACAAGATGATAAAACCATGGCAGCATTTCAAAGAAAACAAAACAAAACAAAACAAACGTGCATTTGTTGCTTCTTGAATATGTTGACTAGCAAAGGACAAAGATGATATTCACTTGCTGCAAACATTAAAGGAGTAAAAAACTTAAGTATTAGCAAAGCTGTTTTTGTCATTAAAGGCTATCCTATACTTTCTACTTGTAGCTTAATTGTAGCCAGTATAGAGATTGAAAAATTGTCTAGTAATAGATAACAAATACATAGTAATTATTATTCATCAGGCACTCTTTTAATTGCTTTACACATATCACTTTTTTCAATCTTTGCCAACTGATGAAAAAGGTGTTATTATTATTCACATTTTATTGGTGATAAAACTCACAAAGTTAGTGTGACTTACCTAAGCGTCACACAGATAGTTTATTAAATAATGAACATTTGAGAACCGGCAGTCCATACTCTTAACACTCTGTCACTACACCCTCTAAGAAAAGTAGTCTTGGTCACCATATACACTCTTGCAACCTACATACGCCTATGTTATGCCAGATTGGAGACAATTTTGTTCAGTATATGAAAATAAGAATATCAAAAGTGAGAGGCCGGGCGCGGTGGCTCACGCCTGTAATCCCAGCACTTTGGGAGGCCGAGGCGGGCGGATCACGAGGTCAGGAGATCGAGACCATCCCGGCTAAAACGGTGAAACCCCGTCTCTACTAAAAATACAAAAAATTAGCCGGGCGTAGTGGCGGGCGCCTGTAGTCCCAGCTACTTGGGAGGCTGAGGCAGGAGAATGGCGTGAACCCGGGAGGCGGAGCTTGCAGTGAGCCGAGATCCCGCCACTGCACTCCAGCCTGGGCGCCAGAGCGAGACTCCGTCTCAAAAAAAAAAAAAAAAAAAAAAAAAAAAAAAAAAAAAAAGTGAGAAAACTATGCCAATATTACACCAACAGAGCCATAAACTTGGGGGCAAGATCAGAAAACATGGTCAGGAGAGTGAGCACAGGCGTTGTGTGGCAAAAGAAGTCAGCCCTACCTGAGCCCACACCAGGATATCCCCTACTATTCAAATCCTCACAGGAGTCCGGTTTTGCCTTTATGACACTGTGCTTGATTGTAATTGTTCGTAAAAATATGTGCATAATAATGTCTAATCATTTGCTAAATTGTATTTTCAGGTAGAATACTATGCCTGACACATTAGAAGTATTCAATAAGTACTTTCAAAGGATTCCAAGTTGAATACTCAGGAAAAGGGAAACTAAACAGAAAAAAAAAATTATAAGCAATTCCTAAAACTTTGCAAAAGACAAATTATTTTCAAAAAGAAGTTGCAAATTTTAATGGTGTCATTTGTCTGCTGATCTTTCACTGTGCTTTTTAACTTGGCAGTAAGTTATGAGACTGCAAGAGAGATATCTAAGGGCACTATTCTTTTTGGAAAGTAAATCTCAAATAGATGCTTTCTTAAGTCTTCCAAGTATTTTTAACTTTGATCAGAAATTCATTACTGTCTTTCATATAATAAATTAGCTGTGAACAAATCAACTAAATAAGAAATATACCATTAAACCAAATGCATAAAATTCTCCAAGCGTTTACCTACTGGGAAAAAAATATTTCCATCCTATCTTGAGAGTTTAATTTAATCCACCTATAAATCAGCAGATAAAACAAACTACGGTGTTTGTGTGTATATATATATATATCTGTGTATCTATCTATCTACACACACACACACACACACACACACACACTGTGATATTATTCAGCCTTAAGGAGGAAAGAAATTCTGACACGTGCTAGAACATAGATTAACCTGAAATATATTAAGCTAAGTGAAATAAACCCATCATGAAACAACAAATAGTGTATGATTGCATTTATATAAGGTACTCAGAGAAGTAAATTTATAAAGACAAGAAAGTAGAATGACAGTCACCAAGGTTTAAACGAATTAAGGAATGGAAAGTTAAGGTTTAATGGGTACGGAGTTGTAGTTGGGGAAGATGAGAAAGGTTTGGAGATGAATGATAATGGTATTTGTACAACAACGTGACTATACTTACTATCACAGAACTGCACGCATGAAAATGGTTAAAATGGTAGCTCATGTTATGTATACTTTCCCTCAATGAAAAATAGGATTTAAAAAAGTTTTATTTGAAATCAACAACTCATCAGAAATATTGTCAAAATTGTATCCATAGTATTATAGGTTTCATTAAGATATGCATAATTATTGTTGAGTCTATTGAGATAAAATTTGAGATTTTATCTTATGAAAACAATGAATTTAGAATTTAATTTGAATCATTTAATTTTATTTTTCCTTATATTACTCAGATATTTTTATTTCCAATTAATTTGTCAATTGTTTGAGATACTTTACTTACTCTATTTTACTTGTTTATAAATCTCAATACCAGAAGTCATTCACTTAACATGTTTTAATATGTACAAATTTAGCAAGTAATGGTCTTGATCTTTGTCTATAATATACATTTTTATAATTTATTATATTTTTATGATAATCAGAAGTATATATAATATTTTGGGACACAAACATACACATAATAACAAAAGATGGTGATATTGATTGCAAAATTTCTATGTAAATGTTATTCTTAATGCTAATAATATTTTTATGGTGATTTTGCTGAAACACATTATTATAGTTCTTTCCTATAATATGCATTTGTTTACTGGCAAACAGAAGAATTAAAAGTTTAGGTTCTGACATCAGCATTTCTGGGAATAAATGTCAACTCCTTTACACACAATAGTGAGGACTTGGCAATATTTTATCTCTCTGGGCTTCAGTTTTCTTTTTTATAACATCAAAATGGAAATGTTTCAACCTCATATAAATATTTAAATGAGTTACTTACGTTAAATACCTATGAACTTGCCTGGTACATATTTAACCCAAAATAAATGCCCAGGTATATTATCATCACTCAAATGCATAATATGTGGCTTCCTACTGAAATTATAAACATGAACTTCAAAGGATTTTAAAATAAGTGTTTATCAAGTTATGTAGCAGTCTTTATGGGTCTTCAGATTTACCTAGCAGAAATATTTCAAACCATTCACATTTTTAAGATGATAACATCAGTTTTAGAGCAAAACCTTTTAAGCTACTCAAAAGCATTATGAAGTCAAGGAGATATAGTTGTTGAAATATGACATTCTCTGTAAATCAGTTATGAACAAATGGATCTAGGTTTATATGGCTATTCTGTGGTATAAGATAAAAGGGACCCTATCCGAATAGATTCGTAAAATATTTCTCATTTGGTGTTTCTAATGAGAACAGAAAAGAAATACTAGTTAATACTGCATCTTATATTTAGCTAATACATTTATAAATTCTGACCTTTAAATATCAGATACAGAAGTTATTAAAAATACCAATTTCAAATCTATTTACCTATATTCACACAGAACAAAATATGCTGTTTAAAGAAGCAATAATCTGGCTGTATCTGAAAAACAAAATGTGCATATGGTTCAACATTTAATTTTATAGCCTATCATTCATCTATTTAAATGGCAATATATTACAAATAAAGAGAAAATGAAATGTCAGTAAGACAGTACTGTATAGTAACATGTGAGTTCCTGCAAGGTACTTTAGATGATGGAACACAGATAGGCTTGTGCTAATAGCCATTCACAATAGATATACATCAGAATTCGTGATAAATGGAACCAACGCTTTTTGTGAGAAAGCTAATTTACAAATAAATGCTAGAAAATATACACTAATACTATGTCTTTCAACAGTTCTCTAAGTAAATATTCAAATATTTTTGTTCTTATCAAGTGATTATGCTATATTAACTCTATTCAGAAAAAAACCATCTAAGAAAAGTTTAATGTGATGTAAAAATTAAGCTTTAGAGTAATTTTCTGTTTTTAAACAACATTCTTGATACAATGTGCATCATGTGAAAATAAACTCACTTTTTCAGATAAGTACAAGTTTTCGTTTTACATGAGTCACTATAACTAATAACTTTATTCATATTTTAAAGTGTTTTAAACATAGCAATGAAATTATTACATTTTATATAATATCAAAGTAAAAAAGAGAATAATGCACAATTCATCAGAAATGTTAAGGTACAAATGTATCGCTACAAAATGTTATTTGGCCTTCATATATGCACAGCAATCATAAAGAAATATAAAGAAACAAAGTGAAATGCTAAGAAACCAAGTAGCTCTGATACTAAAACTTTTAGGAAGACAGGAATGATTCTTCACACCCAGTCATTTCCTCTCATTTATATGAACTGAACAGATACACTGGTTTAATCTTAAAGTCTGAATACAAAGAAGGACTATCTTATAACTAAAATGAAATCCTGATAAAATACACCATAGCATAAACATTTATCTTTTTATTCACTTATTACTTACATATTGCTCCTTTTTATTTTTTAGGTTCTTTTCCCCAAATAACTATTTATTAGCTCCCAAAGATACCACAAAATTAAACAAAATAAAATAATTTAAAAGTAAAAAAAGACAAATTAGCCCAATGGGAAAGAATTGTAGGAAAATAAAACACAGTTTTGGCAAATGCAAGGTCAGAACAGAAGCACCATGTCACAAATTCTGTGCAGTTGCCAGACATGGATAGGCATTGAGATTCAGGCTTTCCAGAGCAAGTGTAAAACACAGTAACAGGACCATCACCAACACTACTAATGCTTCCATCAGAGAGAAATTTTCTCTGTATGTCTTCAGAAATAAGAGAAAACCATGTTTTTTGGGTGGCATTTTCTAATGTTCCCAGTAACATTTTTTTTAGATGCTTCACACAAACACACAGACAAAAGGGTTTCTGATAAAATGCATTTTGAAAATTCTACATATATAGCACCTCACTCCATCCTCAAACTTTCTTAGATTCATGGCAGATATCAGCATATTAAAACATATTTATTTCCAATTAACCTAATTTTTAAAAACTGGATTTTCCCAAACACCCTTCATTTTCTCTACATCTGACAGTTTTTCTTGGATATTAGTGTCGGTGTGTAACATGGTTTAGAAAGAGTGTGGAGCTGATTCCTATAGACTGTGTATAAAGGAAAGCAAAAACCCATTTTATACGACCACATCTAAAAAGATTTTCAGAGTGTGTTCTTCTTCACCATAATCAGCTGCAGGTTTGCGGAATTCTACCCATTTCCTCTGGGAATCAGGGGCACCTTAAAGGTGTCCAGAGAACTAATGCTAACCTAACTGTAGCCAAGGTTTAGGGCATGGATAGGATCAAAGAGATATCCACATAGATAATGGGGCCTTGGCCATAGGCAAAGCTCAAGGCACAAATAGGAATCAGGGCCATGAACAGTGAAAGGATTGAATCATGGTTGCCGTTATAAAGAAGCCTTTCCAGGTTGGGCATGGTGACTCAAGCCTGTAATCCCAGAACTTTGGGAGGTCGAGGCAGGTGGATCATTTGAGGTCAGAAGTTCATGACCAACCTGGCCAACGTGGTCTCTACTAAAAATACAAAAAAATAGCTGGGTGTGGTGGCATCCACCTGTAATCCCAGCTACTGGGAAGGCTGAAGCAAGAGAATTGCTTGATCCCAGGAAACCGAGGTTGCAGTGAGCAGAGATTGCTCCATTGCCACTCCAGCCTGGGCAACGGAGTAAGACTCTGTCTCCAGAAAAAAAAAAAAAAAGCCTTCCCACAGCAAGAGCCTGGGAAGACAAAGACACTGTGGGGGCTTCGTCAGGGGCTTGCTCTAGGAATCTGAATCTGATACCACAAGCTCTACCCACTTGCCTTTGGTCCCTTCAGATCGGATTTATTCTCAGCACATACGCTGTCTGGTTCTGTTAAATCAACTGCCTCTCTTTCTTTACCTTCAGTCCAGAAAACTCCTTCAAATTGTGGAGGGAGAAAAAGAAAGGAAGGAGCAGGAGGAATTTCCCCCTCTACATATTTAATCGTCATACCCTCTTAGCTAAACCCAGATTGTCTCTCTGCCCTCGAAAGTGTTACATTAAAAACATTCTTCACTAAACATTTTTTACAAACTTTTCTTTATGAAGACCTGAAGAGAAAATTTCTCCCCGATTGAAATATTAGCAGTGATGCTAACAATCTTGGTATTGCATTTCATATGTGCCTTGGATAACATAATCTAACTATGTATCCATGTCCAGCAAATGCACAGAAATTGTGGCATGGTGTTTTTGTCCTAATCTTATAAAATAAGATTTGATAAAATATTACTTTACTTCTTTAACTAAATATTTCCCATTTGGCTAAGGCTTTGACCACAAAAATCAGAAGAACTTCCATTTACTTTATTCTAACTCATATCCTCAGTTTGTAGGATCTAAAGACCTAATGACCTAAAGAATTAAATGGGAAGAGAAAAAAAGTTTTAAAAAGTAACACAAAATTTGAGGTGGGTGTGGAAACAAAAAAAGATGGTTAATTATAAAAAGAAATCTGTTTGGCACATGTGGAATACATTTTAGAAGTGTTGCCTTAAACGCAGCAATGATTGGTTTAGTTATACTTTTTTATAAAGTCCTTTCATATTTGCTTATTTCATTAAGCCAATATTGAAACAAATAGGTTAAAAATGTCATCTGATTCTACGGAATTTTGTTCCTGAGAACCTCCATATAGATAGGTTTCTAAGTATTTAAAGGAAGAGATAGGCTATGTATCTTCCAGGCAGTCCTCTATGTAGAGAAATAAACAACCTTAGACAACTATTAAAACATGGTAAGTATATTTCTCTCTCATATTCAGGTTTCCTTATGGAGTTATGCTTAATTATTATGATTTCGTCTACTTACTTCTTTGATATCTCAAATTTTCATTTAGAAGAAACGTGAGATAGGTATTATAAAATTGTATAAATCAATCTAATATCTTCTCTAGGCCTTATATTAATCAAAGCAAATAAACTGAGTGACTATTACTAAGGTCCGACATGTTATAATTCAGTCACACATCTTAAACATTCTTTTATAAGATATCTACATATTTTCACAGATATAAACTTTTCCAATTTGAGCCACTTGTTAAGCAGAAACCAAGAAACTTCCTTAACTTAAAAGAAAGGAAAATATGACTTATGAGAAATGACAAAGCTACTCATAAACTTTTGAAATGGCTCTAAAATCAGATTTTCTTACCACACTGCATTAAAATAATTTAAAGGATTTATAATGTCTTCCCAGAAATGTAATAACTATAAAACCTTATAGATTATAAATTGCAGTCTTACATCTCTGTTGTTGACTTCTGTTAAATTTCTATTGTTTCCAAGTTAGAAACCTATTAAAACATTACCATAATAAACATTAACATCAAAAGTATTTTGCCTTTCTCTTACAATTTCAAACAACATTCTTATATGTATTTTCTTACTTGGTAACTAAATTTTTATTGTTCACCAAGTAAAGAATGATGATTGAATAAGTAACATACATGGAGAGAAATGTATCATGTGCTTGATGAGCCAGGTACAGTAAACTATAAACCAAAGGAGGGTTTAAGAATCAGGGTGGAGTCAATACTTAGGGAGGAACTGAAAGTCAAGGCAGAATGAGAGAGATGAAAGAAAGGGCTGCTGTCAGTGTTAGTGAAGACTGCACGTGCTCTACAGTGCAGAAAATAAATAATATGAAGTGACTTTTAAATCCCTTAAGATAAGTCTGGGGAAATTTTTCTTACTAAACCTAGTAAAATTCTCTGATATTATCGAAAAGGCTCAATTGCCTAAATTCATTGTAATCTAGAATACTACAAGAGCTGTTAACTAATCAGAATGTAACACTTCCATAATGACACTTTATAAGACCTATTTTTTACCTTGCTGCGCCTAAAAATTAAATTAGATAAATTTAGCAATTTTCTAAGTGCTTTAAAATATCTTTATTCTCTCATCTTGCTATTTGAAATTGTATTTCTCAATCTGATATTTTCTGCAAGAATATGAGAAAAAGAGAAATAATGGGAAAGGCAAATGATACTTAGAATACGATTTTATGTCCTTGTAAGATTAGTGGTACCAAAGGACAGTTCATTTTACTTTTGTTTAAATTTGTTTAATTTTGGTTTTGTTGTTGTTCTTTTTAAAATATCTTGGTAGAAATACTGACTTGCCTAGACAATCGGGAAAATAACTGGGGGATGCTCCACTATATAAGTAGCAACTCTTAGAAACTTACTAGGAGCTTTGAGCCATGAGACTCTGGCTGTATAATCTTTATGGTTTCCAGTAAAATGTCTCACTCTAGACCAGCACCATTCAAAGAGCTTCCTTCCTTCCTTCCTCCCTCCTTCTTTCTTTTATCTTTTCTTTTCTTTTTTCCTTCCTTCCTTCCTCCCTCCTTCCCTCTTTCTTTTCTTTTCTCTTTTCTTTTCTTTTTTCTTTTTTCCTTCCTTCCTTCCTTCCCTTCTCCTTCATTCCTTCCCTTCTTTCCTCCTTCCCTCTTTCTTTTCTTTCTCTTTTCTTTTCTTTTTTCTTTTCTTTTTTTCCTTCCTTCCTTCCTTCCCTTCTCCTTCTTTCCTTCCTTCCCTTCTCCTTCCTTCCTTCCTTCCCTTCTTTCCCTTCTTTCCTTTCCTTTCTTTTCTCTTTTCTTCTTCTTTTTTTTCTTTTTTTGAGATGGAGTCTCACTCTGTCTCCCAGGTTGGAGTGCAATGGCATAATCTTGGCTCACCTTAACGTCTGCCTCCCAGGTTCAAGAGATTCGCATGCCTCAGCCTCCCAAGTAGCTGGGATTACAGGCATGCACCACCATGCTCAGCTAATTACTGTAGAACATGCAGGACGTTTATTTTACTGAAGTGATTTGGCCAGGCTGGTCTCTAACTCCTGACCTCAGCCTCCAAAAGTGCTGGGATTATAGGGGTGAGCCACCGCAACTGGCTCAAAGAGCTATTTTTCAAGAAATTAAAATGCTTATCCAAGAATAAAATATAAGACACTGCTTCCTTCCTTAAGAAAGTTTGCCTAAAATAATTTTCATCTGAACCAACAAACATGATTCAAATAACAGTTGATTTACACTTTGTCTAATTACCTTACATCTGCATCAACCAGTAACAAACACTTTGGGGACAGATGGTCAGTCTGAGAAGTACACATTGAGTAGCACTACCTAGACCACATATTGAAATCCTAGAAGCATCTGCTTGTCAGGATTCTGACACATTGTACACTGTCATGCCTAGAAGACTCATATTCTAATAGGAAACAGAAAAATAAAACCAGTGGTTATAAACTATTATGATAGTTACTATAACAAACATATGCAATAGGTTTTCTTCGAAGAGACAAAGGAGGTACTTACTTGATGTATCAAAAGCCGAATACAAGCAGAGGCAATAATTGAACAAGAGAATAAGCCAGATATTGAAAGACTGGAGTCAGAGGTAAAAGCAAGTAAAAAAGACAAAAGAAGATTTGATGATGGGGAAAAAAAGTACTCAAGAATAAATGAAACTGCAGAATTAAACAAGTTACATAGAAAAGGAGGAACCAGGCAAAAAAATAATAACTATTTATGCCTGAGATATTTAGTGGATGCTATCCCGAAAATTCCAAGGTTTTGTTAACTGTCTAATAACTGATCTACAATTACTTTACTAGTAGTTATATCCCTGGCTTAAAAGCAAGCAAAAGAATCACAACAAAGCACACACACACACACACACACACACACACACATCTTCTACTGCCACCCAAACAGAAACAGGAATTACTTGCACAAATGAAACAACTAAAGAACCAATCACTCTTATCCTCACAACAACAACAAAAGCTGAACAAATGGCAAATCAACATCTTTTCTTGAACCCATCATAAAACTGAAGTAACAGGGAAACCTGGAGAGATAGGTGAATCCAGAGTCACAGCTGAGATCTGCTTATGTGGAGCAGAAGCTGCTGAAGCCATAAATGTGTTTGAACACTTAAAGGTAATTCTGATGAATTACTAGAAGCTGAATGTAAACTAAAATTCCTGGGTGCCACATTCTTAGTTGGCCCTGTTACAGGTAGTTAGATAGGCATGAGCAGGGCAGGAGAGGGGTCTCCCCTTACCCACCAGGAATGTCAGGTGATGGTTTGACAATTATCACACTGCCTCTCTAGAAATGATAATTTGGCAGCCCACCCAAGGCTCCAGGGAGAGGCCATTTCCTGATGATCCACAGTTATTAACATTAAAGTGTTAATTGAATGCAGGTGCTTGGGACAATAAACTTCCTGGGCATGCATACAACTTCCTAAACACACTGCCTGTGCTCAATTCCCAAGGGTAAGGAGGGCACTGCACATGGGGGAAGCTCACCCTAAGAGAAGAATCATGGGAAAGAGGCAACTCTACAAAGTCCTAGAATCAAGGTTAAAAGCTCTTTTCTCTTTTTGACCTTCAGGCACCCTCTTGGATCTCTTCCAAGTGAATTTCTCTGCCACCAGTAAAAGCCCCCATATGTTTATGAGCTGTATATATATAGGGATACCTCTAGATTCTCATAGCAAAGATCCAAGAAATGTCCTTCTCTGGTTTTGTCCAGTGGAGGGGAAAAGTAATCACTGTGAAATCCTCCCAGGTCATTCTGTTGCAGGTCTTTCTCTTTAGTTCAGCTAAAAGCTGGGTTCTTGTCACACGGCCATGAAATATTAGGCTCACAGACACTTTGAAGGGTGAGAAAAACGGAATTTTTGTTGTGAAAAGGAAAAACCAAAAGGAAAATAGGAACTCTCTCAGCAAAGCGAGAGTCCTGCTAGCCGGTTTCCCGCCTCACAGATTGAATCCCCGGAACACTCCGGAACAGGAGAGGCCAGGCTCCTCCCCGCTGCAAAGGGCACAAACTTCCTGAGGGTCCACCCCTGTGTGCACTCCTCCCAGTGTGCAGGCTGGTTGGAGGTTCTCCGGTGACCCCTTTGTGCTTGGGTGTCTCAATTCTCCATGACAAAGGACAAAGGTCTCCAAAGAAAGAGACTAAGCTCATCCTATCTGGGCACTGGCATTTGGCCAATTCCAGGTATCTCTACCTTGATATTTTACGTGTAGAGAGAAATAAAAGTTAAGAAACCATTGTGAAGGTAACAGCTAATGAACACATACCAATTTTACACTTGGATAAGTAGAAAGATGACAGAATGCATCTCTCCCCACAGGTTCCCACCAAATCAACAGAGCTTCAGTATAATAGCCATGGGTTGTAGCTGACAGAGCCACATGATGCAGATTCTGAGGAGTAGTTTTTAGGGATACACAGAGAAACCTCGGAAGAAAACTACAAGAATGTTAGATGAATCTGAAACCTTTGGCAGTAGTTATGTCACCGGCAGAGGGTCGTAACTGCAAGTTGTCTAGGTTCTTGGTGTTTTGAACAAATAATTGGACAAAACGCCCAGCAAAGCAAAGAAAAAAGCAACAAAAGAATGAAAGCAGACATTTATTGAAAAGGAAAGTACACTCCACAGTGTGGGAGCGGACCGAGCAGCTGCTCAAGGGCCTGGATACAGAATCTTATTTGGTCCAAATATCCCCTAGAAGTTTGCCATTGGCCACTTCATGCTCACCTCTTGTAACTGAAATGTTAGCCCTCAATCAGTCTGATTGGCTGCCAGCAGCAACCATTCAGAGGCTGGAGTGAAGTTACGAAGTTGGAAAAGAAGACTGGACCCGCACTCAGTGTGATTTGTTGCGGACAGCCGTCTGCCATCTGCCACGCAGGAAAGGTCAAAAGGAGTAGCCTCTAGTCCTTTTGCTACTTAGGCATGGAAAGTTAGGGTTTTCCTTTCAGTTTAGTTTTAGGAAGTCGGCGTGAAATGGCCTTAGGTTCCCTGCCTCCAGACCCTATTCTCCTGCCTCAGTTACAGTAAATATTAAATGTAGCCTAATGCAGCCAGATGAACATAAATCCTAACATTAAAGGTTTAGTTACCTCAGTTTCTGTTACCCAAAACATGGTATTCAGCTTTCAACAGAATTTTACAAAGCATGCCAAAAAGAAAAAAAAAAAAAGCAATCTTTGTTTAAAAAAAAAAAATCACCAGAACTAGACTCCAATATGATGCTGAGAACAAAATTCTCCTCAAACCAGGAATTTAAAATGACTATGATTAGTATGTTAAGGGTTCCAATAAAATCATAGAAAAACTATAAGAACAAATGGTTCATGAAGCTGATAGACAATTACTCTAAAAAAGAATTTTTAAAATGCTAGGAAACAGACACACTGTAATAGAAATTAAGCCTTTCTTTGATATGTTAATCACCATACTGTATGCAACTAAGGAAAGAATTAGTAAGCTTAATGATTAGTTAATAGAATCTTGACAAACTAAACTGCAAAGTAAATGATAATGATGATGATAATAGAAGAGAACCTCCAAGAACTTTGGAACAATTTTAAAGGTTTAATAACATACATGTTTTTGGGATACCAGAAGGAGAGAAATTGAGACTAGAGTGGAAAAAATATTTGAAGTAACAATAGCAGACAATTTCTCAAAATTAATGACAACCAGTACACTATAGCTCAGAGAAGCTCAGAGAAACCAACAGGATAAATGCCAAAAAAAAAAAAAATCTACACCAGGAAAATAATATTCAAACTACAAGAAACTAAAGACAAAGAGAAAAACTTCCAAAGATGTGACATTAAAAGGATAATAAAGAAATATAATGAGCAAATCTTTGCCCCTAAATTTGGTAACTTAGATAAAACGGATGAATTCCTTGAAAGATACACATGACCAACGTTTATACAAAGAGAAATATATAATCTGGATGTCTATATCTATTAAAGAATTGAATCAAAATTAATAAGTTCCCAAAGAAAGAAAGCACTAGGCCAGATGGTTTCGCTGGTTAATGCTATGAGATAATTAAGAATTAAATGATACAAATTCTTCAAACGGTCTTCCAGGACACAGAAACAGAAGTGAGCATGTAAAGCATCAAAGGAAAGAAAAACTACAGGCTTATATCTAACATGAATATAGATAAAAATATGCTCAACAATATATAAGGAAATCCTATATAACATTGCCTGAAAAAAGAAATACATGAGCTGGGAAAATAATTACTTCAGGTATTTAAGGCTGATTCAATGTTCAAAAATCAATTAATGTAGCCAATTACATTAAAAGGCCAAAGTAGAACAATCATACAATTGTGCAAATTGATGCAGAAAAAGCAGTTAACAAAATCCAACACTCATTCATGGTGTTGGATAGCGCAGCAACCTAGAAACATTTTACTCCTCAACAGAAAACATTTACCAACAAAAGGCATATCCAAAACTAATATCATACTTAATTGTAGAAAAATGGTCATCTTCCCCCTAATATTGGAAACAAAGCAAGAATGTCATCTCCCAAAACTTCGAGTCAACAGTGTAGTGGAAGTGTTAGCTGTTAAAATAAAACAGAAAAAAATGAGATACATATTGGGAAGAAAGAAATATAATTGCCTTTGTTTGCTGATAATAAAATTGTCCATGTAGAAAATCCCAAAGAACTGATAAAAACTATATACTGGATCTAATATATTAGTATAGCAAGGTTGCAGAATATAAGGTTAAGATACAAAACTCTATTGCTTTCTTATAAACCATCAATGGAAAACGGGAAATTTAAATTAAAATGGCAATACTATAATAACAGTTTAAAAACATTAAAAACAGGTACAAATCTAAAAAATATATAGAGGCTCTAATCAAAGATTCTGCAATTCTTCTCAACATGATATAAAGACTCAACACAAGCCCAGGTGAATTTCCAGAAAATCATTTTATAGATATCAACGAAATAATTTTTAGGTAGATATGGAAAATCATAGGATCCAGAATAGCGTATACAATATTACAAATGAACAAAGTTGGAGGACTGACTCTATATGAATTTAAGACTTACTATAAAGATACAAATGTCAATACAACACTGCATCAGTAAAAAATAGACACATAGATCAATAGAACAGAACAGACAGCCCATAAAGAGATCCATACAAATATAATCAAGTGATCTTTGATAAAGGAGCAAAGGCAATTAAACAAAGAAAGAATAGTCTTTTCAACATCTGGTGCTGAAACATTTGGATATTTATATGTTAAAAAAATGCATCTATGTATCGACTCTACATCTTTTAGAGAAATAAATTCAAAATGGATCACAGAGCTTACTATAAAACACAAAACTGTAAACATTTTAGAAGAAAACATAGGAGAAAATCTAAATGACTATGGGTTTGGCAATGAGTTTTTAGATAAAACACCAAAAGCTTAATCCATGAGAGAAAAAAATTTATTAGTCAGCCTTTATTAAAATTAAAAGATTTCTGCTTTGTGAATGACACTGGTAAGAGAATAAAAAGACCAGATACAGAATGGGAGAAAAATATTTTCTAAACATATATTTGATACTTACATCCATAAATAAACAAAGAACTATTAAATCTAACAATAAGAAAACATATGACCCAGTCTAATAGAAAAATCAATCTCATTTGTCGTTAAGGAATTGCAGATTAAAATAGTACTTCAATACCATTTTATACTTGTTAGAATGGCCAAAATAAAATAAAAACCTGATGATACCAAATGCTTGTGAGGTTGTGGAGCAAGAGGAATTCTCACTTATTTCTGGAAGGAATGCAAAATGTTACAGTCACTTTGGAAACTAGTGTCTTGGACTGCTATAAAAAATACTGCAGACTTGAGAATTTATAAATAAATTTATTGCTCACAGTTCTGGATACTGGAAAGTCTTAGATTAAGACACCAGCAAATTTAGTGTTCAGTGGGGGCTTGTTCCTCATAGATGGTATCTTTGTTGCTGCATCCTCCCATGGCAGAAAAGCCAGACACTCTCAAGCTTTTTTACAAGGGTATTAATTCTGTCTATGACAGCAGAGCCCTCATGACCAAATCACCTCCCAAAGGCTCTACCTCTTAACACTATCACCATGGGCATTAGATTTTCAACATTTTAAAGGAACAAAAGCATTCCAGGTGTAACATTTTATTCCTGATCCCCCAAAATTTATGTTCTTCTCACATGGAAAACACATTTATTTCATCCCAATAGTTTCAAAATTCTGAAGTCATTCTATAATCAACCCGAAAGTCTAAATTCCAAAGTCTCATTTAAATATTATCTAAATCACATGTGAGTGAGATGCAAGGTATGATTCATCCCAAGACAAATTTTCCTCCAGCTGTGAACCCATGAAATTAAACCAATTACGTGCTTCCAAAATACAATTGTGTGACAAGCATAGAATAAACATTCCCATCATGGAAAAAAAAAAATAGGAAAGAAGAAAGGGGTAATTGGCACAAGTTAGTCCAAAACCCAACAATGCAAACATTAAATCTAAAGTTTCCAGAATAATCTTATTTGACTTTAAGCACCACCTTTTGGATATACCTGGAGAGGGGTCGAGCTCCTAACAGTCTGAGTGCCCCTACCCCCATGGCTTTGGTAGGAATAGCTCATGCTATAGTTCTCATAACAGGAGTGACTGCCACTTTCCCAGAATTGAGCCACATGCCAGTGCCTCTACCAATCTATTGTCTCAGGAGTGCCCCCCAACTCCATGTATCTAATGGGCAATGCCCAAGTGAATATTCTCTGCAGTGGCCCCACACTTGCAGCAATTCTCTACCTGGATCCCAAAACTCTCCAGGGCATCCTTTAAAACGTAGATGAAAGCAGTTGTATTAGTCTATTTTCATACTGTTACGAAGAAATACCTGAGACTGGGTAATTTCTAAAGAAAAAGAGGTTTAATGGACTCACAGTTCCACATGGCTGGGGAGGCCTCACAATCATGGTGGAAAGTGAAGGAGGAGCAAAGGCACATCTTACATGGTGGCAAGCAAGAGAGCATGTGCAGGGGAACTGCCCTTTATAAAACCATCAGATCGTGTAAGACTCATTCACTATCACCAGAACAGCACTGGAAAACCCGCCCCTGTTATTCAATTACTTCCCACTAGGTCCCTCCCATGACCTGTGGAGATTATGGGAGCTACAATTCAAGATGAGACTTGTGTGGGGACACAGCCAAACCATATCAGCAGCCATGTCCTCATAGCTCTTGTACTCTGTCCACCTGTAGAGTTGGCACCATATGGGTGCTACCAAAGTTTACAACTTGTGCTCTCCTGAGAGACAGCCTGAGCCAAACCTGGACCCACTTGAGCCAAAGCTGGGAGAGCTAAAACGCACTGTAACAGAATGTAGGGAGAGGAACCTTGAAATCATTTCTTCACCAAAGCCCTGGTGTTCTGGGGCCATGATTGGCTTGGCAGTGTGAAAATCTTCAAAATGCCTTTGGGGTAACTCTATTGTTTTCCACCCATACTAATCTCCTTATCAAATTGTTCACCTGACAACACCATTGGTGTTCTCTCCTAATCTTGTTTTTTTATTCTTTACAATATGTTAAGGCTAAGAATTTTCCAAATATTTAAGTTTTGATTCCATCTTGATTACAAGTTCCATCTTTAATTCATTGATCTTATCTTGCATTTCCCTATAAGCAGTCAAGAGAAGCCATGTGGCATCCTCAACACCTTGCTTAGCCATTTCTTCCACCAAATATCCAATTTCATCACTCTTAATTTTCTCCTTCCACAAAACACTAGGACAGGAACACAATTAAGACAAATTATTTGCCACAATATAACAAAGACGATGACCTTTTTGTCTGTTTCTAATAATTCATCTTTTTACTCCCATTTAAGATCTCATCAGAATGGCCTTTATTATTTATATGTCTGTCAACATTCCATTCACAGCCCCGTTAGATAATCTCTAAGAAGTTTGAGGCTCCCTCTACAGTTCCCCTCTTCTGAGCACTTGCCAGAATTGCCTTTAACACTGAGTTCAAGGAATCTAGGTGTTTCCTCACATGCACCTCCAGACTGTTCCAGTCTCTGCCCATTACCCAATTCTAAAGCCGTTTTCACATTTCTAGGCATTTTTTATGGCAGCACCCTACTTCCTGCTACCAGTCTATCTTAGTTCATTTGGACTGCTATAACAAAATACCCTAGACTGGGTAATTTAAAAACATCATAAATGTATTGCTTACCATTCTGGAGACGGGTAAGTTCCAGATCTAAGTGACAGCAGATTTGGTGCTTGGTAAGGGCCTGTTCTTCATGGATGGTGCCTTTTTGCTGTTTCTTCACATGGAGGAAGGAGCAAACAAGTTTCCTCAAGTCTTTTTATAAGGGCACTAATCCCATTCACGAGGGTAGAGTTTTTCCTGATGTAATCACCTCCCAAAGACCCACCTCTTAACGTTATTGCCTTGAGGGCTAGGTTTTTAACATATACATTTTAGAAGAACACAAACATTCAGATCATAGCAGGAAGTTTTTTACATAACTGAAAATAGTCTTACCGTATGATCCAGCAATTACACTCCTAGGTTGTTACTCAATTGATATGAAAAATTTCTCCACATAAAAACTTGCATATAAATGTGAATAGCAGCTTTATTCTTAATTTACATGTATATCTAATTTGAATATTTATGAGTATTATAAATATTACAGATATTCATATTATAACTGAATGTTCATAATTTATTCCCATTGCCAAAAACTAAAAGCAACCAAACTGCACTTCCGTAGGTATAAATAAACAATGGTACTGCCATACAATGAAATAGCACTTAGTGATAAAAAGAAACAGGTTATTGAAATGCAAAGTGTCACAAGTAAATTTTACATGTATATTGCTAAGTGAGAGAAGCTGATGTAAAAATGTTACATGGCATATGATTACAGTTATATGACATTCTGAAAAAATCAAAACTGTAAAGGCAATTAAAAAATTAGTGATTGCCAGAGGTTTGGGTGTGAAATGTGCTGGTCGAGTAGGCAAACATAAGCGGATTTTAGGATGTTAACCTATTTGTATTACATTGTAATTGTAGATATAGTTTTGTACTTGTCAAAGCTAATTGAACTCCACAGCACAAAGAGTGAACTTTAATGTATATATATCTGTAAAATAGACAACCTGAAGAATCCCAAAATGGAATGCAATGTGTGACAAGAAAATCTAACTATAATATAAATAGGTGATACAACCTCAGTGAAGGAGATGGGGGAAAATGTGCTGATTGAAGTGATTTTGGAAATGAGTCTGCAAGATTAAGGACAAAAGAGGAACATGAAATCACTGCACTCTACTTGCTAAAGTTGCTTCATAGAGGAGTAAGGGTCAATAATTGTGTATATATATATTTATATATATCTCAAAATTGTTGATAAATATAAATATAATATATGCTAAAAATGGAACAATGAAGCACATGAAAGAATGATGGTGAGAGCCAGATTTCTCACTGTTGGAAAGGGAATTTACAGACAAGCAAAAAGAGGAGGCTATAATTATCTACATGATAATGCAGTAAAGTTGGCAGCACCAGTATAAATTCATGTTTAGCTTAAGATAGATACAAATAATTACATATGGAAATATTTGTAGATACATGTATATACACTGCTAAGTATACTCACATATATTTCCTTCCTCTTTCAGCTGAAGGCCTAAAAGCAACTGCACCAAAATAGCAACTAGCACACTTAGGGTCCAGCCATTGGTTTCTAATAACATTCTCCAATAAAAGAAACCACTTATTGGAGAAGTGCCGTTCTAGAACTGAGACAGACAACACACAAGCTGAGCCTGGAGCATCTTAATAGTAACAAAATTATAAGGAAGTGTTAACAAACACAAAACCCACAAAAACTCCACAATAATGAGGCTATATAGAAGGAGCAAAGGGGACATCTGAAAGAGCCCTCAATGCCAAAACTGAAACACTTTCAGCAACAAAATAAATACTGTAAATGAATAACAACTCAAATTATAAAATAATCATCCACCAGTGCAAATGATGTAAGTAAGTTATTAAATAAATAAATGAAAAGGCAAACAGGAAGTAAAGCCACAGATAAAGGAAGAATACAGCTAAGAGCTATAGTGGGGAAATGGGGTATTACTGTGTAGTTGGCACAGATAGATATAATGAGTTTAATGGATATAGAGCTTAGATATGAAAAGTGTTCTGGAGATTGGCTGCACAACCGTGAGAACATACCTAATACCACTGAACTGTACACTTATAAATGATTAAATGGTACATTTTATACAATGTATATTTTATCACACTAAAATTATTACTACACTAAAAATATAAAGTAATAATAGAAATGAAGTAATAAAAAGTGATTCCCAGATTTCATTTTTTGAGATGGAGTCTCACTCTGTTACCCAGGCTAGAGTGCAATGGCATGATCTTGGCTCATTGCAGCCTCTGCCTCCCAGGTTCAAGCAATTCTCCTGCCTCAACCCTCCAGGTACCTGGGACTATAGACCTGCACCACCACACCCAGCTAATTTTTGTATTTCTATTAGAGATGGGGTTTCACTATGTTTGCCAGGCTGGTCTTGAACTCCTGACCTCAGGTGATCCACCTGCCTCGGCCTCCCAAACTGCTGGGATTACAGGTATGAGGCACCGCACCTGGCCTCCTAGATTTCTTAAAAAGTGAAAAGACTTATTAATTCCACCAGTTGTTCAGTATATGACCAAAAATATCTCATGTATTATCTGTGAACAATGAGAAATTTATTTTGGCGCTGTGTTCTAAGTTCCCCCTCACCCCCGAGACATTTAAATAAATAAAAATCAACTATTAGATTATTTTGGGGGTTTGTGTCTCTGTCTATGTGCTGGGGAAGAGAACTGAAGCAGACCTGGTGGGGCAGACATATTACTTTCACCTTCCACGAGCTATTGTTTTATGTTAAGATTTTTAATAAATATTTGTTGAATATAATGCATATTCAGCATGACCTTAAATGATATTATTTATATATACGAGTTAGTAATATTTCCAGTTTACTTTTTAGATTCTCTCTCTCTCCTTTCTCTCTTTCTTTCTCTGCCCTTCCATCCCCCACTATTCCTACCTCTTTTCTTTCTTCCTCTGTCTTTCTCTCTCACTATAATTTTTGCTACCGCAGAGCAGAAAAACTTAGTGCTAACCTATGGTCCAAAGTTAATAGAACCTATGGTTGTAAATCATCCATAAATAAAACATGAAGTGAATAAAAGCACAGTTATGAAACTGACATAATTTTAGTTGTTTTGTCTTATAACAATAACCTCCCGGTAGGAAAGAGAACTGTATTTGATCTTAAGTAAAAATGGATAATAATGAAGTTTGATTTGCTATATTACCCCCTTAATGTCACTTGTTATTCGTGCAGAAATATGCAAGCTTTGACTCTGCAGTATGTAGCCAGTAACACAATTTCAATAGAATATTGGTTGTTATGACTTTCATCATGATGTTTAATATTGAGTTGCTTGTTCTTTCACAGTGAATTAGAATTAAGAAATGCTTCAAGAAAATTGAACCTAGACTAGCATTTCAGGCTTCAGTTAATTCCTTAGTTTCTCTTTTAATGTAGTATGTAGAAATACTTATCCTTCCACTTCTCTCCATTTCTTTCCCTATCAAAGTTTACTCTTTTGCTTAGCTGATATGCCCTTTTCTTCTGAACTTAAATTCATAGACAAAAGAAATATTTTTACGTCTTCTTATTCTATGTACATCATGCTTCTAACATTAATTGCAACTCAAGCAGCAAGAAAATAAATGACATTTACAGTGAGGAAGAAAAACAGATTCTGTAGTAACTTCAAGATACCAATGTAAATTAAATAAAAACTGGGAGAACTAGACTTTTTTTCACATGAATAGATATTTGCTCACAGAATAAATACAAGTTTGCTTGAGTGGAAAAACCACTGATTGGCAAAAGACAGGAGAAAGCCTGTCCTATTTTACACATAAATGAAATATGTTTTCAAAAATATGTATATTAAAGTTATAGAAACAATTTGAACTATTAGAAAGAACCTCTAGCCCCTCCTGCCCAAAAATCTACCGTCCTAATTAATGAGTGATTTTTTTTTTCTGCTTTTCACAACACTTAAAAAATAAATTCAGCCAGGCACGGTGGCTGACGCCTGTAATCCCTCCATTTTGGGAGGCCAAGGCGAGCAGATTATTTGAGGTCAAGAGTTCTAGACCAGCCTGACCAACTTGGTGAAACCCCATCTATATTCAAAATACAAAACATTAACCAGGTATGGTGGTGCATGCCAGTAATCCCAGCTACTTGGGAGGCTGAGGTACGAGAATCATTTGAACCCCAAAGGCAGAGGTTGCAGTGAGCCAAAATAGCACCACTGCCCTTCAGCCTGGGCATCAGAACAAGACTCTGTCTCAAAAAAGAATTAATTAATTAATTAATTGTAAATAAATCCACCCTTATTCTTTCTGCAAAAAATAAGCAAGATCTAAAGTATAAATTAAAGCTTTACTTTCAAAGAAGAGAATAATATTAAAATCAACAGCAATGATTCTTTTAATACTTTTGCTATCTAACTACATAAAAGTTAATATATTGAAGATGAGTATTTCATCACAGCTTTTTGTAGTAGAGAAAAATAATTTAATTTAAATATTTGTTTTAAAATAATATTAGCATCCTGATAATATATTATATGTAAAGACAAACATCAATACAATTCTTCACCTTCCAGGCTCTACTGGTAAGTTGCAAATGGATACTTTATTATTTTATTTAAAAGTGCACAATTTAGATACCTGGAGTAAGTAGTCACAGCCCACGTTTTAAAAAGATTGGTGTAATTTTGCCATTTTATAACAAAAAAAGCTTGAAATTTTTCTGAGTTGTGGTAGCTGTATTTCATTAATTTAACTGTAAACATATTTGTAATCAGAAGCCTATGCTGCGTAATGTTTACTTTAATTAAAAGTTGTCTGCAACTAAAGTGTTCACGAAGGACATGATTTCAAATTTCATATTTTCAAAGTAAAAATATTTCTCTGGAATTATAAGTAAATTAAGTGCTTCATGTATAATGGTCTCAGATGACTGATATAAGTAGAGGGAGAGAGAAAGAGAGAGAGGGAGAGAGAGAGAAAGAGAGAGAGAGAGAGAGAGAATCTGTTTCTTTGGGTAGCTTTAACAGAAGTACCATAAACTAGTTGGCTTATAAATAACACATGTTTATTTTGGAGTCTTGGAACTTCAAAATCGAGGCACTGGCATATTCAGTGTCTCACATCTGGTGAGGGCCTCACTTTACCTCATAAATGGTATCTTCTTGATGACGGAAGTGGCAAGGAAACTCACTGGAGCTTCTTTTATAAGGACACTAATCTCACTATCAAGGCTCTGCTCTCATGATCTAATCACCTCTCATGTTCCCCATCTCCTAATACCATCACCTTGGTGGTTAGGATTCCAATGTATGATTTTTTAGTGAATACAGACATTTTAATCATAGTGGATAAATAGGTATATAGAAGATAGAGATAAGGGAGGCAGACGTATACATATATATATATATATATATATATATATATACACCATTTTTCTGTGAAAATATATCTTTATGATATTTATTGAATTATTAATTATTCTGTTAAAATACTTGATGTGATGATGACTTAGAAATGATTTCTAGGAATGACATTGAAACTATCAACTGATTTAGGTAGATTACAGAGCTGTAATTGGTTATAAGCACTGTCATTAAGCCAAACTTAAATACTTGTCTACAGGATACAAATAAATTATTCTTGCTTTTATGAATTAAAAAAAAATAATAGTACTAAACATGCTAGTTTATGTAGATTGTTGAGCCCTTATAGATTATAGATGATTTTCCTATTTTCAATATTAATCATTTATTACAGATTAAAACATTTGAGTGTGACAGTTTTTCTCATAACAAAGATGAAATACAGATCTCAAACGCTAGGAAAGGAAGACACCAGGAATACTTGTGTATGGCATGTGACACAAGATCTTCAAATAAATATGCACTTTATATAAATTTCATAGAATCACATGAATGAAGGAGTTTGCAAGACCACAGGTGACAGTTAATTTCTTGGGTCATCTTGGCTAGAGTATGGTGCCCTGTTGTTTGTTCAAACAATAGTCTTGATATTGCTATTAATGTATTTTTACATGATAAGTATTTACAATCAGCTGAACTAAATTAAAGCAGATTATACTCCCTAATGTGGGTGGGCTTCAAACAATCAGTTGAAGGCTGTAGAGCAAAGTCTGGGTTTTCTTGAAGCAGAAAGAATTCTGCTTCAATAACTCTTGACCCCTGTATTATTTGGATCTGTGTCCCATTCAAGTCTCATGTCAAATTGTAATCTCTAATGTTGGAGGTGGCGCCTGGTGGGAGGTGATTGAATCATGGGTGCAGATTTTCTCCTTAGTACTGTACTTGAGATAGTGAGTTCCATAAGATCTGTTTGTTTAAAAGTGTGTAGCACCTTCCCACTCTTTTCCTCCTGCTCAGACTTTGTGAAGTACTGACTCCTCCTTTGCCTTTTGACGTGATTGGAAGCTTCCTGAGGCCTCCCCAGAAACATTAGCCATCACGCTTTCTATACAGCATGTAGAACTGTATCCAATTAAGCTATTTTCTTTATAAATTGCCCAGTCTCAGGTATTTCTTTATAGCAGTGTGAGAACAGACTAATATGGAAAGTTGATACCAGGAGTGGGGTGTTGATAAAAAAGTTTCTGAAAATGTGGAAGCCACTTTAGAACTGGATAACAGGCAGAGATTGGAAGAGTGTGGAGTGTTTAGAAGAAGACACGAAAATGAGGGAAAATTTGGAACTTCCTACAGATTTGTTGAATGGTTGTGACCAAAATGCTGATAGGGATAAGGACAATGAAGTCCAGGCTGAGGAGGTCTCAGATGGAAATGAGGAACTTATTGGGAACTGGTGTAAAAGTCACTTTTTCTATGCCTTAGTGAAGACCCTGCCTGCATTGTGCCCTTGCTCTTTAGAATTGTTGAACATTTGAACCTGAGAGTGGTAATTTAGGATATTTGGTGAAAGAAATTTTCTAAGCAACATAGAGCTTAAGATGTGACCTGGCTGCTTCTAACAGCCTATGCTTATATGCATGAGCAAAAACATGATGTAAAACTAGATATTTCAAAAGGAAGCAGAGCATAAAAGTTTGGAAAGGGCATGGTGTGGTGACTCACACCTGTAATCCCAGCATTTTGGGAGGCCGAGGTGGGTGGATGCCTGAGCTCAGGATTTCGAGACCAGCCTGGGTAAGTCAGTAAAACCCCATCTCTACTAAAATACAAAAAAAATAGCCAGGTGTGGCGGTGTGTGCCTGTAATCCCAGCTACTTGGGAAGCTGAGTCATGAGAATCACTTGAACCCGGGAGGTGGAGGTTGCAGTGAGCCAACATGGTGCCACTGCACTCCAGCCTGGCAACAGAGGGAGAATTCATCTTAAAAAAAAAAAAAAGTTTGGAAGATTTGCAGCCTGGCCATGTTATAGAAAAGAAAGACCCATGCTCAGGGGAGGAATTCAAGTAGGCTTCAGAAATCTGCACAAGTAAAGAGAAGTCAAGTGCTAATAGTCAGGATAATGGAGAGAAGACCCCAAAGGCATTTCAGAGACTTTGCAACAGTGGCTCCCATCACAGGCCAGAGCCCTAGTGGGGAAGAATGTTTTCATGAGCCAGGCCCAGGGCTCTGCTGCCCCCTTCAGCTTCAGGAAACTGATCCCCATATACCAGTCACTCCAGCTCCTGCCATGGCTCAAAGGGGCCCAGGTACAGCTCAAGCTGCTGCTTCAGAGGGTCCAAGCTGTAAGCCTTGGTGGCTCCATGTGGTATTAAGCATGGGGGGTGTGCACAGAGGGCAAGAGTTGAGGCTTGGGACCTTCATCTAGAATTCAGAGGATGTATGGAATAGTCTGGATGTTCAGGCAGAAGCCTGATGCAGGGACAGAGGCCTCATGGAGAACCTATACTAGGTCAGTGCAGAGGGGAAATGTGGGGTTGGAATTCCCACTGGGGCACTGCCTAGAGGAACTGAGAAAAGAGGGCCCCACCATACTCCATACTCCATACTCCAGAATGGCAGATCCACCTGCAGCTTGCACTCTGTGCCTTTATAAGTTGCAGGCATTCAACACAAGCCATGAGAGCAGCTGTAGGGGCTGGACCTTGCAAAGCTACAGGGGTGGAGCTTCCCAAGGCCTTGGGAGCATATCCTTCACACAGGCATTCTCTGGATGTCATTTGTGGAGTAAAAGGAGACCATTTTGAAGCTTTAAGATGTAATGACTGCCCTGCTGGGTTTTGAACTTGCCTGGGTCTTGTTGCCCCTTTCTTTTAGCCAGTTTCTACCTTTTGGAATGAGAGTATTTACCCAATGCCTATACACTCATTATATCTTGGAAGTAACTAATCTGCTTTTTATTTTACAGGCTCATAAGTAGAAGGGATTTGCCTTGTCTCAGATGAGACTTAGGACTGTGGATTTTTGAGTTAATGCTGGAATGAATTAAGACTTTGGGGGACTGTTTGGAAGGCATGATTGTATTTTGAAATGTGAGAAGGATATGAGATTTGGGAAGGATTGGGGGTGGAATGATGTTCTTTGGACCCGTGTCCCTACCCAAATCTCATGTCAAATTATAATCCCCAATGTTGGAGGTGGGGCTTGGTGGGAGGAGATTGAATTATTGCAGTGGATTTCTGCCTTGATAATCTCCTTGCAATAGTGAATGAGTGCTCATGAAATCTGTTTGTTTAAAAGTGCATTGCACCTCCCCACTTTGCTCTCTTCCTCCTGATCTGGTCATGTGAAGTGATGCAACCCCAGAAGCAGAAGACACTGTGCTTTCTGTACAGCCTGTGGAACCATAAGCCAATTAAAATCTTGTATTGTAAATTATCCAGTCTCAGATACTTCTTCATAGCAGTGTGAGAATGGATTAATACAACCACCAAATTACTACATATTAATACACTGTTGTTACAGTTACTCTCTCTTATTTGCTTTCCTTTGAAAATATTAGTTTTCATGTTTTGATCTCTTTTTGGTTTTTACATGCCCTCATTTTATTAATTCTCTAAGCATTATTATAATCTATAATGAAGAAAAAGCAAAAGAGTTGGGTAGAAAGACAAAAATATGTTACTAAAACTAGAGTTGACTGTTTATTAAGAGAAGCTTGAAGAAATTCAGTTTTGTAATTTATAGTTTTCTCACTATTTAAGCAACTTCAGTCAAGATCATCCATCAAACAGTATGGAGACATCCATGTGGAAATCCTAGCTTCCAGTTAAATGGGGCAATTATTTTGTTGTTGATTATGTTATTTGTCTGTTTTTGCTTATTCCCCTGAAGGAAGAACTACTCCTTGGAATACTGAAACTAGCAAAACACCAGTGCTAAGAGACGTAGAAACTGGTAACGCATTTTTTTTTTAAAAGTATCATTGGGAAGAATTGTGAGTGGTGAAATACTCACTCCCACAATATGGTTTGTAAAATATATTTTAAAATGTGAGAAGTAATACCACATCATATAAAGCCTTATATAGGTACACTGCCCAAATTCACAAAATGTTCTATTTCTCTTTCCTCATTTGTTTTTTATTCAGTCATTTATTTATATACATATGAGCTATCACATCATTATTTTATTTTTATTATAATCCAACACTAGATTATTAATGTTTTTCTCAAGTCATTCCAAATTTATCCATTAGGAGCTGTTTTATTTTGGCTTCTCTGATCCTTTGTCATCTCTCATCTTTTTGCTTGGGAGCTTTTCCTTCCTTTCAGATACTACAAGATGCTACAGACTTATCTTGTTTTTTTTTTTCTAGCTCTATTTTTAGAATCAGTCATTTTTACAAAGACCTTAGATCTTTATATTTGAGAATAAAATTTAAAAACCCAGGTCTTTGCTCAGTGTTGGTTGGGTGCCAACAACCAACCTAGGACTCCTCAGGAGACAGAGCTAGAGAATATATGTATGAATACTAACCTCTGCATCCACACATTTGTCTATGCTCATCTATACCTATACTGTCTGTAAATCCATATGTACTTATACTAAGCAAAACATGAATTTATACTGATATCTCCCATGCTAACTTAGCACCATATGATTCATTCTAGGCTTCATCCTTTGTTTACCAGTAACTTCCCTCCCAGACAGTGAGAAAACTCACTGTTGACCTTTACCTTCCATTTGTTCAACCCTGATGTATATGTAAAGCAGTTTCAGAATTGTTAACCTGAAACCCCATGAGAAAAGACCAACTGGAATACAGTGTTTATATAAAGTTCCCTTTCTCTTTAGCCTTATAGTTTTCAGTCAAAACAATATTTTACAAGGTTACTCCTATTAGTTCCTTTTTACTGCTCACCTCCTTCAATGAGGTTATGGCATACACTTGTAGTACGACTAAATTATTTTCCCCCAGTCTTCAGTATGTTTTTTATGTATTTGGAAAATTTATATATGTACTATGCAAATTGAGAAAACATATATGCTACATGAGTCGTCATTTCTGTCAACACAAAGGATATAGAAAAAGCTTATTCACAAATAATATTCACAAATGTTCTACATTTTATCATGCCTTGGACTTCTTATTGATGTGATGATGTCACATTTTTCTATTTCTTATATACTGAAGATACACAATAGGTATTAAATAATTTATTTTAATTAAGCACAGATGTACATATATTTATATATTAATTTGAAAATTCATTTTTAATTTTATTTTTATTACTTCTTGAACTAAGAATAATTTTATATTTTTAATTAAATAATGATTAAATGATCACATATTGATATTATTATATTTGTCGAAATATTTCTGAACAAACATGATGGGACTGTTCGTGGTATCAATATATTTGCTAATCATAACCATAATTTAGAATCACACAGCTTGTATATATGCTTTCATCATCATAATCCTAGTAAAAATGGAGATGGCAAGACTATTTTTATAGCAAAGACACGATATTTCACTAGAAAATAGAAACCAAATAATAATAAATAATTACTATTACTACATTTCAAAATACTACATTTCAAATACTGAGTGCTCAATTTACCTTGTCAACATCTGATATAATTTTCTAAATCATAAATATAAATTGTTTATATTCTTAAATAGTTTTTAAATTTAGAAGTTTTTATGGTGCTAAAATATATATGACATGGAATTTACCATTTTAACCATTTTTTCACTCTCATTATTTTTTATTGATACATAATATCTGTAACATATTTAGGGGGTATATGTGATATCTTGTTGGATGCATAGAATGTGTAATGATTAAGTCAGGATATTTAGAGTATCCATCACCTCAGTATCTATCATTCTACGTGTAAGAAACATTTCAAGTCCTCTCTTCTAGCTATTTTGAAATACGCAATACCTTCTTGTTAACTATAGTCACCCAACCCTGTTATCAAACTTATTTCTTTTATCTAAATTGATGTTTGTACCCATTAATCAAGCTCTATCATTATCTCCCATCCCTCACACACACCATTCTCAGCTTCTGATATCTATCATTCTACTCTCTACCTTCATGGGATCAACAGTTTTAGCTCCCACATATGAGTGAGAACACGTAATATTTGTTAATCTGTGCTCTGCTTGTATCACTTAACATGATGACTTCCAGTTCTATCCATGTTGCTGCAAATGATATGATTTTATTCTTTTATATGGCTGAGTAGTATTCCACTGTGTATATAGATCACATTTTCTTTATCCATTTATCTGATGATGGGTACTTAGTTTGATTCCATTTCTTTACTATTGCGAATAGTGCTGCAATACACATGCAAATACAGGTATTCCTTTGATATATTGATTTTTCTCCTGTGGGTAAACATGCAGTAGTAGAATTGCTATATCATATGGTAGTGCTGCTTTTAGTTTTTTGAGAAATCACCATACTTATTCCTATAGTAGCTGCATTAATTTACATTCCCACCAGGATTGTATGAGAGTTCCCTTTTCTCTGCATCCATGCCAGCAATGTACTTTTTGTCTTTTTAATAATAGCTTTTCTAATAGGTATAAGATAATCTCTCTTTGTGATTTCGATTTGCATTTCCCTGATGATTAGTGATGTTGAGCATACTTCATACACCAGATAGCCACGTATGTTTTCTTTGAGAAATGTATATGTGTATACCCATATATATATCCTTTGCCCACTTTTTAATAGGATATATTTTTTTTTCTGTTGAATTGTTTGGGTTTCTTTTTTACTGAGGATATTAGTTCCTTGAATAAATAGATTGCAAGTACTTACTCCCATTCAACAGGTTTTCTCGACTCTATTGATTGATTCTTTTACTGTGCAGAAGCTGTTTTAGTTCAACATATTCCCATTTGTCTATTTTTGGTTTTGTTGCCTGTGACTTTGAGGTCTAAGCCATATAATCTTTACCTAGATCAATGTCCTGAAGTGTTTTCTTTAGGTTTACTTCTAGACATTTTACAATTTTGGTTCTTAAATTTATATACTTAATCCATCTTGAATTGATTTTTGTATATGTTGAGAGATAGGGGTACTGTTTAATTCTTGTGCATATAGATAACTAATTTGCCCCTCGATATTTATTGAAGAGGGTATCCTTTCCCCAATGTATGATCTTGGCAACTTCGTTACAAACTGGTTTGCTATAAACAAGTGGATTTATTTCTGAGTTTTCTGTTCTGTTCTGTTTGTCTCTCTGTCTGTTTTTAAATAAATCCCATAATGTTTTGGTTATATATCCTTGTAATATATTTTGAGGTCAGGTAATATGATACCTCCAGGTTTTTAAATTTTTGTTGTTGTTTGTTTTGCTCAGAATTTCTCTTTTTATTATTCCATGTAAATTTTAGAATTTTTTCTATTTCTTTGTAAAAAATGACATAGGCATTTCAATAGAGATTGTATTGAATTGGTAGATTGTTTGAGATAGTATGGTCATTTTGAAGAATTAAATATGTTAATTCTTCCCATCTATCAGCATAGAATGTCTTTACATTTTCTTGTGTCTTCTTAAATTTTTTTCATCAGGGGTTTATAGTTTTCCTTGTGGTGGTCTTTAAATATCCTTGGTTAAATTTATTTCTGGGTATTTTATATTTTGGTAGCCATTATAAAGGGGATTACTTTCTTGATTTCTTTCTCATTAAGTTAATTAGTGGTGTAAAGAAATACAACTCATTTTTGTAGACTGGTTTTGTATTCCGCAACAATAGTGAATTTATTTATCAGATATAAGAGTTTTCGATGGAGGCTTTAGATTTTTCTCTACATAAGATCATGTCATCTGCAAAGAGAGATAATTTGAATTCCTCTTTTTTAATTTGGACATTGTTTCATTCTCTTGCTTGTTTTCTTTGGCTAGGACTTGAGTACTATTAAATAGGAGTAGTGAAAATGGGCATCCTTGTCATGTCTTAATCCTTAGAAGCAAGCTTGTAGCTTTTACCCATTCACATTTAAGGTAAATGACACATATATATGTTAGCTGTCGGTATTTGACCCATGTGTTATTTACTACATTGAGGTATGTTCCATGCCTCATTTGTTGAGAGTTTTAATCATGAAAGATGTTGAAGTCCCCAACTATTATTGTATTAGAGTCCATATCTCCCTTGAGATCTAATAGTGTTTGCTCTATTATGTGGGTGCTCAGGTGTTGAGTGTATATATGTTTAGAATTGTTACATCCTCTTGATGGATTAATCCCTCTGTGATTATGTAATGACTTTGTCATTGGATGTAATTTCTCATTGGATGTAATGTCATTGGATGTAATGTCATTGGATGTCAAGGGATTGATCCTTTATAATTATGTAATGACTTTTTTTTTTTACTCTTTTTACTGTTTATCTTATATAAGTATAGCTACTCCTGCTCCTTTTTGGTTTCTGTTTGCATGGAATATCTTTTTCTGTCTCTTTACTTTTAGTCCACCATATGTGTCTTTACAGGTGAGATGAAGTTCGTGTAGGCAGCATATAGTTTAATCATGTTTTTCAATCCATTCAGTCAGCCTATATATTATATGTGAAAAGTTCAATCTGTATACATTCAAGGTTATTCTTGATATATGAGTGTTTACTTCTGTCATTTTATTAATTGATTTTTTATTGTTTTGTATATCTTTCATCACTTTCTTTATCTGTTATTGTTTATCACTGTGGTTGGGTGGTTTTCTGTAGTGGTAACATCTGAGGTCTCTCTCTTCCTCATTTGTGTGTTTGCTTTACCACTGACTTTTATACTTTCATGTGTTTTCATGATGGTACATATCATCCATTCACTTCCAAGTGTCAGACTCCCTTAAGCATTTCTTGTAGGTCCAGTCTAGTGGTGATGAATTCCCACAACTTTGCTTGTCTCAGAAAGACTATTTCTCTCATTTATGAAGAATGACTTTGCAGCGTACCATATCCTTAGCTGGTAAGTTTTTTTTTTTCTTTCAGCACTTTAAATATATTGTTCAATTCTGTCCTGGCCTTGTAGTTTCTGCTGAGAAATCTGCTGTTAATCTTAAGGTGGTTCACTTAAATGTACCTAGTTGGATTATTTCAAATGACGGTTTTCTAGTTCTGAAATTCTTTCATTTGCTTGATCTGGTGTATTGTTGAAGCTTTCAAATGTATTTTATGTTTTATTCAATGAATCTTTTGGTTAAATAATTTCTGTGTGGTTCTTTGTTATGATCTCTACCTCTTTTGAACATTTCTTATTCACATGATGAATTATTTTTCTGTTTTTCATTTTATTTTTTCCAAGTTCTCTCATATCTCACTAAGCTTCTTTAATATCATTATTTTGAATTCCTTTTCTGGGATTTCATAAAAAGATTTTTTTCATTGGAATCTTTTGGTGGGTAATTATTGTGTTTCTTTGGAGGTGTCATATTTCTTTTTTTTTTTTCTTGCGTCTTTATGTTGATATCTGTGCACCTGGGGTAATAGTCCCTTCATCCAATCATTCGAATTTGCTTTACTGGGTGAGGACTTTTTCTTGATATATCTGTGGTGTTAGTTGTATAGGACACCTGGGCTTTGATTCTGCACAGTCTCTATATGATTTTTGGGCTGTAAACAGTATCAGTAGTGTCTGTGATTTCCTCACTGCCTTAGGGTGTAGTTGTTAGTGAAGGCTCTGATGAAGTCTTCCTGTAGATGGGGACATCAAGTTGGCCAGTCCTCAGGCTCCACTGGTGGCAGTGGCAGGCCAAGCTTCCTTATCCCTGAGCCCCAGGGTGGTGTATGCTGGCAACAGTGTCAGTGAGTCCAGATAAAGCATTTTTGGGGTTTTCAGGTGTTTTGTTTGGTTGCTGGCAGTGATAATGGAAGGTGGGGTTGGTGAGTGGGTCCATGAGCCCCTGGGCAGTCAGTGTGGCATGGCAATGGCAATAGCAATGGCAGGACAAGTTTCAAGCAGTCCACACTCGTGTTGGCGGTGGCTGCAATGGGCTGGGTAAACTAGTCCCCAGGCCCATGAGTGGCATGCAGGTGGGTGCCAGCTATGGTGGTAATGTCAGGTTGGGTGGGTGCTTACTCAGGCCACTTTGAGGATTACTCAAGTGCTAATAATGGTGGTGGATAGGGCAGGGCAATCCCCAGGCTTCTACTTGATATACTCGGGTACTAGGGGTGGTGGAGCCTGGCCAGGTGGGCCTATCCTCAGGCCCTCCACCAGTGTGTATTGGTGCTGGCTGTGGTAGGAGAAGTGAGTTGATTCCCAGTTTCCCAGCACAATATTTGGATGGGGGCAGCGACCCTGCTGCTGGGAGGGAGGGCTGCTTTCAGTGGCAGCAACTATAAACAGGTGGCTGGGGAGTACATGCATCAGCCCCAGGTGGTGGCTATAAGTGAGGTACCCCTTCCTTGGTGTGCTTTTCAATATATCATGGCCCTGCTACTGGGGGTAGCAGGGTCACTGCCATTGGCTCATGCTTTAACTTCGTAGCAGCAGCCCGAAGAGGCACTTGGCTGCAAGTAGAGGATGTTAATGGTGCTTCAGGGATGTGAAGATGTAAGTATTGCTGGGCCCCAGAACAAGATCCAGTACGATAGAGGCTAAGCTCTCAAAATGGAACTTTGTTATAGCTGCTTAGGACTCAAGTGGTGATGTGGGACCCTGCATGAGCTTCCTCTAGGGAGTCGTAGCCTTGCACAGTCTCTAGGCAACTCCTTATTTTAACCTCAAGACCCCTGTAGGTTGAGGTATTCTCTCGTGGCTAGGTTTGCAGGAGTCCACAGTAAAAATGTGGACCACCGAGTGTCACTCACTTACCTTTTCCTCACATTGGGGAGCCTCTCCAGACTTCCAGCTGATCTCACCAAGCCAGTTGTCTTACTTCCTTCTCCTTCCTTACCTTAATTTTTCCTGTAATTTATTTGTTGAATTCCAGCATTCTCTCTTAAGTGATCTACTGGAAGAGTAGTTATCTACTTGCTATTTCAGTTCTTCTTTGCGGAGGAGACGTGTACCAGATGACTCTAGTCAGCCATTTTGAAACTACTTCCATTTTAACCATTTTTAGATGTACAGTTCAGTCAAGTACATTCACATTGTGCATGTTTAGAAGATTATATACTTAGTTTCATTTACAACATCTAAATGCTGACTGAAGTTTGAAACCTTGCCCCGACTCATCAGAAGTTTCAAAGTAATATAACCCAACTGCTACTGAAATAAGACAGTATAACTTTTTATACTATTGTGTTTAATTTATTGCCTAGATTCTAACTCTTTGCTATATATATATATATATATATATATATATATATATATATATATATATTTTTTTTTTTTTTTTTTTTTTTTTTTTTTGAGACGGAGTTGTGCTCTGCCACCCAGGCTGGAGTGCAGTGGCACGATCTTGGCTTACTGCAAGCTCTGCCTCCTGGGTTCATGCCATTCTCCTGCCTCAGCCTCCCAAATAGCTGGGACTACAGGTGCCCGCCACCATGCCCAGCTAATTTTTTTTTGTATTTTTAGTAGAGACGGGGTTTCACTGTGTTAGCCAGGATGATCTCGATCTCCTGACCTTGTGATCCGCCCGCCTTGGCTTTGCTATATTTTAAAATATATTTTTATTATAAGATCTTTCTGGAAATATAAGAAAGCAACCAACAATATTGGCTTCATACAATGCAGAAATTTCAGGGTCATTATTTATTGTATAATGTTTAGTGTAAAATAATTACATTTGCAATAAATGTTTATTTCAAATTTTAGATACCATATTGTAGTTTCCTAAACCATTTTGAATAGAGCAGAATTCAATTTTAAAGGTAATATTGAGTTTTACAAAGCAAGAGTCAGTTTTATTAGTATTACTACATATTTCACAAAAAAAGCAAATAAATAATGATGGTATTATGAATAACACAGAGTCCATTTAACTCATGAATGGAAAAAGCAGGCTCCTGAAAAAGCATAGATAGGATATATAGAACTGCTTAACTGCCAAAACATTTAGTTAAATAATATTTACTCCTATGAGCAAGAGGCTTATATCTCAGTTGGTTAAACAACATTGTCAAAGATAGAGAAAATACAGAAATAGACAAAATACAGTTTTTGGTTTCTAAGATTACATTTGTTTAACACATACGGATTTCAAGAAGCAACATTCAAATATTTAAAACATAAGCATGAAACAATCAAATAAACCTTAAATGAATGTATCTTCAGTTTCTCATCTCCTCACCCAAGTGGACCAAAAATCATAGTTAATACAAGTCTATAACCAGATAGGTTGCCTATTTCTTATCTCCGTCTAAATTAATAGCCTGCAACAAGCAGGAGAGATGGGGATAAAATCCAATTAATGCCTGTACTGTGAGTACAGAGTTGCACTGATATTCAGTAACTTGGGTCACAGAAATTGCAATGCAGAAAATATAGTCTGAAAGATATCATTTTCTAGTCTTTCGAGCATTTTCCATCACAGAAATTTCAAACTTTCCTCCTTTTTCAAAGCTTGTTCATTACTGTCAGCAAATATATGGGGTCCACATATGAAGAACCTGAGTATATTATGTATGATTTCCCTTATGTATCATATCTCCCACTTTCAACTCCCTGTTTTTACTCTTAATTACGTCTGTTTCAAATTCAGAAGAATCTACTTTGGGTTCAAGGTAAATAACTCTTCCTGTGCTTTTGTGGCCCCCACTCCCTTCTTTTTACCTAAAACTTAAATTCTTTCAAAGGTCATATTAGGTAAGGATTTCTGGTTGTTTTCTTTTACATTGCTGTATGCTGCGCCTAAATACCATATACATACGTATATATACATATATACGTATATACATATAGGTATGTATATGTAAGAGACGTAAGGAAGAATTGAGACTGTATGAAGAAACATGAAAAGGCTGAGAAAGTTTATACTGAAAATAAAGTGGAAGAGAGGCATATATATTGTGTGTGAAACACACACACTATATATATACATATATATGTATATGTTTCACACACAATATATATACCTCTCTTCCACTTTATTTTCAGTATAAACTTTCTCAGCCTTTTCATGTTTCTTCATACAGTCTCAATTCTTCCTTACGTTTCTCCCTTCTAGAGGCATCACTAATCTCTCCTTATTATCTTCTTCTTTTAATGGTAAAATATATATGCTTCCTTCTGGCTCTTCACCTTATTCACTCTTTGACCTACTAAACTTCTCTCTTGTCTCCTTATTCTGCTGAAATATACTAAATTTTTTTAAATTTGCAATTAGATAATCTCCAAATCCAGTAGCCTCTTCACATTCTCTCTGCCATTTTGTCTTTGCATGACAAATTACACTATTTGCTCTTTTTGCTTTTTTATTCATATTTTACTTTTGAGGTATAAAATATCACTCTGTTCTCATTTTTTTCTCTCATTTTGTTCTTTCTCTCTTTCCTTATTCACTTCCATCCTTATAATTGTTCATGGAGTGCTCCTGAAAGTTTTCCCTTAAACATATTTTTGAATGCGTGCATTCTTTTCTTGTGAAATTTTATTTCCTGTCACAGCTCTAAGTACTTTAGTGATGGATGTTCATTAGCATCTACTCAGATGAGCTCTCCACTAGGTTTATCTTTTCATATAATGCCCAAGTAATTGCATCAGCAAGCACTGCTTCCCACATTTTAAAACAAAGTGTATTTCCATTCCACATGGCTAAAGAAGTCTCCACATTATTTCCATTTCATCCAGATAACACTTTATTCTGATTTTATATCCCCCTTTCTTATAAAATACACAGAGATGAGAAAACCTTAGCTCCAAGGGAGAAGTTCGTCAGTTAAGGTAAGTAGCAACCTTGTAGGAAATGCGTTTTTACAGGTGTTTTGAGCCTGGGTTGTAATTGGAAAAGAGACATGGAAATGAAGAGTTGGTCACATATCTGAATCACTTTATAAAATGGTCTTTTTTCAACTGCTATTGGAGCCACCTACATTCAGGGCTCCCAAAAAATGCCACACAAGGTTAAATGTGTTACAGTTTCTGGGTAGTTGTTTCACATTTAATAATCATTCTGGAAAGAAATTTGCCATGCATCCATTGTCACACACCAGTAAGTCAGAAATGTTTGGATCTTGATTTTTCAATAGAAATCCTGACACAATATAAAGTCAAAACCAGTTTCATATGGGCTGATAACAACTTCTTCTTGAATCAGGAGAATAAAAATACTGAATCATAAAACTAGGCACATTCATTCAGTGGAAAGTTGTATTTGATTCCTTTTATTGAATAGTTTTTTTGGAGAAAATGGCTGATGAGCTTTCTTGGATGACAAATACATCAGAGCATCTAACAACAACAACAAAAAAACTGAATGAGAATGGCTTGAAAAAAATAAAAGTTCCCCTAAGTATGGTTGTTTTCTAAACTGTTCATACTATGTGTTATTTGACTTTGAAGACATTTATATAATTTATAAAGTAAAATCAGATATGAATTGAGCTAAATGTTTCTCTGCTCCTATTATTTATTATCTGGTAATGATAGTGAAACTTCAGGAAAGTCTCACAAAAAAATAGCGGAAGAAGAGCAGAACAATGTGTCATTGAAAACGAAAGGTGTTCTTTCTTTTTAAATGCCATCAGTAGATGAATTTATTTCAAATGCTCATTTTAAATATATTATGTGTAAAAATACCAAACCAATATACTTGCAACAAGTAGAGGCAATTCCATGTAATGGAAAGCACACTGGAACTCAATCACATAAAAATTGTTAAGTTTTCTGATAACTCAAAACCCCTGCAATATGTCACTGCTGAGCTACCAAGCTAAAATGCTCATAAGTGAGTTTCGCTATCAAGTGCAGAAAGAAAAGGTGCAAGATTATTTTGGTCCTCACAGAAAACAAGGTTTCACACATCTGACAACACTTTAATCAGGACACCAAAGCAAATGTGGTACTGTTGCCATTTTTAGTTTCACAACTCATTTGTTAGTGTTGCAAAGGAACAGAGTGTTATATAATAACCATTTGATGTGTATTTTAGGTGTGCATTATTCTGAATGTGGAAGTTCCCTGATGCAAAAGCTTAGTTATTCTTCATACCACCATCTGGTTGGTGTTTGCCTCAGTGGAAGCTTTCTATAATCTGGTTTGAAGTCAGAAAAATTATTTCAATAAGTTTCCTGAAGTTTAGCATCTAAAGACTGTTGTAAATGTTTATTTTGATACCTATATATTTAATAAATATAGGAACACCATCAAAGCCTGCAATATTCAGTGCAAAGGAAGGCAAAGATAATTTTCTCATTAGTTTCCCTTCTGCCCACCTTGAAATAAAGATACATAATAGCCAAATATGGGACAGATATTTTGAAAACTCAGGGATGAGTAACTACCAGATAGCAATAAACACCTCTTGCTCCTTCTACCAATGCTCTCCATAGCATCCATTACCAATCCTCTTAATGTTAGCACGCCTCCCAAGTTAAATTCCAACAAATCCCTACTCTCAGCCACCCTTTAACTAATCCTCAATTACTGTTGACCGGCAATGTTCTCAAGGTATAGTTTTTCCTTTGAGTTTACGTAAGGGATTTTTGAAAGCTGCAACATTTTCAGACCTAAACACTGTCACTTAACTTGTGATATTTATGGAAATTGACAAAAAGTAATCCCTTCTGCATGCACTTTTCTGAGGAAGGTTCAAATGTAGTGCTTGACCACAAACAATGCGCTATAATGACAGTATATTGTGTAGCAGGACACAATCTGTACAGAGAAGTGATGGAAGCTGATTTTTCTTTTCTGTCTCAATACACACCAAACCATGTGCCTTTGCTCTAAAGCATTATCTTCATTTATGTGTTTGGTTGTTTGTTAGGCCAGAAACATATTCTTTTTTGTTTGTTTGTTTTTTGAGATGGATTCTTGCTCTTTTGCTCAGGCTGGAGTGCAGTGGCACAATCTTGGCTCACTGCAATCTCTGCCTCCTGGGTTCAAGTGATTCTCCTGCCTCCGCCTCCCGAGTAATACGGACTAAAGACACCCACAACCATGCGTGGCTAATTTTTGTATTTTTAGTAGACACGGGGTTTCACCATTTTGGCCAGGCTGGTCTCAAACTTCTAACCTCAAGTGATCAACCCACCTTGGCCTCCTAAAATGTGCTGGGATTACGTGTGTGAGCCACCATTTCCAGCCAGGATACATATTCTAAACAAAACCAAACAAAATAAAGCAAAAAAACTAACAAAATAAATGGAATGCTTATTTTCCTCAGTGAGCATAAGCTCTCACTGAGTAAAACAGATATATTAAATAAGATCATTTGACTGATATTCAGTTGCTGTATTTTTTCATTTTAATTTCTTATCTCAGAAAAATAAAGGGGCAACATTTTTAAATTTATACTCTATTTTAAATCATTTACTGTGCAGATTTTCAGGGGATATGTCTTGCTGGAAAACTCAAGGGAATTAAGTACAGATAAAATCATTATTCATCTTTATTATCAGTAATAGAACATTGAAAATTACAAGGAAAATTATGTTATCTCACAATAGTAACAAAAAATAATAGTAAACTAATAATACCTTTAGCAAGAAGTTTGCCAAATCATTATGAATAGTAATTTTCTTAAAATAGAGTCCCCAAGAAGTTCCTGGAACCTATAAAAAATGTAAGTAAAGCAAAGATCAATCTGATTTATGAACATTATAAGCTCATTTGTCACCATGGGAACTGTAACATGAAAAATTTAAATCTAATAATGTTGAATGAAAGTATTTAAAGAATTCATGAGGTCCTTACTATAACATCTTCTTTCATAGCATATGATGCAGGCTCCTCTCTTCATAATCAAATTCACATTGCAAAATAAACAGTTTCACCATTAACAAAATTATAAAAATAAAACTCTGGAATTTAATTTTGGAAGTTTTAATCCAAATCCTTATCTTTTTGTAATTGTATAATGTATGTGACCATGCTACTGCAAATGATGTTATATACAGTTCAAATTGAGTTTGATCTCTCCACATTTTGTCACTATATATTTTCACATTATAGACATTCATATAATAATTTTGCTACATAATCTTTTGTAGTTAGTAAAAGAAAACACACTAATATTCATATGTCCAAATTTAGTTTCCAGGCATGCTAAAATAAATACCTCTGGAATGTTTATACTCTCATAAGGAGAAAAGGGGGTTAGGAGAAGTCATTTGGACATAAAAGTGTGATTCACCATTAAAGTAGTTTGCTATTACAAACTAGCAGAAAAACAGAAAATAACTAATGCAAATGTAACACATTCTAAATTTCTATGTTATTCACATGCATGATTTGAATGGTCTGAATTTGAAAATCATGGATAGGGTATCTTGTTAATGCATTTTATATGGCCAGTACAGAGGATACTTCATTTGTTTGTGTGCTATTTAGTATCTTTAGGTTGGATTAAACTCTAGTTTTCTTAAGACCATTTGATAGAGGCAGGAGGAAGAGAAATTCTAGGCAGACAGGGGAAGGTTCCTGGTGAAACCCCACTTTCAAGCCAAAGTAGCCTGAAACCCACGGCCCAAAGTGAGAACTTCTATTCCTGTGTGTCCCCTCTCTCCAGTTTGTTTCTTTCTGAATGTCTTTTTACCAATCCAATGTTGCCTTTTCCAAAACTGCTTATAGCCTATCCTGTACCCTCCATCCTGTGCCTATAAAGAACACAGACTCAGTCAGTAAGAGAGATGGCTTGACTTTGGGGAGAACTACCTGACCCTCCCATCCCCTCTCCAGCTCCCTTCTCTACTGAGAGCCATTCCCACTGCTCAATAAATTTCTCCACCCTCACCATCCTTGAAGTGTCCATATGACTTCATTCTTCCTGGATGCTGGACAAGAGCTCGGTACCCACTGAGTGCAGGTACCCAAAAAGGCTATCACACTAGCTCTTCTCCTCACCGATGGAGGGCCGCCACCCCACACGATGAGGCAAGGGGCCAACTGTGCTGTTAACACACAGCCGTCTGTGGACAGTGAAACTACATGAGCCCTGTAACAGCCTCTCTGGGGCTTCAGGTTCACGGGCACCCCCACCTGGGCACCACCACAGGTCCCCCACATAACTTGCTCCTGCTGGCGCCTGGAGTGGGGTGCCTGGATCCTGCACTCACTCGATTGCGCCTGATGGGGCAGGAACTTGCTCCTGGTGCCCAGAGCAGCCAGCCAAGTCCTCACTTGCTCTCTCATGGGCTCCCTCTTGCAATGGGTTGAACATGGCCGGCCAAGTAAACATTTGCCCCTGTCATGAGTATGATGAAGGGACCAAGAAAAAATCTTGCATTAACTTCACTTACTATTATTTTATAAGCTTTTACTTTTAATATTTACTGCATCAACCTGGCCCCCGAAGAGATTTCAGTGTCTAATCCTGGTTAGCATACTCATTTGGTTCTAGGATATCCACTTCCAGAAAAGTTGATGAACTTGGTTCAGTCCAACTATCCCTTATAGAAGAACTATAAAAAGTTCATAGAACTAAATATATATATATTATTTTAATATATACACATATATAACATACATATATATATATATAACTATAAAACTCAACTTCGACCCTAAGAAAAACATCTGACAAGTACAAATTAAGGGACATTCTACAAAATATCTGATTAGTACTTTTCAAAACTGGCAAAGTCATCAATAGCAAGCAAAGTATGAGAAAATGTTATAGCTGAAATGACCCTACATGACAATGGCATGTATTATGGTATGCTGAATAGAGTCCTGGGACAGAAAAAGGTACATATCGAACACTAATCTGAATAAAATGTTGACTTACGTATCAATATTTGCTCATTACTTGTAATAAATGCACCATAAAAAGATAACATGTTAATAATAGGAAAAACAGTGTATGGTGTATATTAGAGCTCTCTGTCCTATCTTTGCCATTTTTTTGGTAACTGTAAAATTAATACAAACAAAATATTTATTTTAAAATGCTGCAAAGACATAAAACCATGAAGATTATAAGAAGAAAACCCAAGTAAATACAAATTAGAGATGTTAAAACATGCCATGAAAACATGACTAAATATGCCTGCATTATTTCATTCATTAAAAAGTCATGATTGGCAAGGCACAGTGGCTCATGCCTGTAATCCCAGCACTTTGGGAGGCCGAGGCGTGTGGATCCCCTGAGGTCAGGAGTTCGAGACCAGCCTGGCCAACATGGCAAAACCCCATCTCTACTAAAAATACAAAAATTAGCCAGGTGTGGTGGTGTGTGCCTGTAGTCCCAACTACTTGAGGAGGCTGAGGCAGGAGAATCACTTGAACTCGGAGGCAGAGGTTGCAGTGAGCTGAGATAGCACCACTGCACTTCAGCCTGGGCAACAGAGCAAGACTCTGTCTCAAAAAAAAAAAAAAAAAAAAAGTCATGATTGTGAATATTAACTAAGGAAAATTGCATGATTACCTAAATCAATTAGCAACTTTCCTCCATTAATTATAAGGATAATATCAGAAATTAATAAGCTTAAGTCTTTATTTCTAGCTGTTAGCAATATCCATTCATTAAAAAACAAGTTAAATAAATTATATATAGTGAAAAATGTTGGAGAAATTATCACAATATCAATATTCAACTAAGGACAGCAGGAAAATTAAAATTTAAGTATAAGATATATAGTTTAGAAATCATAAAATGATAGGATTGATAAATAGATTAAAATTTTCATTCTTTAAAAGCATGAAGAAACAAACATTAAGGCAAATAAAAACAGAAAGATGATTAAACGCATATACACAAAAATTAATTTAAAAATTATTGTTTAAATTGAATTTAATTTTAAGACACTAGATATTGCACACATTTTTCTTACATATTAGAAAATAAGAATTAGAATTCTTGAATAAATAGAGTTCTATTCCAATCCTAATATAGTCTCCTAAAAATGTGTGAAGTATTTTTCTGTGAGCCTTTTGCTGCACACCGAAAAGACAATGGAATATTCTTCTTACATCTTCAATAAGAAGCTGTTCAGTGTAAATTTACATTAATAGAGTGCTAATATACAAAATGAAGACTATAGTAAATAAAATCATGTTGGACTAAAGTTTTTTGTTAAATAAGTAGATTTTAGCTCCTCTTGTAAAAAAAGAATAACCATGTGAGATGATAGATCTGTTAATTTGCTTCATTATAGCAACCATTTTATTATCTATATGTATCCCATAACATCCTGTCATAAATCTCAAATAGGCAAAAATCAAACTTATTTTTTACAAATTTACATTAATAGACCATTATCTCAACAGCCTCATGTAAGTCAGAGGAGAATTAAAGCCTTCAGTAAGCCAGGTAATTTCCTCTGTAATTTGTATGTTTGTGCTGTTGAAAAACCTGTAGTAAGGGACTAGGCATTTTTATCATATGCATGTAAAACAGGGGTATTTTTTCCTATAAAAGACAATACTTATTGATGTAAATACTTAATCTCCCAAAACAAATCATTTTTCAAGCACAGTTCTACTACTCCATGTATTTGTTTGCTAGGGCTGAGACAACAAAATATTAATAGTACAGAGTACCTGGCTTACATGGCAGAAATTCATTTTCTCACAGTGTTAAGAGTAGAAGTCTGAGATTAAAGTGTCAGTTGATTTGGATTCTCTGAGGACTCTCTCCTTGGCTTGTATCCACAAGCCACATTCTCACTGTGTCTTCCCATGGTCATCCCTCGATCTTTGTGTTGTCTGTGCCCGAATGTTTTTCATAAGGACATCAGTTGTATTGGATTAAGGCCCACCCATAGGACCTCATTTTTACCTTAATTACCCCTGTAGGCCCTTTCCCAAAATGTAGGCATATTCTGAGGCACTGGTAGTTTGGAAAGACACAATTCAGCCCACAGCACTCCAGATAACCACGCCTCTACTGTAACATTTGCATGATTTCCAAGAATCCTGGACAACTGTAAGCAGCACTTTGTAACCAGCAGTTTAAAGAGTCCTGCCTAAAGGTTCATGACTGGCTCACTTCTCATTGGTTGGTAGTCACTTTGTGAAAATTCTAAGCTCAGAAAAGAAGACAAAGAAAATGTGAGAGAGATTAATACTGGCCAAGAAACAACTATAAGGTAGACAGTTGTTTCACATTTTTTGTATATGGTTGTGGGTATGTTGTAACAAATCATAATTTAATTCATGTAGATGCAGAAAATGGGCTATTTTAGTTTTCAATGGCTGTAAAAAAATACTGCAAAATTAACAGCTTTGGACAACTTACATTTATTATCTCACAATTTCTGTGGGTTAGGAAACTGGACCTGGCTTAGCTGAATGCTCTGCTCAAGGTCTTACTAAACTATAGCCAGTATGTCAGGAAGGCTAGGATTTCATTCGGAGCTTAGGATCTTCTTCCAAGCTCCCTAAGATTGCCGGCAGAATACAGTTCAATATAGTTTTAGGATAAAGTGCCCAAATCTTAGAGGTAAACCCTCTTCATAAGGAGTTCTAAACATTGCCATGTGCAGCTGGCCAGGCACTGTGGCTCATGCCTGTAATCCCAGCATTTGGGAGGTAGAAGCAGACGAATCAAGTGAGGTCAAGAGTGTGGGCAGGAGTCTGAGACCAGCCTGGCCAATATGGTGAAACCCCGTCTCTACTAAAAATACAAAAATCGGCCGGGCATGGTGGCGTGCACCTGTAATCCCAGCTACTTGGGAGGCTGAGGCAGGAGAATCACTTGAACCTGGAGGTGGAGGTTGCAGTGAGCCGAGATTGCACCACTGCACTCCAGCCTGGGCTACAAAGAGAGACTCTAACTCAATAATAATAATAATAATAATAATAATAATAATAATAAATATTGCCATTTGCTTTCTTCTAGAACATGGGGAGAGCATTTCTTTAATACTTCACTGTCTTGTGAAGGGCTCACTTGAATATGTAAGGCTGACTCATTGTAATATTCCTTTCGATTGACTCAAAGTCAACTGATAAGTAGTCTAAACATGACAATAATATTCCATCATATTCCTGAGTCCCAACCACATTGAAAGGTAGGGGATTATATACAGCATGTATACCAAGGATCAGGAATCTTAATTCTGCCTATCATAGGGACCGTATTGAATTATTTTCGAGCTCAGATCATGAGAATTTATTTTTCATTCCTAGAAATTACAGTTTTAAACTTGATGGAAAAAAATTAATCGCAGGAAAACTTAAAGGGTTCTTCAATTTCAAGATTACTCCATACTAGTTAAAAGAACTATGAGATTCGAATGGTAGAAGAGAAATAAATTTTGAAGAGCAATGCCTATTTGAAAAGTCCAAAAGATAATTTGTGGTCTATTTGCATTGTGCAATTGTTTGCAAGGCTGCTATATGGAGGAAGTGTAATATTGATAATTTCCCTGTAACTTGTCAAGTGAAGTACTACTCTTGTTAATTGTGGCACAATTTGGCAACTGCACTATTAAGTCAAGGTTCCAATAAAATAGGGTGGAAGCCTAAGACCAGCATCTTTTAATCACAAACTAGAATATGGTTTATATCTTAACAGGTGTCCATTGAACCTCAAATTTCATTCTAAACACTAGATGGATGGATGGCTTAAATTAAACTCTTTCCTTCCATGTGTTACATGGTCAATTTTTTCTGCTGATGCTTGGCCTTTCCATTCTTTGGTACTGCAGTACTTACTGACTTCTTCTGCAGAGGGTCCTTGTGCTGTTTCTTATTTATGCCTCAGTTATTTCCAATATCTTAAGCTACATTAAATTAATAAAATGTTACTTGAAGATTCATAATGTAGTAAAATCACTCAGAGAAACTAATTTTCTAAATCACTCAAAAATAGTCTTTAATTTCCTAAGACACTGTACATTAGTTTAACCTGATGAAAAAATAATTTAGAAGGAGATAAAAGGAAGTAAGTCTCAGTATATTCTGCAATTGTTTGTCTGTCTCTCTCATAACTGTTTCTTTCTTTCATTCCTTTTTGTATCAACAAATCACTAATCTTTAGGTTAGTGAAGTTTAGTATGTATTTATTGAGTTATTTTCACAGTTTTCTCTGTAGGATAAATATTTAACGCATATTCATTGAACTTAAGTGAGTTTTCTCCATCTGTTTCCTGTTTCTTCATTCAGTTGTGAGTAATAACAAAAGAATGTCTATGCATGAGAAAAAGAATGTTGATGAAGTAACACCAATTTGGGTCTATCGATATCATAAAATTACTAAAATGTTAAAAAATAATTTTGATAGTTTAGTCAAAATGTTTCTGTTACCACAATTATCAGGTTATATTTGTCTGTATTTTGTGCATTTTATTATTTTTCTTTTCAAAATAATTTTTCTCTCTAATATTATTTGTTTTCCTAAGTATCTAAATACATATATTTTCTCTTGGCTCTATATGTACATTTCCTTTGTATAAGAAATTTTGATGATAGGGAAAAGTTTTCTGGGGAAATACATTTATTACAAGATTATTTTAGTAATCATTTTAAATTATTTTAGTTTGTTGAGTCTCTTCATTGCAAGTTTTTTTCATTGATTTTTACAAATTTTCTTTTTTAAAAAAATCAACATAGTAGGAAAAGTTAATGAGAGTAAGATAAAAATAGAGTGGAATGACAGTTGCTGCCCAAAAAGAGTTAAAAAGAACTCTGGCATGATACTGTGTTCTTTATTCTGTTGCTTTCTTTTCTTTTCTTTCTTTCTTTTTCTTTCTTTCTTTTTTTTTTTTTTTTGAGACAGAGTCACGCTCTGTTGTCCCGGCTGGAGGGCAGTGGCGTGACCTTGGCTTACTGCAACCTCCACCTCTCGGGTTCAAGCGATTCTCCTGCCTCAGCCTCCTGAGTAGCTGTGATTACAGGTGCATGCCACCTAATTCTTTTTTGTGTGTTTTTAGTAGAGATGAGGTTTTGCCATGTTGGCAAGGCTGGTCTTGAACTCCTGGCCTCAAGTGTTCCACCAAGCACGGCCTCCCAAAGTGCTGGGATTACAGGTGTTTGATTCCATTGCTTTTAAAGTCCTACCTATTTTGATCTATATCTTTCAATGCACTAATATTGTTCCTATCATGTTACATCCAGGGAGTGTGTCATACAGGCTTTTTTTTTTTTTTTTTGGAACAAAGTAACACTATACCTTCTTTTCCATGCATAAGTTCATTATTATTTCTAAAACAGTAAAGTATGCAATAAACAAATTTCACACCTTGTCAAAGTAGTAATATGTAATCCAAATTTCTATTTTTGTATCCACCAAAATTAAAATACTCTTGATACAGCCTTAATGATGATCACTCTACTCTGATGTTTAAGTTTGTATTTCTTTTATTTATAATCAGTAATTCTTGTTCAGTGAAAAAACATTGAAATATGCAATTGGCAATCATTTTAAAAATGCTTATAGAAACAAAATAAACATGTATCTATGAATTCACATGAGGTACACACTCTTATCAGACATACAAAAGCTAATTTTCTGAGTAACTTGCTGTTTGTCTGTCTTCCTAACTGTGGTTGGTTACTCTATAGAGCCCTAATACTCTTTTTTATAATTTTAATATAACCGTTGCAATCCACTAATCTCTTCTCAAATGCATGTCAAACGAGAAAGAGGAGGTCAAAATAAATAGGAATTATCAGCTTTAGATATCATATCATTATTTTATTTGTGTGTTTGCATGTTTGTAGTATTATGTTATTTTTAATAAAAATTACAGAACTTACTATAGGCTTGCCTTTTCCAAAATGACATATACATAGATAGATACAGATAAATATGCATAGTGACATAGATAGATAACAGGTATTGCTGTTTTCTATTACCTCAATACTATTCATAATTAACCATTAATAAATAACAGCGACGTTTGAAATGGGAGAGCTCCAGTTTTACAATAATTTTCTTACAAAAGCTATAACATGCTAACAAATGATGAATTGCCTATTTGGTAATAGTCATTCAGGCTAAAGCACAATTTGCCTATTGATTACTGAAAGTTTTGACAATTTTCTATCCACTTGAGCCTCTTCCACATTACTAACACTATTCATTACGTCTCAGCAAAGGTATTTCACGGGGTGGAATTTTTAACTCAAACAGAGCCATCCTAATTGTGAATAGAAGTAGGTTTTTCTCCTCCCCCAAAACTCTTTGAAATTGTGAAGGAAGAAATAAATATGCCTTGTAAAATTGAATGAATTGTCAATTGAACAGTAGTTCTTGCGCCCCTTCTCACCAGGCAAAATGAAGAATTCTATAAGGGAGAAGAGGAGAAAAACACCATAAAATTGGTGTGGATTCTTTCACTGGATAAAGAAAAAAAAGTGTCACAGACAAAGAAAAGAGACTTTGGACTTGAAATATAATGAAAGTGATTTTTCTGAACAGATGAAGCAGATGGCATTTACAAAAGCTACTAAACTTTGTGAATAGTGTGGAGTTTTCTTTGGTTCTCTTCTTTTCAGAGAATATAGCAGTTGAAAAAGCAATGGGTTTGAAAGTTGATTACCAGGACTTCACTCCTGTGGAACCAGCTTAAATTTAACCCTTACTACTTTTAACTAACTGAATTTTATTGATAACCATTAATTCTAATGTGAATAATATGAGATACATTTTGAAAATATGATATTTGTTTGTCATTAAAATTACTGTTTTTACAAACCTCAAGTGCTAAATCTAGGAAAAGGCAAATAATATATCAATAAAGAAATTAAAAAGTTTTGTAGCTCTCTTAAACTGACCAATCCTTCTGGTAAGTAAAAGTTCTCTTAATAGTGTCCAGCATAAAGCAGGTAATGGATAAATGCATGCTCTCTCAACCACCTTTGGAAAATAACAAAGATATTTGTACCAGTCATAGAGAATAGTAAACAATTCTTTCAGTGTTCCTTAGATATCAATGCAATATTATTAAATATATACTGGCATTAGGACTATGAAATTCTCAGTCTAGATGTAGCCAATCCAAGCCGCTGTGGATATACATTTAGCTGCTGTGGATATACATTTAGCCACTGTGGCTACACATTTAGCTCTCCATATCTGAGGGTTCCATATCTGTGGGTTCAACCAACCATGAATTGAACACATCCCAAAAAAAAAAAAAACTATGAAAATAGCAACACAACAATAAAAAGTAATACAAATATAAAACAATCATTATAACAACTATTTAAATAGCATTTACATTGTATTAAGTGTTATATGTTATCTATTATTTAAAGTATATGGAAGGATGTGTGAAGGTCACATGCAAATACTATGCCATTTTACAAGCATCAATGGATTTTGATATCCATGTGTAAAACAGGGTCCTGGAACCAATTCCTCTGTGGATAACAAAGGATAATTGCATATATAACTTTTGTGTTGACTATCTAAAACAATGGGCTAAAACAGAGAGTCTTGGATTCATTGTATTTTAGAGCTATATGTTCTATTATATTGCTCAGACCCTGCATTTTACAGAGAATAACACTGAGGTCCTAACAAGTCATATAATTTACTCTAAATCTTGTGGCTAGTAACTAACATACCTTGAAATAATAATCAAGTTCTGATGCCCTAAAATGTAGACATTCAAGATTTTTCTTTCTCTGTATTTTCTTCTAGTGAACTTATTCATTTTCACAATTCCATTGTGTACCTAACTGTTGATGATGTCAGATCTTTATGTCCTGCTCAGTCTCCTCTTCCACTCAGACTCATATATCCAACCACCAACCGTTGGTGTATTACAAGCTCCTCAAAGTCACTATGCCCAAAATGAAACTCTTCTTCTTCATAAGTTCAGCTTTCAAAGATACTATCTCTAATCAACTCAGCTTCTAAGGCTAAAGCAGTGAAAGTCATCCTCATATACACTCATATCCAATTAGTCACATTTGTCAAATACCATTTTTTAACCATTTCTGCTCCTACTACATTCCACATACCTTAAGTTTCCTCCAACAGCCTCCTAAGATTTCTTAGTCCACGCTACGTCCATAAAAACTTTTTTTTTAATTTTGTGATTTGTATTTCCTCAAATGCTCTCTGTCTCATTTAGAACTTGCTGTTTTTCTGCCTGAATGTTCTTCCTTCCATGTACAAGCTCCACCAACCAGGCTAATTTGAGTCATCCTTCAAAACTAAGTCAAAATGCAGTTTCTTCATCAAACTTGTTGTTTGAATTAAATGTCCCTATCATGTGCTTCTATAGCTGTATATATAAATATATATATATACACACACAAACACACACACACACACACACACACACACACGCACACACAAGATCTCACTCTGTTGCCCAGTGCAGTGCTGTGATCTAGGCTCACTGCAGCCTCAACCTCCTGGGCTCAAGTGATCCTCCCACCTCAACCTCCTGAGCAGCTAAAACCAGAGGCATGAGCCACCACACCCAGCTAATTTTTGTATTCTTAGTAGAAACAGGGTCTCACTATGTTGCCCAGGCTGGTCTCAAACTCCTGGGTTGAAGCAATCCACCACCCTCTGCCTCCTAAAGAGCTGGGATTAGAGGCATGAACGGTCATGCCCAGCCTATCTGCCTGTTTTTAATAGCATAAGTGACACTGTTCATATTTTATCTCTTCTTATAATCTTCCCCATCTCTCTAAATTAGTCTGTAGAAAGGTGGTAATTACATCTTTCGTATTTACTGTTATATCTCCAAAGTTTATCCCAAGGCCAGAACATTAGTAGTCTTTCAATAAATAATTATGAGATAAATATATAAACAACTGAATTAACAAATGTCAGACATCATTCTTCAAAATCAAGGTAGAATGTAATTTGAAAAGCTATATTTCCAAATAGCCCATGTGTTTGTATGATTCATCTAAAAATTAAAACCTGTTAGCTATTGTCTGGTTTCTCTCTCTCTTTTTTTTTTTTTTTTTTTTTTTTTTTTTGAGATGGAGTCTCACTCTGTCGCCCAGGCTGGAGTGCAGTGGCACAATCTCAGCTCACTGCAAGCTCCGCCTCCCGGGTTCACGCCATTCTCCTGCCTCAGCCCCCAAGTAGCTGGGACTACAGGCGCCCGCCACCACGCCCGGCTAATTTTTTTCTATTTTTAGTAGAGACGGGGTTTCACTGTGTTAGCCAAGATGGTCTCGATCTCCGGACCTCGTGATCCACCCGCCTTGGCCTCCCAAAGTGCTGGGATTACAGGCGTAAGCCACCGCGCCCGGCCTGGTTTCTAATACTAAGATAATTTAACCCCCAATATAACTTTCTTTCCTTTTACCACCCTGAGTGTGGTTTGGTCAGACAATACAATCTTTAAAACATAGGCCATTACACACTAAAATTTCTTCAAAGGAAAAAAAATTATATTTGTACAGAGTATTCACACTCCGCATAATAAATATGTAATTAGTTTTTAATTATCTTTTATTTGCAAGTCCATTTAATTCATTTTATTTATTATTGATTTTTAAAAACTATTCTTTTCAGGATATAGCAATTATTATTGGTTCAAATTTAAGTATGAGTATAACACAGCATAAAATGTCATGTTGATTTTTTATATTGAAATTGAAGTTACAATTGAAATGGAAATTAATATTAAAAAATAAAAGTATGTTTATCTCTGTTAAGAGAATAAAACAGAATCAACAAATGATCCTCTCAATAGATATAGAAAGAAAATTTGCAAAGAAAAATTAACACCTATTCAAATTAAACCTCTTCAGTCTCATGAAGGACATCAATGTTGAGAAGTGTTTGTTCTGCTTTTTTGGAAAACGTTGTATAATTGGGATTATTTCTTTCTTAAACATTTGATTGACTTTTTAATGAAGCCGTCTGTGCCTAGATTTGAATTGTTTATGGTCTGAATTTTCAAACATGAATACAATATATTTCTTTACTGTAAGGCTACTCAGATGACCTACTTCTTCTTGAATGATCTTTTGTAGTACATAATTTTCTATAAATTTTTCCACTTTACCTGTTTCATATTTATTGGCATGCATTCTTCATTATATTCTCTTTAATCCTTTTTCTATGGATATTGCCAAAAAAGTTGGAGACCACTGCGCTATACAATTATTAATTCAAAATATATAACAAATGTTTTAGAGATTTGGAATAGCCAAAGATGATTAAAATAGTACACAATAAGTATAAATTATTAGAAATGAAATATTTACCTCTATCAAAATTAAATTATCTGTTGTATTAAAGACATTTCTAAAAAGAACAAAAATTGTAGCTACAACCTAGAATAAACTACTTTAAGATACGTATTTGATAAAAAGCTTATAACTGTATAGATAAATAATTTGTTAGAACCAATAATAAAATGAAACACAGCAAAATAGCAAAAGACTTGGAAATAGCAAAACAAGTCATAAAATAGCAAAAGACTTGAAAAGACATTGCAGAAAGGAAAATTTAAGAATGGTTGATAAGCACAAGCAAAGACCCTCAACATCATTTGGCATCAGAGAAATGCAATAAATAATATGATACAAATTCACATCCACTAAAATGACTAAAATCAAGTACCAAATATTGCAGAGGAAGTAGATAAACCCTCATCCACTGCTGGAGGAACTATAATAGTATGATCCTTTCAGGTAATACTTTCACAGTTTCTTGTAAGTTAAGCAACAGACTTCTATGACCTATTGATTCTCCTTTTAAGTATTTATCCAAGAAGTGGAAATACCTGAAATGTTTTTTTTTTTGTCAGCAACAAAAAGAAAGAAACTGCAACAACCTTGATGAGTCTCAAATAAACTGCAAAAATCTTGAATAGTCTCAGCAAACATTATCCTGTTAAAATGAAGCCAGACACAAAAGATCTCAAACTATATGAAACCGGTTATTTGAAGTCATAGAAATAGAAACTCATCAATAGTGGCAGAAAGAATATTAGTCTTTGTCTACCAAATGAACGTGGATGTATCTCCTACATATAATGTTGAGTGTAAGAATCTAGACATCAAAAGGACGTACTGCATGATGCTAATTTATAAATTTATAAATCAAAATAGAGATTAACTTGTACAGGATAAAAGAGGGACAATGACAGGGCAGAAGAGGACCTTTGGATTTGTTGGTAATATTTTATTTTTTGCTGCAGGTGGGATTCCATCGTGTTTATTTTATGCAGATTCGTCAAGGTGAACATTTATGGTTTGTTCACTTTTATTTAGGAATTAGTTCATTATTAATTTCTTTATTAAATACTGTTCATTTAATAATATTACATTGCACAAGACAAATATTTTATCTGGATTCAGTGACCTATTTTATAAGTTATTCCCAGAAGACAAAGTTCTCATATGTTGCATTACAGAGTTTTCTTACAAGGATTTATCCACCTACCCCATAAATCTGGGTATAACTATAGATGTTGGGGTCAAATTCTATACAAAATTCTATGTGGGTGTTCTTTATCTTCATAGTGACTGACGCTAGCTTTGTAACTGAAGTGAAATCATTGGAGTGATGTAAGGAACTGTCTTTACAAAATTTATTATTGAAGAATTATAGTTTCTCTTAAGATCTGTCAAATATTGATAAGGCTCTACTTTGATGGTGATGTGGCTGGGAGACTGGGAAATCCTGGGTAGAAGAGGGCGGTTCCCCAGCAAAGGCCCCAACCTCAAGCCTGAAGACCTACTGCCCTAAATGAGGACAGGCATTCCTGTTTTCACACCCAAAAAGTTGCCTTTTGGCCCGCCATGTCCCCTATCCTGCACCCATATAAACCCCAAACCCCAACTTCCAGAAGCCGACCAGCACCAGCACAGTGGAATGATGGGTAGAGAAAGAGAAAAGAGGAACACTGGAATGCCCAGGGGAGTTCGGCTGGGGTCAGTGGGAAAGGAGTCCGGCTGCTGGGCGGCCGGACTCCAGGAGAAGATCACTTTCCCACTCCATCCCCCTATTCCGGCTCCCCATCCAACCCACTGAAAGCCACCTCCACCTCTCAATAAATCCTTACATTCATCCTTCCAGTCCGTGTGTGACCCAATTTTTCCCGGACGCTGGACAACAGCTTGGGATATAGAAAGCTGTCACACTGGCCCTCTGCCCTTGTGAAAAGTCAGAGGGTTGATTGAGCTGGTTAACACTCAAGCCTTCTGCAGGCAGCAAAGCTGAAAAAGCTTTGTAACACTGGGTTTGCAGGCACCCACTCCTAGACACTACCACGGGGCTGGAGCCCAAAGCACTCGTCCTGGCCTTTTCACCTGCCTATCTGCATGCTCCCCCTCCCATAAAGGTTTGAGCAGTCAGCAGGGCAACCAAGCAGGTGAGCCACACCCCTGTGGCAGGTCCTAGAATGGGGATTAGGGAACTTCCCCATTTCAATGGTATATACCTTGGTTTTAAATCACGTTAACTCAAATTGTTTTCATTCATCCTCATAGCAAGGGTGTGGAAAGTAGGTAACATTACCAGTCCCGCAACTAGTGATTGAAGTGTAAGACTGAAATTACAGCTTTCTGATTCCTCTATTAGAATTCTTTCTGAACTCCCGCTTTATCATACTACTAGGCCATGTCATTACTTGTACTCCAATGCATACCAACCAGAGGGTTGTTTCATGCTTCTTTACAGTTGAAATACATTCACTAAATGTATCATGTTTCAGGGGTACATTTTTTTAAAATCACAAATAAGAAGTCTGATATAGGTGATAGTAATCATATCTCGATTCATGTTACTCTCTATAGATAATAGAGATCCGGGTCTAATTACCAGATGTTTGAGCATTTTGGTTTCAGTAGAAATTGTTTCTTGACACTCTAATTGGATTGGGAAAACTAAATGTGATAGAAACACTTTCAACATTTCTCCCTACAATACATATGTTACACCAATAATGTGAGATGAAAACTATGATCGTCAAGAAAGTGTTATTGTTTTAGACAGAAATCACCATTCTTCGTTTTCAAAAATACTGGCTTAAAATGAAAATATTATGTCATAAAAATTGTTGCATTTGAAGGAGCTATGCTGTTTAGAAAAGCTGAGGTTTAAGGCACATTATAAAATGTCAGTGTATATGAAAATTGACATACATATTAATTTTCAGGGTACTAATCTCTTTGATACAAAATTTAGACTTAAGAATATGATTTTTCTAAAAAAGCAGAACCTATTTTGAAAATGGGAGCTTTAAACTAGTTATTTTAACAGACTCATATACTAATTCTTAGGAAAGCTGTTGTATGCTTATCGGTATCAGAGGATAAAGAGTGAGCTTTAGGCCTAAGATTTGCAATGAAGATGAAGTTTCCATTCGTATATTGCATTTCACAGTTTTCTTATAAACATCTATCTTAAGCTGACATTCATGCCTGCAAAGATTTACCAAGTGGCTGTTTTAAAAGCAGTATAAACCTCAAGGTCATTTTCTCCTAATTACCCTCTGTTGCACAGAAACTTTATTGAAATGTTTTTTGCAAACTGAGACGTGCTGAATAGAAAAAAAAAAATAGACTCCTTTCAGGTTAAGCTTTGTGCTCTGTGACATATTTACTGATTCTTTGTTCTACAACTGGCCTTTTTATTACCTAATGCAATGAGATAAGATTCAGATAATAAATCCAATATATCTAACTGTCCTTAAGTCCAGATTTAGTTGTGAAACATGCAAGAAAAGTATCCACTCCTCTTCTTTACTATTGATTTTATCTCCTCATTTTTTTCACCCCACACTGAATTGTCAAATTTTCTCATTGTGTTAGATGTGACAAAGTCTATAGCAAAAAATCGTGACATTTAAATCATTCTATATAAGATTTTTCTGAAAGCCAGTTGCCAAGGAAGGGCAGTAAATATATGCAAGAGTCAAGCTATAGTATTTTTTTAAATGTGAAATTTTCTAAAAAATAACAACTTGTGTCAAGAAGAACCTCATCCCCTAACGCATACATTAAAGTGATAGCATCAACAGGCTTTGACAAGTGTGGAACCAAGTTTAAATACATTTAACCGAGGATTTTCTTTCTAAAAACAATTAGCACTACTAAAAATGCTTATAAATTGTACTATGTGATGGTAAATTATTTGATAATAACAAGTGAGTAGAACTTAGCAGAAACTGGTAAAGAGAAGTTCAGGAAGCAAGAAGAAGTGAGTAGACAGTATGATCAGTGCAGTTTGACAGAAAATGCGTCTTTTACCTCAGAATTAGCTGACAGCGGAAGCATTTTCTGCATCTTGCTCAGGCTTTGGAGCAAGTCAAAGTTCAAGGAACTTTGAACTTTGAGAAAGAGAGTAGCTTGACTAAAGTTTAGTCAACACAGCAAAGGGGAAACGAGCAGTTGTGAACACTTGGGCAATCACAAGGTACATGATACAATTTAAAATATTCAAGCATGTGTTAGAGAACTGGAGGTCAATATTAAAATATATATAGACATGTATTTTAAGTTCAGGAGTATATGTGCAGGTTTATTACATAGAAAAACATATGTTGTGGGGTTTGTTGTACAGATTATTTCGTCACCCATGTAATAAGCCTAGAAGTCATCAGTTATTTTTCCTAACCCTCTCCTTCCTTCCACCCTGTACCCTCAGGTAGGCCCCAGTGTGTGTTGTTCCCCTCTATGTATCCATGTGTTGTCATCATTTAGCTCCCACTTACAAGTGACAGCATATGGTATTTGGTTTTCTGTTCCTGGGTTAGTTTGCTAAAGATAATGGCCTCCAGCTCCATCCATGCTGCTGCAAAGGACAGGATCTCCTTTTTTTTTTTTTTTTTTTGGCTACACAGTATTCCATGGTGTGTGTGTCATATGTCACACCTTTTCTTTATCCACTCTACCGCTGATGGGCATTTAGGTTGCATCCATGTGTTTGCTATAGTGAATAGTGCTACAATGAACATTCACGTGCATGTGTATTTATGGTAGAAAATTTATGTTCTTTTGGGTATATACCCAGAAATGGGATTGCTGGGTCACATGGTAGTTCCGTTTTTAGCTCTTTGAGGAATTGTCACACTGCTTTCCACAAGGTTCAACTAATTTACCTTCCTATTAACAGTGTATAAGCATTTCTTTTTTACTCTGCACTGACACTTTTCAAAAGAAGAAATATATGCGACCAAAAAGTATATGTAAAAAAGGCTCCATATCACTGATTATTGGAGAAATGCAAATCAAAACCATAATGAGATATTATCTCACACAAGTCAGGATGGCTTTTATTAAAAAGTCAATAAATATATGTTAACATTCAGTCTATTCCCCTAAAAGAGACCCGGGACATGGCTGACTTAAATTTTTTTTATTTTTTTCTATATGGTACTTTTATTTTACTCATAATACATATAATACATAATCAACAGTATCCTAGCTTCAAAATTGTACTTGTCTACATAAAAAGTCTAAGGTATTTTCCAAATATATATCAATTTATTACAGACAAAAAGGAAAAAAAACCTGCCAGTTGACTAAATAGAATCTTTTTTTAATCAAGGATGACTGAGTTAAAAATACAGTGTACTAGCTATAACCCCACTGAGTATGATTTAAATAACTTTTTGGAAAATTTTCAAGAGCTATCACTCAATATGATTTGATTCATGCTCAGTAAATTTGTGGAGTTTTAGGTTTCAATTTTTTGGCTATTAGCTGTTGTTTTTTATTCCTTTTACCAATGAAATATTGTGTTCTTTGAGGCATACCTGTCAATATATTTTTTTAAAATAAGTAATATTCTCTGCCATTTGGTACTTCATATTCACAATTCCAAATAATAGTAATATATAAATTATAAATATAGTTACATACTTCTTTAAAAATAAAATATAAACATACACATAAGTAAATTATTATAAAATGGAGACAAAGGAAGATTTGTATTACAGTTTACATAAAATGCTATTAAATTCCATAAAGCCCCAGTGACTCATCCATGGCCCCAGGGCTGGAAAGTAGCATAGCAATGGTTAAAGCCAAGATCGGCTGAGGTCTCCACTACTACTGTCCCATTACATTATTACATCACACTGCCCTGGAGGTTAGCATGAACCCTAGCTAAAAATCTCAAGTGAAGGCTTGGAAATTTTCAGCATCAGATCAGTTACCCTTTTCCAATAAGGGAGGATTCAAAGAGCCTTTGAGAATTAAGTCTAGCAGCATACTGATAGGATTAGTGAATCACAAAATGTTAATATCGAAAGAATCTAATTAATCTAACTGATGAACTTAACTCCCAGTTGTGAGTTGTCACTTCTGAACCTCGTTGAGCCATAAATTTGTTAAAATGGAGCCAGATATAGGTTAGTGGATTCAAAATGATTATGATCTTCACATTTTAGCAAAAGTTGAGTATACGTTTTACATTTCGTATGAGTTATCACATATATTCAACACAATTCTCATTTTATTATTTCTCTTTAAAATTTTTTTTTTTACAAATGACAAAACAAAGCTTCCAAGAATTTATATTATTTGCCACACAATAAGTGGCTAAGCCAAGACTTAAAATACAATACATATATCTAACTCAAGCTGTACTATTACTGCAATTATTATTGCAACACCCACTCAACACAAACTGCAAAGATATCAATTTTCTAAAACACTTAGACAAAATTCTAAGTGGTTGCAGGCCATTATGATATCAAATTTCTAGGGAAATTGAAGTTATCCTTTTGGCTACTGGTGAATATATGATGGATACAGGGTAATAAATGTACGTTTTCTATATTTCTGCTTGATTCATTTTAAGAGCTTAACAAAAGTGATAATAAAGAACAAAATGGAAAAATTACTTATAAAGAATTACAGTACTATCAATAGAGCTCTCCTTCCTGAAAACCGTGATTTATGAGGTCTGAGAGCTTTCGGGATGAAGTATGATTCAGATAAATTCCATCCTAGTCCTTCATATACTTCTTCTCAGCTATTTCTTATTAATTAACATATTTAATATGAGAATAATACTGAAAGATGCATTCCTTTTAGTGTAAATGCCAGCTATTATATATGTTAGGATTTTAAAGTCATTAATACATAATAAAAGGCAATTATGTTAATGTGAATTAAATGTATTCTTTCCTGTATTTGAAAAATTGAATAAAATTCCCCAGTTAAAGTTTTTACAATCTACTCTAAGTGATATTTTTCTTTTTAAATAAAGCCCTACTGATTGCAGCTAAAGCAGAAGACTACAATAATCAACTAACTTTTTACACATACACAAAATAAACTAGCCTGGGCGCGGTGGCTCATGCCTGTAATCCCAGCACAACACACTTGTATCACTGTAGGTTTGTGGCTGTTTTACTTATTATGATTTATATGATATATATATATGATTTATATGATATATATATGATATATATTATACGTGTATACATATACACATATATATGCCTAAATTTATCTTTATTTTGGTTCCATGTATTTACATATTGATGATTTTATATTTATTACAAATTAATTTTATATTGCATATGCTTTAGATTATATTTAGGACATTATGTTGGTTATTACTAAAATTATATTTGTAGGTTATGTTATCTATTTAATTTGTTTCAAGATAATATTGTTTTTAAAATGCTTGTTTTAAAAAAATTGATTACCACTAACCTAGGACATTTACAAACCCTGGTGTAATTTAAAAAGTTACAGTTGAAGGTGAGACAATACAGTCTAACGTAAGAAGAGATTTAAAATAGCAGGTAAATAAAAATTAAAAGGTAGACTGACCAACATGGACAAACTCTGTCTCTATTAAAAATACAAAAAAAAAATTAGCTGGGAGTGGTGGTGCATACCTGTAATCCCAGCTTCTCGGAAGGCTGAGGCAGAAGAATAGCTTGAACCCAGGAGGTGGAGGTTGGGGTAAGCCGAGATCACGCCATTGCACTCCAGTCTATGCAACAAGAGCAAAACTCCATCTCCAAAAAAAAAAAAACAAAACAACCCTAAAGACAGTGAAGTGGTATCGTGAAGTAGTAAAAACAAACCATCGTCAACCATGAATTCTGTAGCTGTCATAAATATCTTGCAAGAGGAAAGGTGAAGTAAAGGCAATTTCAGGGGGAAAAAAAGCGTGACTTTACAGATACTGACTACATAAAACAACAATCCAACAACAGCAAGAACAATGACAATAATAATGTCTTGTGAGATTTAGAAATATATAGAATCAAAATACATAGCAAACAAATAGCAAGTAATTTAAGAAGGAGGTACTAGTACTTAAAATAATTTATAGTCTTTTCATTACACGGAAAGAAATAGGAGTTCTTATTTCAATTATACTTTGGTAAGTTAAGAACGATTTACTTTTATATCTCTAATTGCTGATTGAATAAAATAGTCAAGAATCTAATAATAATGGGGATATGTTCTGAGAAATGCATTGTTAGGTGATTTTGTAATTAGGTAAACATCATGGTGCACCTCCACAAACCTAGCTGGTAAAGCCTACATATGATGTAGCCTATTGCGCCTAGGCTACAAACCTGTACATTATGTTACTGTACTGAATTCTGTCAGTGACTGCAACACAATGTAATTATTTTGCAACACTATATATAATTTGTATATATAAACATATCTAGACATAGAAAAGGACAGTAAAAATATGGGATTAAAATCTTATGGGACAATTATGTCTGTGGTCTTTTGTAAACTGAAATGTCATCATGTGATGCAAGACTATAATTACATCATTATTGTGGAGACTTTATGATGAAATTAATGCTCTTATAAGGAAGAGATAGGATAGCTTAATTTTCCTTTTATCTCGCTTCTCTCTCTCTCTGTTTTTATGTCTCCTCTTTTTCCTTTTCCTAGCCAAGCTGTGTTAGTACCTTTGTGCTGCTATGACAAAATATTTGGGAATGGGTAATGTATAAATAAAACAAATCTATTTCTCATGTTTCTGGAGGCTAGAAAGTACAAGGTCAAGAAGGTGACAGGATTGGTGTCTGGTGAGTGTTGCTTCATGCTCCCAAGATGGCATCTTGTTGCTACATCTTATGGAGAGAAGATATCCTGTGTCCTCATACAGTGAAAGAGATGGAAAGGCAAGGAAGACCTCCCCTTAAACGTCAGCCGTTATATAAGGGCTCTAATTCCATTCATGGGAGTAGAGCCCTCATGAAGTAGTCACCTCCCAAAGGTGCACCTAGTTGCAATGAAGATTAGGTTTCAACATGAATTTCTGAGGGGACACCATCACTCAAATCACAGAAAATGTGAAGAGACGAGAAGATGACTGTCAGCAAATCAAGAAAAGCACCCTCACCAGACATAGAATCTGCCTTGATCTTGGATTTCCTGGCCTCCAGCACTATGAGAAAAAATGTGTGTTTTATTAACCACCTAGTCTCTGCTATTCTGTTATAGCCACCCAAGCTGGCTAAGATAGTAGGGAATCTGGAAGCCTCACTGAAACCAAGATTTTGACTCCAGATCTATTTAAGGCCTATTAGACTCAAATAAAAAGGAAGGACGGGGTTACCTTGATTTTTACTCTTTTATGCTTATAATGCTGCTGACTAGTTAACAAGAATTCGGTTCTATGGCCATAGATAAACCTTAAAGCTCAAACCAATCATGATACAAGAAACAGATGCAAAGCTCTGCTCCCTTGTGTCTTACAAAACTTATGGCAGTAGGTCTAGTTGGAATGTAAATCCAACCTGGAACCTTCAGAGGAAAGCCATCAGGGAAGTTCAATTTTTATTCTGGATGACCATATGTCCAGGTAATGTTAGGACTTTACTATTATAAAAGAAAGAGAAAATGAATATTACATAACCAATAGCTGTCCCTGCCACACTGAGCATGTAACAGAAATTTGAGAGGCAATTTGTATTAAAAGATTATAAAGGCCATATATATTATGTTAATGACTATGCATGTGCATGTGTGTGTGTATTATTCCCATCTCATAACCAGGAGAAAACTAATTTGTCATTCAAACAATAATAAGCCATAATTGATCATTTATTGTTTCCATTATCTATTTTTTTAAAGCAGGAAAGTGATGATATACACAATGTTAATGCTAGTGACAGCTGTGATCATAGTCGAGAATAGAAAGAGAGAGAAGAAATCCTTTAGTATAAACTTCTGGTTCTAACAGCATAGCAGAGAAATAACTTATTTTACAAGTGATATCTCATTGTTTATCTATTTAATAAAAATACATGACCATTGTTATATAGCATTTTCTGATTACAAAAGTGATATCACAAACAATGAAAACTGGAGGTAAATGAAGGCATTTTATTTTATTTTATTTTATTTTATTTAATAATGATGCTTATCAGTGGTTGTAAGTGCCTAGGCATCTTTAGCGTAGCTTTAATCAATTGTAATTTCCTGGTTAATTAAGAACTAATTAAAATTATCTGCTGGAATTATTTAATGTTAATATTTACTGCAATGTTTTATATAGTTTAAGAAAATATACACTATAGCACAATCTTTCAACCTACACGAATACCAAGTTATAAAACATTCATTTAAAAATAAATTTCAACTATCATCAATAACTCTTTATCCTACTTTCCCTAGTAAGTTAGCTCTGTATTCAGCTTTCTTCATATTTTCCTCCATCTTTATTTATTAAACTTTTTAATTTTTATTTATTTTTACTTTTATTTTAAGTTCCAGGGTACATGTTCAGGATGTGCAGGTTTGTTAGCTAGGTAAATGTGTGCCATGGTGGTTTGCTGCACCTATCAATCCATCACCTAGGTATTAAGCTCAGCACGTATTAGCTATTTTTCCTAATGCTCTCCCTCCCCAAATCCCACCCCCTAACATGCCCCAGTGTGTGTTTTTCCCCTCCCTGTGTCCATGTGTTCTCATTATTCAACATGCAGTGTTTGGTTTTATGTTCCTGCATTAGTGTGCAGAGGATAACGGCTTCCAGCTCCATCCATGTCCCTGCAAAGGACATGATCTCATTCCTTTTTATGGTTGCATAATATTCCATGATGTATATGTCCACATTTTATTTATCCAGTCTATCACTCATGGGCATTTGGGTAGACAATAAAGGCAATTTAAAAGCTTTTGATAAGATATGATAAATTTATATGACATAAAGTTTTTCTAATTTACAATCTAAATTATACAGATTGTTCACTCCCTCATTCTCCATTTCCTAAATGGGTACTGACATTTCAGTTGATACTTTCCAATCTCACAGGTAAAATGGTTTATTATTGTGATTTTAATGTCCACTCTTTTATTAATAGTAAGGGCAAATGTATTTCTAATATTTAATGGTTATAGCTATTTCATTATTTGTAAATACGTGTTTAATACCCATATTATGTTCTGCCTATTTACCATAACATCTTTGTGTCACATCTAGTTTGTACATTTTTTCCTGTTTTGTTGTCTATTTTATTACATGGTGATTTTACTTCATAGACTTTTTCCCCTCTTCTAAATTTTATGTTCAATTATCTTTATGGAATAAATCTATGATTTTCAAAAATATTTTAAGCTCCCTCTAATCTTTGTAAATTGAAAATTTGCTGTTAAGACCTTCAAATTCAGCACTAGATCATTTAGCTTCAGGTCACATACTGTTCAGCATTATCTATTTTCATTTAGTTTTTCTCTAATATCAATATTGAAGGATATGGAAGTTCTTGAGAAGGAAAATGGTTCATTAATTTATTTATTTGCAAAATAATTTCATAATGAATGAGTGAATGATGAAAATCAATAGATGTTAGATTACAATAATTAAATGTAAAATTAATTTGGTTCTCAATATCCTGGTACCTTGACACAGTAGTTAGCTAATAAAGTCTGCCAATGAATTATGTAACAAAATATTTATTAATGATAGATATATTCCCTGATATGAAAGATAAACCCCATCCCATTTGTAGTTACCTAGTGATGTATATGTAGGCAATTGATTTGCAATAATCAATTTGAATTAAAAATCAAAAAATAGAATGTGTTCACATACTTGAAGAAATATAATTGCAGTCATCCCTTGGTATCCATGGAAAATTGGTTCCAGTATGCCACTTGGATACCAAAATCTGTGAATATCCAAGTCATTGATACAAAATGACAGCATCTGCATAAAACCTACACACATCCTCCCATATGCTCTAAATTATCTTGATTACCTATAAAATTTAATGCTAAATATATAGTTGTTATACTGAATTGTTCAGGGAATAATGACAAGAAAATGCCTGTACATGTTCAGTACAAGTGCAATTTATTTAAAAATATTTTTAGTCTGTGATTGGTTGAATCCACAAATGCAAAGCCCCTGAATATGGAGGCACAATTGTATGAGTCATAGAAAACATGATTTTCTTGCTATTCAGAACAATAAATCCCAAATAATTTACATATGAAGGCTTCTTTCAAATACACGTCTCTCAAATATAATCTAGGAGGTTTACTCAAACTTCAGTTTATATCATTGCAAAAAAAATCATATTACAGAAATAAATGTCTTACTTCAATAAGAGAGCTTGAAAAGATGAGCAAATACTGGTATTAATCTTGGAAAATCACTACTGATAACGGAAATGTTAATTGGTTAGATTTATCATACAGATTACTTATAAGTCTAAATAGTGTTACTAACTGCATGATTTTTGGTTGTTGCAGAATTGGTAATTTAAATTATCTAATGCAGTTTTTAGAAAAAGGACTTGATCTTTAAGCCTGTGCATATAATGCTTGCAGAAAAATGATTTAATTTCCAAACGTAGTAAATATTCAGTTAATGGAAATATTTTTGGGTCTCTAGCATAAAAAAATCAATGGCACATTGAAATTTATAAGGAAACATTTTATTTAATTACTTTTTTAAAAAGCTTCCCTTCAAAGCAATATTTTTCTTTCTTATTTTCCCTTTGCTTAAATCATAGAAACCAAGGAGTACTTATTTTGTCTAAGGAAGTTGAATCAGGAAAATATTATGCTTACAACTTGCTACACTACACAGAGGAGCAGGAAGCAATGGCCTTGACATGTGTTTTACATTCTGACCTTGTATCCAAAGTAACAATGTTTTGACAGGACACATGCTCTGCTGGAGAAGAGATTGCCACACTTCTTTCTGTAGAGGTGATGGGATTGAACACTTAGAAGTAAAACAATTCCTAAGCATTCTTAGCTGGATGTTAATACATATTTGCATCTTTGATTCATTTAACTTTAATATATTTATTTGAGGCAAATTAAATCCACCTTTCTATTTTGCCTAGTGGTCTAACAACATCCTCCCCAAGATGTAGAAAACAGTGTCGCTCAGTGTTGCCATCACGGTGTCCTTGAGGCATTCCATTTCAATACATGCAGGGGGAGAAATAATTAAAGACGGTGAAACAGCAAAGAGTAACAGCCTAGAAAAAAGCCAAGCTACTGTAAGAATCTTAAATGAGACACTTCTAATAATGAGTTGACTGCAAAATATACTGTTCTGTGAAATATTACCAGCTGGTTTGACCTCTGTTAATATGTAAGATGGCAAATTAAAGCAATTTTACGTGTGGTTATGTTAAAGCCCGCTGCTGATTCAGGTACTACCAAATGTGATTTCTTATAGCATTCAAATGCCTAAAATCCAGATATAAACTCCCAGTGGCAACATGAAAGAGAGGACATTTGCTGCATTAGCTGTTGAGAACCAGTTACTATTAATACAATCGTTAGGTAACTACTCTACTGAAACATAGATTTTGTAATTATAATGTTTTTCTATACAGCCCAATGGAAGGGGATGGACAAATTGATGAGCACATTCTAATCAGAGCTAATATTCTACATTTGCTTTCTATTTTATACTATACAATTCAGTACATCCACTAAGTTAAAGGACAAAAATAAATATGCATTTAAATATATTTGTGTAATTTGGATAAGCAAGATGGAGGTAGTGTAATTGTAGAGAAAAAAATATGTATTACATTGCCTCCTTAAAATACAAATGCATTTAGTGAGGTATTTATTCTTTCATTTCAGATGAAAATTTGGATAGTCCTCTGAGTTTTCTGGAGAGGCTTAAGTAATTAAAAAATGGTCGTATGGTTACTATGGGTTGCAAAATATATTGTATGATGAAACTTGATTTTATTATATTTCTAAAAAATGTTTGAGGTAAATTTCTAATTTACCACTTTGTCGAATCCATTTCACATGCTTGCATAAAATCATAATGTCGTTGGATAAAACTGCTTCTTTGTCAGTCAGGATCTCTGTGGTCATAAGTTAAGATACTTTTCATACAAAGTGCATTGAATAAAAATGTACTCTGTGCCAATGTAGAAGACACTGGCTGAGACTTAAGGATACAAGATAAAATAGAAGCAATTTTCCCCTAAGACAGCAGTACTGGTGAAGAGATAAGATGCAAACTCCAGGCTGGGCACCATGGCTCATGCCTGTAATCCCAGCACTTTGGGAAGCTGAGGCAGGCAGATCACCTGAGGTCAAGAGTTCAAGACCAGCCTGGCCAACATGGTGAAACCCTGTCTCTACAAAAAATACAAAAATTAGCCAGGCATGGTGGTGCACACCTGTAATTTCAGCTACTTGGGAGGCTGAGACAGGAGAATTGCCTGCTGAGCCAAGATTGTGCCACTGCACTCCAGCCTGGGTGACAGACCAAGACACTGTCTCAAAAAAAAAAAAAGATAAAAAAATATGTACCCCAATAAATAAATAGAATATTCATCATCTTCTCTTGTTAATTAACATAATAAATATTTAGAAGATAAATAAGAATACAGAAGTTCTGAAAAGACTCAACTTACTTGAACCAACTGATATTTACGGAAGACTCTACCCAATAAAAGCAGGAAAAACATTTTTCTCAAACGCATGTGAAAGATTCACTAAAATAGAACATATTGTGGCTATTTTTTAAAAAAGCCTTAGCAATTTTTTTTTTCCCAGAGACAAAGTCTCCTGTTACCCAGGCAGAATGTAGTGGTACAATCAGAGCTCACTGTAACCTTGAACTCCAGGGCTCAAGCAATCACCCAGGTGCACACGAATATACCTGGCTAATTTTTTTCTTTTTTCTTTTTTTTTTTTTTTTGGTACATATGGGGTCTCGCTATGTTGCCTAGGCTGGTCTCAAACTCCTGGCCTCAAGTGATCCTCCCACCTTGGCCTCCCAAAGTGCTGGGATTATAGGCATGAATCACCATGCCTGCCAATATTTTTTAAAGTAGATATTTTTTGGCTACTTATTTCTAGTTCTATTATAGCCACAAAGTATGTTTTGTGACTATAATATGTTGTGAGACTATAATAGAACTAGAAATAAGTAGCCGAAAAATATCTGGAAAATCCCCAATTATTGGGAATCTAAGCTACATACACATTTAAAAATCTCATGGATCAGAAAGGGTGTCTCAAGGAAGGCTTAAAAATATTTTTATCAAAATGAAGGTGAAAATACAGCATCAAAATGTGTGGGATGCATCTAAAGCAATTCTTAAAGAAACATAATATAGTTATTATATTAAAGAAGAAGGATCTGAAGTAAATAATATAAGATTTCACCTTACACATTATGAGAAAGAAGAAAAGGTTAAATATAATGGTGGCACAAATAAGAAAATAAAAAAGTATAGTATTGGCAGTGAAAAAAATAGACATATAGACCAATGGAACAGAACACAATACATACTCCAGACATCAACCCATACAAACCCATCTAATTACTGACAAAGGGTAAAGGCATTTCAAAGGACAAATGATAGTTATTTCAACAGATGCTTTTGGAACAACTGGACTTCCTCATTAAGAAAAGTGAATCTAGACACAGATAATATGCCTTTCACCAAAATTAACCACCGGCCCAGGCAGTCTCTTTGGTTCCATTGGTTTGTGACTCCCCTGGCTCTCCAGGAGACACTGGTGGCTGGATAGCACCAGCAAAGAGGACCCGGACACAATAGGCAACTTGGCCCAGAAAGTCTTTTTGTCCACATGAGCCTGAGACTCCCTCCCTTGCCTAGAGACACTGGAGAGACTGAAGGACATTGGCAAAGAGATCACACAGAGATCACAAGCAGGACAACAAGGGAAACTTCTTTGTGTCTTTGTGAGCCTAAGAAGCCCCTGCCCTGATCAAAGCTGTCAGGGTGGTGAAGGAACACCACATAGAAACGTGCTAAAACAAGAACCTCATCGTTCCAGTCAGGTTGAGACTCTTCTGCCTGTCGTAGAGACACCAGACAGCCCATCCTATAGAAACTCATTTTGCCAAGTCAGGCAGCACAAGCAGGGACCAGTAGGAGCCTCAGTAAAACAAAGTAGGCCACAATGTCACTGAAATGGCCCTAAAAATTAAAATTCTATCAGAACCACAGACACAAATGTACGCCTGTACCTGCATGCTAAATCTAAAAAGTCATGCCTGATAAAATGAAAAAAAAAAAAACTGCAACAATCAATTACAAATTTTCTTCAAAGTATAAAAAAGTAAATGTCAGCAAAGAAATAGATAGAAGTTATATGAAAGACCCAGATAGCAGAAACAAATAGACTGAAAAAATTATTACCAGAGTCTAAGGGATTTGAGGGATTGTATCTAACAATTTGGCATGTATATTATCGGATTCCCCAAAGACAAGGAGAGAGTAGGGATGAAAGCATATTCAAAGAAATAATAGTTGAAAAATTCCCAAATTCGACCAAAGACGCAAACCTACAAATTCAAGAAGCAGAATTTCAAATGACATAAATTCTAAGAAAACCATGCCAAACCACATAAACCTGTGAAAACCAAATACAAATTAAAAATCTTGACAGTATCCAGGGAGAAACAATGCATTACCTAGAGAGGACTGCTAAATCAAATGACAGTGGTTTGCCTATCCAAAATCAGGGAGTTCAGAACAAGAGGCACTACATTTTTCAAGAGCTAAAAACCCCTATCAATTATGAATTCTACATCTTCAAAAACTCTCCTTTATGAATAAAAGTAAAATAGACATTCACATATGAAGAAAAAAATATGTATAGCTAGCAAACCTACTTTTAAGGATTAGCTCAAGGAAGTTCCTCATAAAGACAGGACACGGCAAGAGAAAAACTCTTAGAACATCAGAAAAGAAAAACAATGGTAAAAGCAGAAATGTGAGTGTATAAAATAGATTATTTTTCCCGTAATATTTTAAATCACGTTTGATGATTGAAACAAAAATTATACCACCATCTAATACTCAAGACAATAATATTTGAAAGTGGGAAAGGTATATTAAATGGGATTAGAGATGTAAATTGAACCAAAAGGGACCTAAATGGATGTGAGGTTTTCATTAGTTGATATTATCAGTTTGTGATGTGTCACAACTTTAATTATAATATCCGGAGTAAGTACCACTAAAACTATATGAAGAGATAAACTCAAAGACACTATAAATAAATCAAGAGAAACAAAGGAGCTAGAAATAGAGGAACCCAACAGCCAGCAAATAATATAAGATACTTCAGTGCTGACATTTCAATAATTACCTTAAATGGAAATAGTCTAAATATACCAATCAAAAGAAAGAAATTGTAATAAAATACATGCACACACAAATACAATAGTACATCACTTAAAAGTACATTCCTTCAAATTGACTCCAGCTATTAAAAGGGTGTCAAGAGAATACTATAGATAACTTTATGTTTACATACTTATGTGTTAAGTTAGGAGTTAACTGATTACTCAAAACCACAAACTACTAAAACTCAATCAAGATGGAATAGCTAATCCAGTTGGTTCTCTAATCATTAAAAGAATTAAATTTTAATTAGAATACTCTAAAAGGAAATCCAGAGTTTCCTGTTTTATCAGTGTAGAAGTGTAAAAACTTTTAAAACAGTATTAACACCAATTCCCTGAAAGAAATAATACAGAGAGCTCCCATATACATATCTCATATACATACTGTAGTACAAAGTCACAACAAGATTATTGACAGCAGTAAAATCAACAGATCTTATTCACATTTTCACAGTTTAGCTACTACTCATTTGTATGTGTATGTACATTTAGTTCCGTAGAACAGACTAGGTATCCTTCACTGGGTAAACGTAAATCTTTTTCAAAACATGTAAGAAAAGGAACAGTTCCCAATTCATTTTAGGAGATCAGTATTGTCATGATTCTAAAACCATAGAGAGTACCATAAAAAATAAAATTAAGAAAAAATATAGAACAATATATCTCATAAACACAGAAGTAAATATCCTCAAAAATAATGGAAAGTCAAATCAAGCAATGTACAAAAGGAATTCTAAACCCTGAACAAAGTATAGTTTATTGCAAGGATGCCAGGCTGATTCAAAATTCAAAAATCAGTCAGTATAATCACCATATCAAATGTTTAGAAAAGAAATGTATGAAAATATCAATTGATACATGAAAAGCATTTTTAAAAATCCAACATCCATTCTGAGCAAAAATTCTCTAAGTTAGAATTAGTAGGGAATTATTTCAACTTGATAAGTAACATCTTGAAAAGCTACAGCTATTAACATAATTAATGGTGAAAGATTGAGTGTGTCCCCCCAAATCAAGAACAATGTAAGGATGTTTGCTCTCACCACTATTATTCAAAATAGTACTTATACAACATAAAGTGATTATAGTCACTGCAATAAGACAAGAAAAATAATTAGAAAGGCATAAAGATTGGAAACAAACATGGTTGCTATATAGAAAATCCGAATGCATCTACAAAAACCTAATAGAACCAATAAGTGAGTTCATCAGGACTGCAGATTACAAAAGCCACAAACAAACATTAATTGCATTTTGTGTAAATGATTATATAAAAACAATTTTTTAAATGCCATTCATAATATTTCAAAATAAATGAAATATCTCAAGTATACACTTAAAAAGGTTTGTACAAACTCTATATGCTGAATGTTAACAAATATAGATGAAATAAATCAAATAAGATTTAATAAATGAAGAGACATACTGTGTTCATATATTGGAAGACTCAACAAAGTACAGATGTCATTTTTTCTCAAAGTGATCTATAAGCTTAATACTATTTCTATCAAGATCTCATCTGGTTTATTGTAAAATAGATAAGCTTATCATAGTATCTAGCATTGCTGAAACAGCCTTGACAAAGAAAAATAAAGTATATGACACTATTCAATATTAAGCCTTACTATACAGTGACAGTAGCTAAGACTGGTGATAGATGCATAGATAGATATATAGATCAATGGAACAGAATAGAGTACTTAAAAATAGACGTACACAAATAAGCTCCTCTGATTTTTCACAAATTTGCAGAAGAAATTCAATTCATTAGAGGAAGAAGAGCCTTTTCAACAATAGGGGCTAGAGCTGGAGCAATGAGACACCTATGCAAAAAATAAGAAAGAAAGAAAAAAGAACATCAATCTAGACCTTATTTATACCTTATACAAAAAATAAGTTAACTAAAAGTTGACAATGGACAGTTTCTTAATAAACTAAACAAGCAACTTCCATATAACCAGAAATTATACTCTTTGGCATTTTCAAAAGAAAATTATGCTCAAAAAGTTTGTAAATAAATGTTCATACTAGATTAATTTGTGAGAGCCAATAACTGAGAATGGACCAATATCCTTCATTGGGTAAATGGTTAAACAAACCGTGGTACATACATACCATGAAATGTCAGTAATAAAAAATAAATATATGACTAATATGTGTAACACTTGGATGAAACTGCAGAAAATTATGCTGAATGATTTTTAAAACCCCAGTGGTATACAAACTATGATTCCATCTATATGGCATTTTGAAATGGCATTATTTTTAAAATAGAGAACAGCTGAGTGGTTGCTGGGGTGAGGGACAGGGGTGGGAGCACCAAAGGGGATGTAGTTATAAAAGAGTAACACAAGAGATCCTTGTGATGATGCAACTTTTCAGAATCTTCATCAAAATGGTGGTTGTACAAACATACACAAGTGATCAACTACAGAACCAAATCTACAGACACACACAAATAAATAAATAAATAAATAGTAAAACTGGGATGGTGTGAATAAGAACTGTGGATTTTATTACCCTTAATATTTTGATTGTGACTTTGTACTATAGTTTTACAAAATGGTGCCACTGGGGAAACTACGTATATGGGAGCTCTTTGTGTTACTTCTTACTACTGCCTGTGAATTTCTACTTATCTCAATAAAAATCCATACTCGGTTGGGATGCTGTAAACTTAAAAAAAAAAAAAAAGAAAAGAATAAAAAAGTCCTGATGAATGAAATCAAAGAAGAGCCAAATAAATGAAGAGGTACTCTACGTATAGAGATTGGATCAATCAATACTATTAAAATGTCAATTCTCCACAATTTAATCCAAATGAATCAGTCAAAATCCCAGAAGGGTTTCTTTCAGATATCATCAAGTTAATTTTAAGCATATATGGAGATAAAAGGATCTAGAAGAGCCAAAATAATTTTCAAAAAAGCTATAGTAGTCAACAGAGTGTGCCTACACAAATACAGTAAATGACTTTTAACAAAGGTACAAAGGCAGCTCAATAGAGAATGAAGAGTCTTCAAGAAATGGTAATGAAATAAATGGATGTCCACATGTAAAATCACACGAACCTTGACACATACCTCACAGCTTAAAGGAAAGAAAACGCAAAACTCAAAGTGGGTCATAGACTCTAATAGAAAGTATAAAAATACGAGATATATTTATAGAAGAAAATATAGGAGAAACCCTGTGTGACCTTAGATTAAGCAAGAGTTTTTAACTATGACACAAACAACACAAATCTGAAAAGAAAAATATTGATATATTCGAGTTTAGCAAAATCAAAAATTGTGCTTTGCCAAAGACACTCTTAATAGAATGAAAAGGCAAGCCACAGACTGAGATATATATATTTGGAAATTACAAATTTCCTGGATTTATGCCAGGAAAATATAAACTTTTGAAACTCATAAAAAATGGGCAAAACATCTGAATAGACATTTCATTAAAGATGACATACAGAAGATAAGTGATGTACAAAAGAAGTTCAACATCATTAGTCATTAGAGTCACCAAATAAAATCTCAAGAAATCTCTGAATCATCTAAGTATTTTCTCATTCTCTTTCTCTCCTCTTTCTTAACTCCCACCTTACTGTTCTTTTTCTTTTTTAATATTATGAAGAGACATAACTTATACTTTTAAGCAAATAGCAGTTACAAATCATTAACCAAAAGCAATAAGCACAGTGTTCCTTGCTTGGCAGATTGTTTTTATAACGTTTTTTGGTGACTATTTATTCAGGAAGCTGTATGAGAAAACATTCAATGCACATACACTGGTTCACTTTTTGTGGTGCCTTAGCTTGAAAAATTCACTGATATTGAGAAGATAAATAACAAACAGAATTTATGAGAATTCGCTATAAATTTCCATCAGTAACATTAAAGAGGATAGTTATATCATATAAGGCAAAGTCTGAAAATAGTATATATAGCAAATAGGGCCAAATAGAGTAGCAAAACAAGATTTATTGAGTACATTAAATTAAATTATATATGTATATAAATAGTGCTTAATTATTATGTACACATATAAATGTATGCCTATATAGAAGTATGGAAATATATATTTATAAATGTATAGGTGTACATACACACATTTATATAGTTTTTCTATATTAAATTGCCTTTAAAATTCCTGATATAATTTTTATACTTTAGTTTATAATTTGTGTTACTGAATCCCTTGACTATTCAAAACAAATGTATATATATATGTATAATATATTAAAAATAATCAAATGCCTATTTGTTTTATGTACTTACAAGCTGCAAAAGATTTCGCACCTTTGTTATATTCTTCTGTTAACTTCATTTCTTTTAATGCTGTGTATCTATTTATTATTTGCAGGGTCATACACTGATAATATTTCACACATGAAGATTTATCTTGAATGGTTTTTACTATTCAGAATAATTCTAGGTCTGAGGTAAAATGACCCTCTTTGATTCCTCCAGCACACTGCATTTCATAAACAATATGATCAGTTCTATTGCTGTGATATACCAGCTCATCAATCTTAAGAAAGTATCAGTTACGATGAACTCAGAGTTCTTTAAGTCAAAATATGTAATTATTTTTATACAGCAGATAAAGCATAATGTAGGGGTAGAATAGGTGACTCATTAGAGACCATAGCCACTCTGCATACATGCTGCTCCCAGCATCTAAACACTTTTATTTCTTTCCTTAGTTCTTCCTACTCTCTCTCACTCGACACTCAGTGTTGATCTTCAAACACTGATCTTCAGAATACCTTCACTGTTAGCCATTTGCTTTCAAATAATGGTGTTTAATTGTGGGAAAGTTAAAAAAAAAGTGCTTGTGATGGTTAATTTTAGGTGTCAATCTGACTAGATTAAGAAATATCCAGAGACCTGGTAAAGCATTATTTTGGGGTGTGTCTGTGAGGGCACTTCCAGAAGAGATTTTGTGTAAGTATGAGTGGACTAAGTAGGGACCATCTACCCTCAATGTGGGTGGGTACCATTCAATGGCTGGAGACCCAGAAGCAGCAAAAAGGAGGAAAGGTGAACTGTGCTCTCTCTGTCTCCTGGAGCTTGGGTACACTCTTCTCCTACCATTGAACATCAGAACTCTAGGCTCTCTGGCCTTTGGACTCCAGGACTTATACCAGTGCCCTGCCAGGTTCTCAGGCATTTGGCCTTAAACCGAGCCATGCTACCGGTGTCCCAGGATCTCTGGCTTGCAGATGGCCTGTAGTGGAACTTCTCAGTCTCCATAATCACATGATTAATTCCCCTAATAAATCCCCTCTCTATCTATACATCTATCTATCTATCTATCTATCTATCTATCTATCTATCTATCTATCTATCTGTCTATCCATGCTATTGGTTCTGTCTCTCTGAAGACCCCTGACTAATACAGTGCTTAAGGAGAACTCTCAGAGTCAAATTTAAGTTGTATTTTTGTGTCTACTGCTATTTATGTAACCTTTTGCAGATTCCTAACCCTGATTTCTGATTTTTAATACTGAAATAAGTTCAGCAAGTTATTTTAGATAATGTATATAAAGGGATTAACATTGCGTATCATAAAGACTAAATGGTATCATTATACTTATGTGTTAATTTTCTTGTTATTTTGTGTTTGGTTATTCTGTCTTAAAGACAATCATTACTATTGAGGATAGTCTTGCTTTAAAATATTTATAATTATTTAATAATAATGAGAAAGATATAAATTACTAGATATTTCTTATTTTCTAAAGTAAGAGTGCTCTTATTTTCTGGAAAGAAAGAGTATAGAAGGTAGGTACAAAACATACATATATCTACATTTTTAATAGCTTTAGGCTAGTTTGAGGAAAATATTTTTCACATCAAAGGCATTATATCAAACCTGCCATCCTCTACTTTATACATATTAAAGAGTAATCAAAGAAATGGAGAAGAAACCATGTGGGAACGAACAACAAATAGGGAATTGCTTATCATTGCAGTTTTAGTAGGATCATAAATGATAATTTTTCTTCTATTTTTAAGTTCTGGCTGAGGTCACATACTGGAAAGAAAAGACCAATTTTTAAAAACACTTAAAAAAAGAGAGAGAGGTCCATTCCCTTTCTAAAAAGCAGATAAAATAATGAATACAAACTTTTCTCATCTTCCAACTCTTGGCATTGTAATAGTACAGTAAGTTAAATGTCACTTAAAGCAAAGGGAAAAATAATTTAGATAAAATTCACAGGAGTAGAGCACACTGGGAAAACCACACTTGCTACAATGAGAATAGAGTGTTTCAGATCAATTCTTCCATGAAAAACAATTTAAAAAGCTGAGGAAATGATTACAAATATTTCCGAATACTATCAAGGAAACAGGTATTTCCAAAGAAAGGAGAGTTTTAGAATTTGAATCAAAGAGCAAAATAATTCCAGAGGGCAAGGCTGGTGTTTGGTGTTGTATTCCTGTTTTAAATATTTGTCCATCTCAAAACTATGAGACAGATACACAGAAGTTCAGCAAACTCAACCTACACACAGAACTGCGGTAGGGAGGATCATTAAAAAAAATAAAGCTCAAAGCCAAATAAAAATTAGGCGCATTGATAACAACTCCAGGCTTTCCCATCGGAACTGATGTTAAGATAAACGATTATTTCTTTGAATATGCTTTCATCCCTACTCTCTCCTAGTCTTTGGGGAATCCAATAACATACATGCCAAATCTTTAGATACAATCCCCAAAATCCCTTAGACTCTGCTGATAATTTTTTCAGTCTATTTTGTCTCTGCTATTCTGTCATTTCTATCCGATTCTTTCAAATAAAATAAAACGGAGAAAGCCTCAAGTTGTTGCAACACTTTTCTAAATCAAAAGATTTGGCCAAAAGAAAATCCAGAAAATAGGCAGTAGAATCAACAATCATAGCATATGCAAAAAATAAATTTATCACATAATGAATTCAAAATAATGTTCAATATGTTTAACGTGAATTAAAGATAAAGTGGAGAAATTCAACAGAGTATATAAAATTATGAAAAAATTATTAAATAGAAACTCTGGAACTTAGACTGAAATTTAAAACTCAATAAATGAATTTAGTAGCTGAATAGAAACAGATAAAATCAAAATAAATGAATTGGAATAAACCATTAATCTGCATTAATCCAGGATATAGTCAAAAGAATACATGGAAATTCTGTCGCTCAAAAAGAGAGGAATGAGAAAATGAAGCAGAAATTCAATTTTCAAGAGATAATTTCTGGTGATTTTTCAAAACTGAAAAATGAAATCAAGTCACAGATAAGAGAAGCACTATAAATTTTAAGTTAGGTAAATAGCAGTTTAAACAAAACAAATGAAAACAAAAACTAGCCTAATCACAATAAAACTCTGACAACTAAACAATAGAATAACATCTTAAAAGCAGCCAGAGATTAAAGAAAAATATTACCTTTAAAGCACAAGAAAAACTCAAGAGCTAATTCTTCCCCATAAATAATAAAAGTCAGGCGACGAAGTAATAATATCTTTAATAGGCTAAAAAATAACTGCCATCCAAGAATGTATTATTCTTAAAAGACTAATAAAATAACACATAACTATCTTGGTAATACATAGAGATAATGATATAAATAAAAGAAAAAAGAAGACAGATGTTATAGGTAATTTCCAAAAATGACTCTGAGCAATTCCTCCCTTCTCTGTTCCTCAAAACCAAGAGATGGAGGTTATTTCCCTTCTCCATGAATTGAAGCTATCTCTGAAATTGCTTTCACCAATAGAATATATTAGAGACCACAGGTTGAAAATTCTTGCAGGTGCAGTGACTGATGCCTATAATCCCAGCACTTTGGGAAGCCGAGGTGGGTGGATCACTTGAGGTCTTGTGTTCGAGACCACCCTGGGCAACATGGTGTAACCACATCTCCACTAAAATACAAAAATTAGCTGGGAGTGTTGGCACACACCTGTAGTCCTAGCTACTTGGGAGGCTGAGGGAGGAGAATTGCTTGAGCCTGGGAGGTGGAGGCTGCAGTGAGCTGAGATCGCACACCACTGCACTCCAGCTTGGGCTACAGATTGAGACTCCGTCTCAAAAAAAATAAAAAAGAAAAAAAAAAAAAACAAAGGAAAAGAAAAGACAAAAGAAAAAAGAAAAAAATCTGAGCCCAGACCTTAAGATGATTGTCATCTTTCATTGCCATTCCTCTTGGATCAATCACAACTCTGATGTCCTTCCCTAGAACCTAGCGACAATATTGCAATAAGCTCCAGCCATGTGGATAAGCCATTTGTAGAAAACTACAGTGTTCCACTTAAAAGCCCCAGCTGTGTTCCCAGGTGACACTGAAAATCAACTGTCAGCCATGTGAGTGTGAACCATCATAGATATTCCAGGCCAGACAAGCCCTCACATGACTGGCCCCAAAGCTCCAGTTGATACCACAAAGAACAGAAGAACCACCTACTATACCTAGTCCACAGGCCTTGAAAATTACAAGGAAAAATATAAAGGTTCTTGCTTTAAAATATTGTTTTGTAGGAGAATTACCTGTACTGCAGTAGATAATTGAAACAGCAAGAAAGTAGAGGAACAATTAGAGAAGCATAATGATAAATAGAAAATAACAACATTGTAGATTTGAATGCAAACGTGTCAGTAATTACATGAATGCAAATGAACTAAGTATTCCAATTAGAAGACATAAATTGTCAGATTGGATTAAAAAAATATATATGTTTCTTACAAGAGACACACTTTAAATAAAAGGATATAGAAAAATTGAAAGTAAAATAATGAGAAAAATACAGATCTAGTATGCAAAAACTAATGACAATAATCCTCATATAACTGTACTATTTGTCTAAATAGATTTTAAAGCAAGAAACATTAGTTAGCATGAAAACTAACACTGCATAATTATAAAGGCTGAGCGCACTAAGAAGATAAAAATTATTCTAAAATACAAAAATAGCCTAATAAAATAATAATAAATAACTAATAAAATAAGTGAAAATTCGCAATTATAATGGGTGATTTTAATTCTCAACAAAAGAGAGAACATCCAGAAAAAAACAATAAAAGCAAGAGACATTTTTTTGCAATAAGATTTCATGTTCTTTTCAAGTACACAGAAAACATTTATCAAAATAAATCATATTTTGAACTATAAGAATCTGAAATGATTGAAACCATTCAGAATATGTTCTCTTTACTACACCTAAATTAAGTTAAAGATAAAATTAAAAAATCACTAGAAAGTCTACATTGTTGAAACGTAAGCAATTCATTCTAAATAACTAATATGTCAAAGCAAAAAGTCACAATGTTAGAAAACATTATGAACTTGATAACAAAAATACTGTATATCAGAATTAGAGGAAAGTTTTTAAACAAACAAATTTATTATGATGATAGAAAAACAAAAAGCTGATAACCTGGATATGTATTCTAAAAAGTTTAAAAAAGAACAGAAAACTAAATCCAAACAAAGGGGGCCACCCTTATGGTGATAACTGAGCCCCGGCTCTGAGTTCATGGAGATCTAATTATTTAAAAATGTGTGGCACCTCGCCCCTGCACTCTCTCTCTCTCGCTCCTGCTTTCTCCAGATGAAGTGCCTGCTCCCATTTTCCTTTGGGCCGTGATTCTAAGTTTCCTGAGGCCTCCCCAGAGGCAGATGCCAGCACTGTGTTTCCTGAACAGACTGTAGAACTGTGAGCCAATTAAACCTCTTTTCTTATAAATGACCCAATCTCAGATGGTTCTTTGTAGCAATGCAAGAGCAGCCTAATACACTTACTCTTTCCTTTCAGCCTCGACCTATTTGAAAACCAAGTCCAGGCTCTTGTTTGTTTGATTGCTTGCTTTTTTTGTTTTGTTTTGTTTTGTTTGAGTGCTTGTTTACCAGGTTCTCCCTTAATTATCAGACTTAGTTATACATTTGGCAGATATATCACAGAAGTGATAATATGTCCTCAGTGCATCATATAAAGAAAAACAATATTGGTGGTGATGACCTTGATTATGTTTTCCTTTGCAATTAATAAGTAACTTTTGATGCAATACTTTGAGACTAAGTAAACTTTTGTTCCTCATCAAAAGTTTCCATGTTAATTTTAGCACACACTGATTTTTCTAACTCCATATTCCTCCTATGTTTAATAACAGGAATTCTACTGAAACAAAGTTCTTTTCTCTTGCTTTACTTACTTTATGTAATTATTAACTGACAGACTTTTTTATCTAACGGGCTAGAAACCATTACAATAACTATTTATTTTTGATTCTCAAAATGTCCCAGGTTTGGTCAGAGGGACCCATTTAAAGCATTTAAAGTTGTTTTTTTGTGTCATTTGGGTATCCCTGTCATTTTTTCGAGCACTTTCTTACTTTCTGGTGCAGACGTTACCAGGTCACTTTATACTTCCCCTGTCTTATTCCTGGAATCATCTTTTTATTTTTCAAAAGAACTCTTGTTCTTTTGACTAGATACTCATATCTAGAGACCAAGATCTGAGTCCAAGGTGTGTGCTTATTGCATCAATCAGTTTCAGGGTGGCAGAGTTAAGAAATGCGCATATGTGTACTTCTGTATATATACCTGTGTTTCCATATGTCTGTCATCTGTGATCTATCTTTGTACCTATCTATATATACATCCCCATTTATCTATTCAAAATGATGAGCATACTGGTACCACCCATCCTAACACTTTACTATGGGATATATGCTGGCCTTTCCTCTTTATCATTATATTTACAATTCCCTTTTCCAACAGAAAAAAACCCTGACTGTTATATTCCAAATATATTTAAGTACTTTCCCAGAATACACACACACACTTCAAAATCATCAATACATACCACCATGAAAAGCACATAATAACTAGATTTTAATAGTCATTTATGCTTGTTTTTGAAGTTGATTTTATATAATATGGAAGGCACAGATCTTCAATGTGCAATATGTTGCACATTGTGTAATATGTTGAGCTTTGGCAATGTGATGACCTGTGCAAGTCATATGTCTATAGAAATATAGAATTTTTCTTTATTACTTTCTTAGGTAAATATACACCATAGACAACCGTGTTTTTAAAATTACTATTAATGAAATTCGTATCTCCCAATAGTTGTATAAATAGAATTATAAATGTTTATAACATGTGTCTGGGTTTATCACACAGCATGAAATCTGTGGGGCTCATGAACGTTAGAATGCTAACAGTTTTTGTTGTTGTTGATGGTGGTTGTCAAAGAATATTCTATTACATGAGTTTACCATAGTTAATATTTTACAGATAAATAGTTTTAGATTGTTTCCAGGTTTTGCTGTTATAAATAAAGTTTCTGTGAACATTCTTATAAAAGTATTTTTGTAGAGAAATGTTTTATTCACTCTTGGATAAGACAACTGGGAGTGGAATTATTGGATCATGGAGTTTAATTTGATGACAAACTGTCAAATATTTTACTAAGTAGTTGTTTCATTTCGCATTTGTGCCAACAATGTTTGATAGATCCCACTATTTCACACACTTACCCATATTTGGTACTGCAAATCTTTTTAATTTTAGCCATGATAGTAAGTAGGTATATCTAATTTTGTTTTTAAAAAAATATCCTGGTAAACCATACTAACCAATTTCTATGTGTTTATTCACCATTTATATATCCTCTTTTGTAATACTCAAATGTTTATTTTAAATTTTAAATATGCTTAAATTATTTTAGATATAAATTCCTTGTCAAATATATACATATATATCACAAAATATTTTCTTCAAAACTGTGTCTTGCCTATTCAATTTGAAAATTGTGGTGTGATTTAGCATAATAAAGCATTTAAATTTTTATAGAAGTAAAAAAATCAAGATTTATTATTATTATTATTGTCATTATTATTCTACTCTATGTTCTATGCAAAAAATCCTTTTCTACTTCCCAGGAGCAAAAGTATTTTCCTATTTTTCTTCTAGGAGGTTTATAATTGTGACATTTTCATTTGGCTTGCTTTATATCTCAAATTAATATTTTGTGTACAAAGTAAGTAGAAATTCACTTTTCATATGTGTAGTCACATGTTCTAAAACCATTTCCTAAAAATACTTTTATTTACCATTAGAGAATATTTGTAAAAAAATACTAAGTAAGTGGAGGTCTATTTCTGTGTTCCTAGACCTGTTGTATAGGCCTTTTTTTGTACTCTTATTCCAATAAAGTACTATCATGGATATTATAGTTTTATTGTAAATCTCAAAGTCTTCAAGAATCTGTTCTCTAACACTTACCTATTTCAAAATTGTATTGACAATTCTATAACTTTTTCATTTCCATTAAATTTCAGAATCAGCATGTCAATTTATGTAAAAAGACTTGCTAAAAGTATTGATAGCAGCAGGAGACAGTAAAATTCCTAGGCAGACAGGGATAGGTGGGTCCCCAGTGAAACCCAACTTTCAAGACAAAGACAGATTGAAGCCTGAAAACTGAGCTGCCAGTTCCAGATAGAGTCCACAACTTGAGTGAGAACTTTCTCAATGCCTTTTAGTCAATCAAAAGGTGCTTTTTCCAATACTACTCATGGACCAATCAGCACACACTCTCTCATTCTGAGCCCATAAAAACCTTGGACTCAGCCAAACAGAGGGCTACCCACTTCCAGGCCCCCTCTCACACAGAGGACTACCTGCTCTTGGGTCCCCTCTGCTGAGAGCTTTCCTTATGTCACTCGGTAAAATTCTTCTCTACCCTACTCACTCTCCTGTTGCCATGGACCTTATTACTCCTGGTCATGGGACATGAACTCAGAACTCACCAAGCTGAGGGTGGTGGGGCCAAGTGAGCTGTAACATGCCCCCGGTTCACTAAGATATAGGTGGAGAGAATAAATGAGCTGTGACACATCCCTGTTTGCTGAGCTGCACGTGGGAGGAAGAAGAGAGAGCTGTAACATTTCTTGAGGGCTCAGACCTTGGGATTTCCTGGGCAAGAGCTGGAACACCCCTTGGGGCTCCACAGTTGCTGGGATCTTCAAGTTTTGGGGAAGCACTCACTGTGTTCCCCACATCTAGATGCTGGAGCCCAATGAGGAAGCCACTCGGGATGCCCAGTTCAGCCATGAGACAAGCATGGATCCCACAATAGGCATGGGATCCATGCCAGGGTGCAAGCTGAGCACAGGGTGCCCGGCTGAGTGGATTGAGGGAGCCCAGTGGGCCCAATTGAGGCTCCAGGAAGAGATCATGGTGGCTGCAGAGATTTCTGGCTGGCAAAGCGGCATGGAAGGAATCTTGTAACACCGTAACCCTCCCTCGCACTCACTGAACTACAAAAGCTGGAACAGTATGATTTGGATTGAATGGTCTGTAGGTCAGTTTGGAGAAAAGCAATACATTGAATACTCCAATCCATGAAAATCATATATCTCTATTTATTCATATTTCCTGTCAGTATTTTTTTGTAGTTTGCAATACAGAGTTTGAGTATATCTTTTAAAATGTATTCCCAAGTATTTTGTGGTTTTTTAATGCTATTGTAAATGAAATTTACATTCTTTTCCAAATATTTGTGTGTGTGTGTGTGTGTGTGTGTGTGTGTGTGTGTGTGTGTGTATAAAATTGTGGGGAGATATATATATATATATATATATATATATATCTCCCCACAATTTAATTTTGTATATTGTGACAGAGCAAGAGCATTGCCGTCTTGGACAAGGCCCTCATTCTAAAGTTCACCTAAAAAAACAAACAAACAAAAAAACGCCTAAATCCAAAGGGACATCAACCTAATGGCTAAGGTTAGCATGACCATACACCACAAATAACATCTCCAACTAGAAACATCCCAAACTCCTCCTTGACCAGAGACATGCTAGACCTGAGATAAACCCCCTCCAGCTGGGAAGATGGTAGATTCAAGGTAACACTCCTCTGGGCCAGAAAGATGTCTGCCCCAAGATAACCTCCCCTCTTCCCAGAGAGATTCCAACTTCTCCACACACATAAACATTCAAAGCCTGTGATAAGTCCCCTCACCCTAAAACCAATATATACTCTTAGTCTGTAAGAGAAAGAGCTCCTGACTGAAATTGGCCAGGAGTGCCTCTCAGCTTTCATCTAAAGAAAACCTGTCTTTGACTGCCAAGCCATGTTTTGTGTTTCTTTCCTCTTTCTTTAACTCTTACATATTGACCTCGTACCTTGTGATCCTACCTACTGCACTTGTTGGTTCTTGTGTTTGTTTTCTGCAGCACTAAACATTTTCTATGTAAAGAATCATGCCATCCTCTGGGGAACATCACACACCAGGGCCTGTCGGGGGAGGAAGGAGGGATAGCATTAGGAGATATACCTAATGTAAATGACGAGTTAATGGGTGCAGCACACCAACATGGCACATGTATACATATGTAACAAACCTGCACGTTGTGCACATTTACCCTAGAACTTAAAGTATAACAAAAAAAAAAGAAAAAAATCTAGGCAATTTATCAACATATCTAAATTAAGTATTAATAAGCAGAGGGTGTATGCAGAATGAGAGAAGAGATCAGAATCTAGGGAAACAATGCTATTTGAATGGAGACTATAGGGGCAGAGGGGACAGTTTTCAACAGAAAACTATGCATTGCCCCATTCAGGAAAATCTTCCAAGCATTACTTAATTCTAGCTTTTTATTGAGTGAGCTAATTTTCAACTCTATAAGTTGTAGGTCTCTAATAGACCTGTAAATTACATCTTGCATAGTAGAGGTTCAACACGCTTCCCTTGCACTCTGTATTAAGACCAGTTTTGCCACCCTTTATGTATTTCTTTCAACATTCCTGATCTATAAATGTGCCTGCTTATACCATCCCCTTTGAACCAGTTATAACATGTGTATGGTAACCACATTAAATGAGGAGATTATTAAAATGTGTTTATTTTAAATCTGCAAAAAAAAGAATCATGACATCATCAAATATAAATGAATTCATATTTTTGTTTTCAATCCACATACAATCATATTTTCTTGCCTTACTGCCTTTTTCCCAAACTTAGAGCATTCATTATTTCATCACAATTATAATGTGACTCATACATCTTTCATGGAGTCCTCTTACTCAGTTGAGAAATCCCTTTGTATTTCTAATTTGTCAAATTTTTTAAACATGAATAGAAACTGGGTCTTTTATATATACCTATTGGGGTGATCACAGGATCTTTCTCTTATCGTCTCTTAATACAGTAAATTGCAACAGTGGACTTTTGAACATTGAACCAACCTCACATTCTAGGAATGAACACCAATCAGTTAGTGTGTGTTACTTCTATTACATATTGATGGATTTACCATCAGAAAATTCTGTGAGGAATTATTTGTATTTGTGAAAGTGTTCTGCAATTTTCTTTCCTCATAATATTCTTGTCATGTTTTTTTGTATTAGGTTATGCTTTCCACATGAAGCAAGCTTGTAAGTTCTTCCTTGCATTAAGTAACTTAAACCTTTCACAAATTATTTTATAGCAGGTTAGTTTTTACCTTCTAATTCGAAGTGGGGACTGAAGAGGGCTTAATTAATAAGTTTAAGGCAAAGAATAATTGTAGCACGTCTGTAGTTTTTTAACCAAAAAAGCTTACTCTTCCGATGTAAAACGTGATTCCAAAAAGTCTTGGCTATATAGTCTACCTATTTTACTGGTACCATCATGTCCCTAGTTTGAACAAGTTGTATTACTCTATCACATTGAAAACACACATTTGTTTCAAGTATATGTGTAGATGAGGAAGAGCAAAGGAGTCTCTCTGACAGATATATGGATGTTGGGAGAGAGAAGCCCTCTTCTTCCAATGACTGGGAAGTTAAAAAACTATGAAGTAGTGACTGCAGGTATAATAGCAATCTTGCCTAAAATGCAAAAGTGTCTTTCTTTGAAGATTAAAGCCCAGCATCTCAAGTCGATTCAGATAGGAAGAGAGGCAGAGACAGAGAGAAAGAGGGGGAGAGAGGGGTGGAGTTGGGGAGGGAAGGAGGGGGGGAGAGAGAGAGAGAGAATGATTGAGAAAGAGAGAGAGAAAAAAAAAAACTCAGAATAAAGTGGAGTAACCATACATGCTGGTTTGCCAGGGAGTTTTACCCTTGTTGTGTAAAAATTCATGCTTTTAAAATTAATTTTAGAAATTGTCTCTTACTCTGAAACATGTCTTAATAATGGATTATATGTTCACTCTTCCTAAAAATATTGTTTGCGTTCCTAGGGTCTGGCTATACTGTAAGCCAAATATAACCTAGATTTTCCAATTATATAGAATATTACTTCTCCATTCTTGCTTAAGGTAGATCAATTGGATTTCTGTCACTTGTAAACATATTAATCCTGAATATGGCTAAAATCTGGCAGAATTGGGATTTATGCCTTTATTTGCTTAACTCTGGGGTCAATGATTTTTACCTTATTCCATCTATTAAAACAAAAGTGTCAAAGTATTATTTTTTTTCGGATTTCCTGGCTTTTTAACTTGATAAACCTAAGACATTTTCATAATTGCACAAATGTTATCCAGAGTATAAGTTTTTGATACATATGTTTAATTGTAATTAAATTTTCTATTATTGAGTGCTTTTAATGTTTTTTTATTTTCTACCAATAGAAATATAATTCAGAACTAAATTTGAAAGTAGTGGCATTTTTGGTTTTCCCTGAGTGGCCCATAAAGTTATAATTTGAGTGCTAGAATAAAACTTCGATATCACTGGGCTGGGTTTTTTGTTTTTTTTTTTTTTTTTTTACATATTGGGGTAAAAAATTGTCTTATTTATCTTGAACTTTACATATTTTGCCCACAATTTTTCTTGGGATTTGATCAAGTTTTACTTTGTTTTCTTTTATTTCTGTGTGAAATTGTAATGCCACATGTATATGTTATCTTCACAAATATTTGTCATCTATTCCGCTCCCTATCATCTGTCTTCTTCTTGTAGATCTTATCATTTTTTCATATACTCTTTACATGAAAATGAAACTACTTTAATGTATTCTCTTTTGTTTTCTAAAAAAACAAACACATTACAGTATCAAAATTAGAATATCAGATGTAATATTTTATTTTTATTTATTTATTTATTTTTGAGTTGGAATCTCTGTCACTAAGGCTGGAGTCCAGTGACATGGTCTTGGCACACCACAACCTCCGCCTCCTGTGTTCAAGCAATTCTCCTGTCTTAGACTCCCAAGTAGCTGGGATTACAGATGTGTGCCACCATGCCCAGCTAATTTATGCATTTTTAGCAGAGGTAGGGCTTCACCATGTTGGCCAGACTGGTCTTGAACTTCCGGCCTCAAGTGATCTGCCCACCTCAGCCTCCCAAAGTGCTGGGAGTACAGGTGTGAGCCACTGCATCCAGCCCCAGATGTAATATTTTTAAATAAATATTTTAGCTACAGGTTCAAAAGTAATGTCTCAATTTATAAAACACAATTAAATATACTTTCCATTGATATTCAAATTTGAATTTTGAAATTCAAATTTGTGATTTACCAATTTCTGGCCCCAAAGCATTGTTTTTTTTTTCTTCTCTAACCCTTAATATCAGCCTTTGTCATAATGTTGATATTGTTTTTCTTTTCTTCCTAACCAGAAAAAATAATGATCACCTATCTGAGAACAACAAACAAAATACCGTACACATTAGCACAGACAATAATGCTGGTATTGATGTTAATGGTAAACGGGTATCCAGGTTCTCGGCATCTTGAACAAAGAATTGGACAAAATGCACAAACAAAGCAAGGAAAGAATGAAGAGATTTATTGAAAATGAAAGCACACTCCAAAGTGGGAGTGGGCCTGAGCATAATGGCTAAAAGGACCCGTTACACAATTTTGGGAGTTTAAACACCTCCTAGAGGATCCTTTTGTTACTTGGGGTACACCTTATATAAAAGGAGAGGGTGAAGTAAAGTTACAAAGTCATTTACTTGGTCTGTGCCCTATGGAGAGGATATTTCCTGTCATAGCTGAAGTGTGAATCAGCCTTATGTTGCCTGCCTCCAGGCCCTATTTTCCTGCCTCATCTCCCCCCGAGAAATGTGATCCCCGTAAATCTTTATGGGAGGCAGAGAAATCAATGGTCTTTTTTCTGTAACTGCTTCATGCTGGCTTGGGGCATAGTCCCTACCTATTGGGGATCACAGAACTCCCTGTTCTGTCTAGTGGAGGCAGGGTAGTTTCTTGACGGCCAGGAGTGGTGTCTTCACCTGGGAACTGGTTGAAATTCAAATTTGTGATTTGTTTGAGCCTTTGTTGCATAATTATCTGAAGCTTGATGGTCTCTAGGCCAGAGGAAACGAATTTGGTTAAAAGATTTAATGGGAATTTCAGGGGGTGGACACCTATGCTGTACCTATGTTGTGAGAAATGTTTGTTATAGAGATTTGCAGCAGAAAAAAACAAAACCTACTCTGTTCTAGAATCTGTGTGTTTCCTTAAAGTCTTAGCATGAGATACTCCATTTCGGTTTGGTATAGTTTGTTGGGGCCTAGTGCATAAGCCTAGTCCAAAACAATGGCCTCCCATAATTTTGTTTAAAAAAATTCCTCCTCTTTGGTCAGGCTCTCACTTAGGTGACAGTGTAAACAAAACTTAGGGCCTTAGTGCCACTCTCAGTTACCATCATTTTGGGTTTCCAGTCTCAGCAGGTCATTTATAGGTTACAATGTCCTCATGGTTGCACATTTATTTCAGCTCCTGTTATTCCAGTTGGAGAGAGACCATACGACATTCTAGAGATGGCTGCATGCAAGCATTTAAAACCTTTGAGAGAATACAGTACACCAGGGAGACTGTTATTATTACTACTGGGGGATAATACCAAGAGTTCAGAATATGCCCTTTACTTAAGGTCCCCACAAACCAAACCTCCTAAAATCAAACAGATCAAAAAATGGGCTAAAGAGTTTACTCACTTAATTAAGCAATGTCTTTGTTAATCTCCTACCACTGAATTTCTATAATCTTCATTTGATGTATTTCTCTATAGGCCACAAGTGCTTCTCTGTTTAGCCAACTCGATTATAACTTTCACAAGATAATTTAGTCTATTGTGTAACTGTAGGCTTTACTGTATAATTTGCTATATACATTTCTAATCATTGCTTCTTTTACTTTAAACCATGGAAAAAGGACATAACAAATAATGCCCTTTTAAAAGAATGAAGGCCTTCTGGCAGTGTTCTCTTTGGTCCATGATGTGGGTTAAGAAGAGTGAACCAATGTTTTGTTTCGACTGATTATGAGGTAACACATGTACCATTAAAGTTTCTTACCTACATTGGGCCTTCATCTTTTATCTATCAAAGTATAAGGTTGTCCATGTATAAGGTTTGCTGCAAACTCCTACACAAATAAAATTACACCCCATTAGTGCACATAACAGACCCTTTTCCACTTCTATTGTTCATAGAGGCATAAGTGAGAAAAAACTTTCAAAGATAAGAGTTTCATGACAGTAAAAATCTTAATCTGCGAACTGGAGAAAAGCTGTTCACATCAAGGATGCCACCTTCTTCTTGGGAGAAATTTCCCTAGTTAGCTTTACCTCAAGGGTTCCAATGGGTGCACAGTTCCAAAAGCGTGGAGGGACCCTTCTCAGTTGCGAGACCATGAACCCAAAGCCCAAAGTCCTGAAGTTTCGTTTTAGTGGGGATGGCAAGGACAGTCTTTCTCTGATGTTTCCAGAAGATTCAAACCATAAAAAGCTTTATTTACCTGGTGAAAATACACTGTAGCATAATAATCTACTGCTATAACATCAACTCTTTTGCATGGGAAAGCTTTTATACAACCAGAAAACATGCACTGAAAATAACAATGGAATGAAATCCCTTTATAAAATGTTTAAATGGCCCACCAGGTGACCAAATGTACCTGAAGCTTTGTTTTTCCAGAAATATGGGATCAAGCATTGCTTATAAACTATTTTAAAAAATTTCAGCATTAGCTTGTTTAACATGAAAGTATTTTCTTGATATTTAATTCAATTTTTCTGTTTTACTTGGGTTAGTAGCTTTATACAAGGAAATTTGGTTATTTCTGTAGTTTACAATAACTTAACATAATAACTATAATTGTGATTGGTAGCATGTACTTAGACATTAGAATTTTAGAAATCTCATACTACTTTGGAATATATATTAGTATTATTCACAAAATATAACCTAAAGAAGATTGAACATCATTTTGGCAATCCCATGTACCCAAATGTGGCAAATAATTCTGTTTACCTCTTTTCTGAATGTTTTCAGTAAAACATCTATCCAGAAAGCCAGGCATTAGGAAAGACAGTTTTGAAACTGAAGCTTGATTTTGGAATTTCAGATTATTATATATTATTTATTTTACCAAAATGATGACTCAGAAATTGTAAAGCAGCAAAAACCTTTTATAATCTTTAAAAAAATTAAAAAAACACATTCTACTGTTTTTACACACCTTGCATGTAAAACTGTTTCCAATAGTCTTAATTGCATGTTACAATGGTGACTCTTAGCAATTTTAACTTTAATGTAAAACCTGGTAAGTTATGTTCTGATAGTTTGACTGTTTCCAGCATAGTTAGGGCATGGCCAACTCCACATGTCCCCAGGCCTTACCTAGCTGGAAGGCAGGCAAGTTAAACAATTTTTAAAATCCAAAGAAGCAGTTTATGACCTTAAAGCATTTAGCAAACCTAATATTTGAACATAATTTAGACCACATGTTTACATTTTGAAGACATTGTATTTTACCAATAATCTTTAAAGCTGTTTTATTTCCCAAAGATTGCTAAAGTCACATGAACTAAAATGCATTACACTTTCTACTTTTCTGACAAAATATTTGATTATCCAGTTTACACAGAGAGAAAGAGGCCAGAGACTGACTAGCAGGAAATTGTTATCCTTTTGCTGGCATGCCAGGTTTCTGGGTTCCCTCTCCCTGAGCGGCTCTGGCAACCCTGCTAGACTGTATGCAAACAGACACATCGCCATAAATTAAGAATATTCATACATAGTGTACAAATTTTGGAGAAACTAAGCAGGGAGAGAAATATGACTTAAATTCTATTTGTAAGAGTATACTCCACACACTTAAAGTATCAGGCAGCCTAAAAGCCAAAAAGTTAGTTTAAGGATGAAAAGTTCGTGTGCTACATAAATTCCTGTAGCCTCACAAAGGTAGCTTAGAAATTCCACATAAATGGAACGAATAATGACTCGCTAGAAATGCATAGGAAATAAAATAACTATTCACAGAACAAAATAAAATCCTTCCATTAGAAACTAAAAAGCATCATGGCTATATATATATATATATATATATGCATACACAAGCAAAGCCAGAAGAGAATAAACAGCAAATGAATGAAAACTAGAAACAAAAACAAACATGAAATCAACCCTACATTTTCCTACTCAATTTACCCTAGAGCCTACAGTGTTATCTAAGCCCCTAAAAAGCACATATATTGAATATTTTATTCGTGATACACAATTCAATATCCTTAAGTTCACCATTATCATTGTAAATTCTGTGCAATCAAGAAATTCACCTTAGGCATGTGACCAATAACTACTTTAGCACTATCCACACAAAACAGTAAACATACAATGAAGATAAGGGTTTAAGCCCTGGTCACCTGCTGCATTCTGAGTCACCCCTGGTCACCTGCTCCCTCCTGAGTCACCCCTGGTCACCTGCTTTGACCTGAGTCACCTTTAGTCCATAATGGTCTTTCCCACTGAAACTGCTCACCCTGCGACTCTGGATTGTACCCCTGCTCTCTTTAAAATAGCCAACGAAATTAGCTTAGACTGTGCCATCCAACCCTAGCCAACAGGGGAACGACACAGCAGTAGGGGCCACCTGTGTCAGGAATAAAAACCCCTTCCCGTCCCTTGTTCAAGTGTGCTCTTGCCATTGTTCCATCTGTGAGACACACCCTTCTTTAGAAGTAAAATTGCCTTGCTGAGAAAATTCATGTTCAAGTGCTATTTCTTTTGTGGCATTGAAAATTTATTTCCAACATAGATATGAGCATTTACAGGTAAGAATAATTCCACAATTTTAGAACTATTTCCCCTATCATAACCCTTTCTTAATTGGAAATGACCGAGATATTGAGTATCAAAAATAACTTTAAGATTTTAATTTACAAGAAAGTTTACCTAAAATGTTTATCCCATTCACTGTACTTAATTTTTTACTTTTAGCAAGGGAGGCATGAGACATCAATCAACATGTGTAAAACAAACATTGGTTTGGTCCGGAAAGGCAGGACAACTTGAGGCGAGGAGGGGGCTTGGAAGCTTTCAGATTACAGGGGGGAGACAAACAGTTGCATTCCTTTGAGTTTCTGACTAGCCTTTCTTCAAAGGAAGCAGTTGGATATGCGTTTATCTCACTGAGATTTTGAATAGAATGGGAGGCAGGCTCCCCAGAAGCAGCTCCCAGCCCGAATTAACACTGACATTTTAAAATATCTAGCAAAGACAAACATAAAATTCAGACAAAATGTATGCTGACAATTCTGAAGGCCTTTCTATTTTTGTTCCACAAATAATTTTAAAGATAGCTTGTTTAGTAAAGTTATATTTAGGTCACATGGCCTTGAAAATTGCTTAGTCTTATTTGCTTAATTTATGAGTGCTCTTTTACTTATAAGCCAATTTGGTAGACAAAACATATAACAATAAGTGTACATACAAATAAACACATTTAGACATATATACACACACATAAATGAAGATCTGACAGCTTGGAATCTTAGCCATAAGATAGCAATATAAGCTTGCCATTTTTACTTTACCCTAATACATAATCCAAGGAAGGCTGCGAACCAAAATTTTGGCTAAAGCAGTCTCCAAGGCAGTTTGATTTTATTTTTTTTTTTTTTTCAGATGGAGTCTCGCTCTGTCACCTGGGATCAAGTGCAGTGGCGTGTTCTTGGCTCACTGCAACCTCTGCCTCCTGGGTTCCAGCAATTCTCCTGCCTCAGCCTGACAAGTAGCTTGGACTACAGGTGTGCACCACCATGCCCTGCTAATTTTTGTATTTTTAGTAGAGATGGGGTTTCACCATATTGTTCAGGCTGGTCTGGAATTCCTGACCTCGTGATCTACCTGCCTCAGCCTCCCAAAGTGCTGGGATTACAGGCATGAGCCACCATGCCCGGCTGACAGTTTGATTTTTAAAGGCTAAATCTCCCCAGACTCCAAGGAGCACTGGGACGAAACAGTTGTTATAAATTAAGTTCTGATGCCGCAAAAGAAATAGCACTTGAATATAAAATTTTCTTTTTAATTCTCAGCAAGGCAATATACTTCTGTAGAAGGGTACAACCTTACAGATGGAGCAATGGTGAGCACAAACTTGGACAATGGAAGGGAAGGGGGTCTTATCCCTGATGCATGTGGCCCCTGCTGCTGTGTCATTTCCTTATTGGCTAAGGTTAGACCGCACAGGCTAAACTAATTCTGACTGGGTAATTTAAAGCGAGTGATGGGGTGAGTCGTTTGGTGGGAAAAATGGTTATGGCAGAGCAGGAAATCAGAATGAGTCAGGGTGGAGAATGAGCAGGTAATTGGAATGAGTCGGAGTGGAGCAGGTAATCGGAATGAGTCAGGGTGCAGCAGGTAATTGGAATGAGTCAGGGTGGAGCAGGTAATTGAAAAAGGTTGCTTTATGAGGAAGTCAAGTTTAAAAGTAGAAGGCAAAGAATTGAACATACTGACATATTGATTCTTTGAAGAGAAATTTAGAACTCATACCTAACACAGTACCAAAGGAGGGCACCACACATTAACCAGGCCCCCTGCTTACAACAGCAGCACAAAAGCCTGGAGACATGCAACACCATCCCACTATCCCAACACGCAGTAAACTTCAGATTCTAAACAATTTTAGGGTCAAGCAGCATTGAAACTGTGAGATAAACTTCTAAGGAGACCTCAGAACCTCTGCCAAGCACGAACCCTTTGTGCAGGTTGAGGTCTGCAGGACCCACAGAGCATCCTCCTGTGGGGTCCAATCTTAGAGTTTCAGATGTCTCTGACCTTACTTAGGTGGGAACCAGTGCCACTTTGCATGCATTCCCACCAGAACCTGCTATGAGCTTTCCTTCAGTACCTGGGTGTAATCCTCGATTTTTAGCATCCTTATAATTTGATAAGGCCATGCTTTCCCATGCTTCCCATTCCATGAACTTTAATGATAGGAACTGGAGGCTGGGTGGGTTTCCTCTGACTTGGCCGGTTGAATAGGGGAAGGGAAGAATTTAGCATGAGAAAAGAAGGTTTAAGTCTCCTGAAACATGTGCAATTTGCTTCAAGCTGTGCCACATGTAGGGATCAGGGACCACACGTGGAAAAGATAAAAAAAAAAAGTCTTTCCCACTTTAGGGCAAGGCAAATATTCCCATTCATTTCTAGGCCTTCAGGCAGTACTAGGGAGTCACCCCAGCCAACTGCCCTCAATTTCCAAGGAGCTACGAGGAAACAGCCTCTGAAAGACTGAAAAAGAAAGAAAGAAAAAAAATTTGGAAAAGACCTGGGTTCCTAAAGTGAACTGGGTGGTAGTGGTCAGGCTTCTCCACATGGAAACTCCTCAGTTTCACTAGCCATGGCCAGAATCCTGCAGTTGCTTCCATGTTTAGGTGCTGCCCACCAAGCGTCCCAGGTTGGAAAGGAAAAGAGCTTTCCTGTATGGAGAAGAAAGGAAAAAGAGAAAGGAGAAGAATAAATTCCAAACTTTGGGCTTACATCTTCCCCCTGGCTGGCTCACCAAAATATGCTAACGATAGAAGGGTGTCCAGTTCTTGAACAAAAAAATTGGACAAAACAGACAAACAAAGAAAGGAAGGAATGCAGGGATTTACTGAAAATGAAAGTACACTCCACAGTGTGGGAGCGGGCCCAAGCATAGGCGCTCAAAGGCCCCGTTAACAGAATTTTGGGGAGTGAAAAACCCCCTAGAGGATTACACTGGGGTACACTGTATGTAAAAGGAGAGGATGAAGTGAAATTACAAGGTCATTTACTTGGCCTACGCCTCATGGACCTCTCCATATTTCCTGTTATAGCTGAAGTGTGGAATCAGCCTTATGTTTCCTGCCTCCAGATCCTATTTTCCTGCCTCATTGGGAAAACATATCTTCAAAAACAACTCGATTTGGTGAGGGAAAAAATGTGTTTATAATTCAGTTAAATTATGGTGCCATCTATATGGGACTAGAGCCCAATTAGAGCTTGATAAGAAATTAGAGGGTTTTGGTATTACCAATTATTCTATGTGATAACAATGTTCGAAAATTTTTCAATGTAATTTCAGAGGCATCTAGGGAATATCTGTCATGAGTTGATCTTCTTTTTAATAAAATACTCACAACTCCTGGATTCTTTATTAGGCTTCCCAAATCATTTGCTTTTTGCTTCTTATTTTAGCTATGGAACTCATTATTCAGAGACCCAAAGCCTCCTTGTGCTCTGGACTATTTGTGTTCAAGCTCCACAAATTCTTATGCCTTAAATAAGTCCATGGCCCTTATTTTTCAGTCAGAATAGACACTGTATGTAAAGAAATAAAAACATACCAGCATCTTCATGCCTTTTTGATGCATAATTAAAGCAAAGCAATCTTAAATTAAAAAATCAAGCTACCACACTTTCAATCTGCACTTTAATATTGGGATAGAAATTCCAATTCTGCCCTTACTTTTGAATCAAATAAAGGGCCCCTGTTTTTGACTCCATATAAACATGTTTTTGACACCTTTCATTGCACTGTGATTGTCTATAATTTATTATCCAGGCCAGTTATTTTGCTATCATTACCATGGGTTTCAATTAAGCCAGGTGCTTAAGAACATACAAATTTAATGTGTTATTTCAGTGAATGCAACACTAGACTGTAAAGATGACAAAGAACTCCTGAGCCCAAATTATCCAAGCTTTAGGTAATGTTTTCTGTATTAATAGAGCAGCTCTTGCAGCAATAATTTATTCTGAATAGTGTAATAAAAGGTAGCTGGCATCATCAACTAGCAAGTTATTATGAATTTGAAGAGAGTTTTGAAACCTCAAGCTGGAGAGCAACCGCAATTTCATTAAAATAAGGCATTGAATCAAAGATGTTCCCATCACAAGTACATTGATACAACAGAATAAAACATTGTGCTATTTCTTCCTATTAGTTCCATGATGAATTGCAAAACTGATATAACATATTTCTAGAAACTGGGAACATGTATATCACATATGATTTAACCAAATAGACAATGTGTATTGTTAAAAAGCTTTGTTTTGACTTTGAAACAAAATCATTTAGACCAAAAATATACTATATATACAGTATGCAGTGTGACATATTTGTATTCATAAATAATGATCTGTATTAGGACTGTTATCCAAAAAATATCTATGTCCTAGCACATAGTGGTTGGCTGAACAATTATGAGTCTTGTAAAATAATTCAGAGCTTATGTTTTAAAATAGCACACTGAACACATGAATGACTTCTCACTTCCTAAAACCCAACTGAAACTATACTATTTGGATACAAATAAAAAGGTGGAAATCCTCGATGACAAGAAAATGAGAAAAGAGATAGCAACAACATTTGAAAGCTGGAAGAAAGTTGGGTAAATATTGCCTGAAATAGTAAATCTAAGAGAGATGAAGTTGAAGGCACCAAAGACTCTAAAAATTTGATCTTGAGATGAAATCCTTGAAAGGCTCAGGAATTGGTAGCCATGGGAAACCTTTAATGTGGAGGGGGAGGGGTACTGAAAGTAGGGAGATTCAGATTTCTTTTCTCAGTCATCTCAGGTAGGAATGCTTATCTTCTGAAATAGGAGTGAGAGTTCATTCTGGAGAAAGTTAATCAGAGTGACTGACAGTGCTGCAGGGACATCTGAAGATTTTGGTTGTGCTACAAAGTGTATCTCCCTCGTACACTTTCTTGGGAGACTACTGGAGGTTGTCTTTTGCCAACATAAAAAGTAAACAAAGTAATAGAACACATAGGACATAAGTGAAAGATTCTCCCAGGGGCCTGAAGGCTTGAAGGGATGAGTAACTCCTCCCTTCTCAGGCCCAGTCCCAAGGCACAAGGCCACTTGTGCCAGCAGCGTGCGTCAGCAAGATAGCAGAAACAGGAAGAGAGCTGGCCAAAAGACACCTACCCTGGCCAGAAGATACCTACCCTGGCCGGAAGACACCTACCCTGGCCAGAAAACACCTACCCTGCCCTGAAGACACGTACCCCTGAAAATCGAGAAAGAGGCCATCCGGATACTAACGGTAGCAGTCACGTCAGACTGGGACACTTCCTGTTTACAGAGGACTATAAAACCCCTGCCCCATCCTCATTTGGGGCTGACGCCATTTTAGGCTTCAGCGCGTCTGCACCCAGGCGCTCAATAAAACAGGGTGTTCCTCCACACCACCTAATGTTGTCTGTTGGCACGTTCTCCGGGTTCGAACAAATACAAGAACCTTTCAATAAGAAACAAAAAATTCACCACAGAAGATAGAAAAGGGACATTCCAGGTTGATGTGAAAATGAAATGCTGTAATGGCATTTGTTCATTAACCCTAATGAGGGAAGCCATTTTCTACAGGAGCATGAAGAGAGGGTCTCTAGGAGAGAATTCCCCAGGTGTAGGTGTTTGAGTACCTTGAGAGAAGGATTATGCGCCTAGCAGAAAATTGTGTGATAATTAATCAAAGGCACATGGATAACTAAACACAACAGAAATGCGCATTAATCATTAATTTCAAGGAAAAAAATGTTGCACAAGAAAGAAAATGAAAATTTATATAGCGAAGCTTAGCTGCAACTTATATTTTTAGCCATGATAGTGTAAAGAATTGTATTAATACTTGTTTTCTATTGCCATATAACAAATTATCACGAAACTTAGCATCTTAAAGACATACAAATGTATGATTTATGTTATTGTTGTCAGGATTCATTTCCTTGTGATTGTATGACGGAGAGCCCTGGCTTCTTACTGTCTTTTTTCATCTTCTAGAGGCCACCAGCAGTTCCCTGCCATGTGGTCCTCTCTACTTCCTGTAAAACAATCCTGAGTTCCAGGAAGAAACACACCCAGCTAACACATTGCTTGTTTGCTTCCTCAAGGCCAGAAGGAGTGTTTCTTTCTCCAGTCTGCTAACACAGAGTCTTATATAAGGTAATCAAATCAAGGAGCTCACAACCAATCACCTTTCTTACATTGCTTTGACTAGAAGTAAGTAACAGGTTCCATCCACATTCAAGGGGAGGTGATTTTACATGATGTACCACCAAGGGCCAAACATCTTGGGGACCAACTTAAAATTCTGTTTAACACCATATTAAATATGAATTTTAAAAATAGCTTGAAATGGCAATATTGGAAAATTAGAGGAAAATATAGTACATGGAGGTTTATAAGATCTAATTTTTTTCATATTCCAACAGTTGGTAATATCTAAAACAAAAACAGTTAAAAATATTAGTTTAAGAAAACTAAGAATATGAAAAAATATGTCAGAAGAAAAATATTTAATCTTGTTCTATATTTTGCAAAGAGAAAATTAAATCAGCAATCGAAAAATATAAGTAACATTTCACCTAAAAAACAGAAATGGATTTAAGAGAATAAAGTAGATAACAGAACTACTAAAAGAAAGGTGGATGAGAAAGAAAAAAGTTAACTTAGACTTGGATGTAGAGATTATTGAAATGAAGATAATCATTCCAGGACACATGGCTAGAAGTATCATGTGGGCAACAAGCAGAAAATTGAACGTATGTTTCTAATAGTTTATCTGAGACTATTTCCTCCTATATATATAGGGTTTTCAAGAAATAAAGATCAGATACGATAATTTGTCAGAACACCATACACACTAAGGTAGCAGTAGTTTAAGAGAAATTTGTTAAATCGATTTTTCAAAAATGTATTCATTTAATCAGTATTCAATAAATAACATATGGAAGACTTTTGGACAACCGTGTTATGTAAAATAATATAGTAAAATGGAAAAAATGATGTGAGGGATTAATATTTACCTAAGAAATTTGCATTAGTCACAGACATATCAATGGAAATATTATTGTTAGAAAGTTACATTCAGCCACTTCACCAGCAAAAATACAGAGTAGAATTCTCATGACTACTAATATCCTGTGTGTGTGTACATGTGTGTGTGGATCTTTTGGGAAAGGGGCAAGAAACAGCAACAGGTACATATAAATAGAGAAATATCTCTGGTTTAAAATTTCAACTTATATGTCTCTATATATGAATATGCCATGCAAAAGAGCATTTGCCCCTTAAAAACAGATGGTCCTAAGGGTTTCTTCTGAACATCATTTTGGAGTTTGGTAGCAAACAAGTTAGGACCACAACTGAAATTTTAAGGAGCATCTGGAAATAAAATGAAAGTTAAGCAAAAGGAGAACATAAAGAATGTGAGCTATCCAGTGAATGGAGAGTCCAATAGATGGATTCAGACATTAACAAGCATTTGAAAAATCATAGCCAGAGGCCAACATTCCAAAATGATAGAATGAAGTAATTCCAAAATAATGGAATATTCTCCTTCTAAGAAAGTTTCATTTTATCTTCTATCTAAAGCAAGACAGATACTGTCCCAGCTATTTCACCTTCAATTTTACTTTGCACAGCAAATATATCAATCAGTAGTAAACCCTGACACAAACATGAAATTCTCATGTCTTGTAATCATTCATTTTATGAATAATGAAATCACTTTTAAATCTGCCCATCATGACAGGACAGGAGGGCTAGAGCAGAGGAAAGGGAGAGGAAAAAAGAAATATAGAAATTGAGCTAGAAAGAATATTCATTCTATCCACTAGTATAGTGAGGTTCAAAATTCTAAAAATAACTCATCAAAAATTATAAAATCCTGCACTGATGTCATCAATAATAAGAGATAAGAGAATGGAGCTGAAAATACTGGTTAAAACAAAACAAAACAAACACTGATAAAATTAAAGGGAAAAAATCATTTGGCTTTTCAGGAAAACAAAGCAAGAAAACAGCAACAATAACAATGGCAGTGTGGTTCACTGAGTATGTGCCCAGGGCATGAAAGAGAAGAGCACAATTTCCCTGACAGAGCTGAGATTGTGTTCTGCTTACTTCTGTGGGAATCGGGGGTAGGTGTGCAGCTGTTAAATGATACATGTTATTTACTCTAATACAATTAAATGTTATGGATTAAGACAACATTTCATATCAGCACTAAATATAGATGTTATATAATGGTAAAATGAACTTAAGCAAGTCAAGTATCTGCTCTTGTTTTGCTGTATAAAGAACAATATTTTAATAATAGAAGGATTTGTGAAACTATTTATAATTTATAATTATATGACTTGAAAGTAGCTATTTTCATTTCAAGTTTTACACCTAACTTCCTTTTGTGTCTTTTTTGAACAATCGTACTTCCTCTTAACTTGATGAATTCTAGTTTTCAAGATTGATATAGTCTAAATTGTGACTTTTCAAAATAGAATTAAATTCTATTAAAAAATAACATTAAATATGAAAGTAAAATATAGTTATACACAGGAAAACATTACTGACTAATTCCAAGAGTGTTTTAAAATAAAATAGGACAATCTTAGCTAGCCTGAAAAGATTCAGATGATCATATGCTATGACACGCTGAGTAACATGCTTTCAAACATCACTATCAATCCATCAACAAACTAAAATAAAATTATCCAAATTTCAATATAAGATTTAAGAATATTTAAAGTAACTTTGAAAAGTTGTCAGACTCTGGTAATTTAGCAATTGATTTTATTTGAATAGTTTATAAGAAATAGTATTAAGACTCCCATTATTTTCTGATTCTAAAAACTAAAATCAGAAGTATAACAAAGAGAAGAGCTGAGGATGTTTGTGTGAAAATGGAAGTCAGAAATGGTTCCTTAAGAAAATGATGGAGTATAAAGAATTTGGCCAATTGTGATCCCTCAGCACAGAAGGTCAAAGCTACCTGAAGTTAATTCTGCTTTCTGAAGCACACCAATGTGAAGATGAAGACATGCTGCTCCCAAATGACTTAGGATCAGCAAGTGCTTATTTACTATCTTGTTTAATAAGTGCTTAAGTTTCACTGCAGAACAGGCTTGATATCACCATGATACTATGAACATAACCCATTAATATTAATATGAATTATATATGCTATGCAAAGGTTTGAAAGATGTGCATCGGTTATTTTCTAAGTTGTTGGTCAGTTTCTAATAATATGGATGCACCATGTAGGTTACCACTTTGAATAAAAAGGTGATATTTATAAAACAGTGAGAAGACATCTTTAGTATTAAAATTGGAAAGATAGAAGGAAGAAAGTTTTCAGAATTTTTCATAAATTTTCATTATAATCCAGTTAAACCCAGTAAAATAGTTATAATAATCTCTGCAGCATGAAAGTATATCAAATTTGGCATGTTTGCAATATTTTCATTTAAATTTAAGGAATATATTTTTCTTTGTTGTTACAGAGTAAACTAAGTGAAAATAAACCATCTAAATGCCTAATGCTCATATACCAATATGTTAATTTTAAGTAGAGCATCAAAGTGGGTGAAAGAACATTCATAATTAATAAAAATAGCTGACTATCCAATTTTAGAGCAATTCAAAAATCCAACTCAAATATGGAGCACCAATTCTCTATCAGTAACACAGTAAACAAGTGAAATTAACTTCATGAGTGTTTTGAAAAATTAAGAAAATGATGACATAAAAATAGATGTCTTTATTGCTACTCATTCCTGAGATGCATCAACTATTGATCATCATGAATATGCACCTAGAATCTTGTTTGATTCCATGGAACTTAAAATGAGCATTATTTTACTAAAATTGAAAGCATCTTAGGAGCTTTTAGCATGTTTGTCACTTTAACTTGATTACAAAATTTTTCATGTGAACACAAATATTTTTAAACCACGTTGATACTAAAAAAAACTAGAATTAAAATGTATGTAAATTATATTAATATAGTCTCTAAAATATACTGCATTTTTATTTTGAGAAATTGGATTTTATGTTTTCATGAAACTTAACAATGTGGTAAAAATAACTATATAATTTCTGATTATAAATTTACTTTATCCACTTTCATAATACTTGATCTTTTATAGCTCATAATGAATATCAATCAGTAAATAAAATTTTTCATAAAAATAACTTCATATGAAATGATTACTAGTAGTTAAATCAAGGAAGCACAAGTTGTCATTTTAACTAACAGACTACAATAAAAAACACATGTAAAATAAAAAGACTACACATTTAAACCTTTGGAAAATGTATTCAGAATTAGTAAAATGTTAACTTTACAAGCTTTAGGTGAACATACCATTCCCTGAGTTGTATCCTGTAGTGTGCTGCACTAGCTAACCAATCAATTTAAATTGACATTTTGCTAGAACAGGAGTATTTGGGGAATAAAAGATGAACACCCTTTCATCCTTACTCATAAATCAGTTCTGTTCTGTGCACAAAATGTAGAAAATCCGTTAGCTCAAGTTATCAAAATACAATCCTAGTAAAACAGCTGCATTTTTTTCCTTTGGCCAATGTAAAGTCATAAAAAGTGAGCATAGTCATAAAAAGTGAGCATAAAGTATAAACCAAGAATGTTATTGTAATCACAATTGCTATAAAACACCATTTTATTACCCCCAAAAACATACTTTTAATGTATGTTCTTTATGTTATAAACAGGAGATTGGCTAGTAGGACATTTACAATGAAAGCACATATAATTTTAAATAGCTCTTATTTTAATCTTTAAGGAAACTAACCAGTCCTTGTGAAAACAGTCCAGAAAATATATTATATGGACGGAGTGATAGGATTTTCCTTAATCTTGCTAGTGATTGTGTCTGCTAAGCAGAAGGGTAATGCATGCTGAATCTTGACAAGCTATTTGTGTTTTGGCCTTATTAAGTTTTGACCCATTTCAGTAATTCATTCTGAGCACATCATTCCTTACTGAAAGACATTCTTGGCCTTAAATAGCTTTAACTGTGTCTGTAGATGACCTCTCATTTGGACTTTCTAGCAGAATATGGTGGTTTTAAAAGATGTTCACCTATTATTTAATAGCCTTCCCCTTCAAAAGGCAGAACCCAATTCCTCTTTCCTTAAGTGTGGGTGGTACTATGTGATTTGCTTCTAACCAATACAATATAGAAGAAATGACTGTGTGGTGTCTTGAGATTCAGAAATAAAAGACGTTATTACTTCTTCCTTATGCTTTCTATTGGATTGTCTTTCTCTCAAGTAAGTAGCTTCAGTGTATTGAGGACATCCAAGCAGTCCTATATCAGTTCTGTAACCTGCAGCCACAGTCATATGAATGGGCCATCTAGGAAATGGAAAACTCCAGTCCCAGTTACAATTCCAAGGTGCAGCCCAGCCACCCTCATGAAAGACCCAAATTCAGAACGACCCAAATGACCTCCTGGATTCTGAACTCTGAGAAACCATGTGAAATAGATATTTGTTGTTTCAAGTTTGGGGATCATTTGTTACACCAAGAATTACTTATTACAGCCATGCAACCCATAGGACACTTCAGTCAAGACTGGACACATATACGACAGCATTCCCCTAAGAATATGATACTGTATTTTCACTATACTTTTTCTACATTTAGATATGTTTAGGTACACAAATATTTACCCTTGTGTTACAACTGTAGACAATAGTCAGTACAGTAACATACTGTACAGGTTTGCAGCCTAGATGCAATAGGCTACACCATACAGTCTCAGTGTGTAGTGGGCTATAACGTCTGGATCTGTGGAAGTACACTCTATGATGTTGGCAGAATGACACAATTGCCTAACAATGACAAATGAATGACTGTATTTTATTCAGTCAACACTTGGAGCTGAAAAAAATGAATCTTTCTTATCAAAGTCTAATTGAAACAAGAGTTATTAGATCTTCTCGGACAATAAAAAGACCATACATAATTTTAACTGGTTACTTCCTTCTTGAATTACTTGCTATTTTTGCTTTGTATTTTGGTTCTATATATTTCGAAATCTCACTAGATATTATTATTGTCTTTGGTGCTGTTGTTGGACTGTTGATTTATGCAATCAATATTTGTAAAGTCTCTCTTTCTTCCCCTGAAAATGCTTTTCCTTCACCTTTATTCTTGCAAGATATTTATATCAGGTATAGAATTAATGGTTGCCATTTTTTTGTGTTTAGTACTTCAGAATACCATTCCATTGTCATTTGTCTTCCTATTTTTTTCCTTCAGTCCATTATCATTCTAATTTTTGTTCCATTGCAAATAATAACCTTGCACTTTAACTGTCCTAAATTTGTTCTCTGTTTTTGATTCCATGTAGTTTTACTATGATGACTCTAAGAATAGTTTATTGCATTCATCCTACTTTGGTTTCTCATGTTTTTTGAATTTCAGCCATTTTCTCTTCAAACATTACATCTGCTCAATCACATTCTTTTCCTCTCCCATACTTAAGTCAGGTATTTTATTTAACTTGTCTTCCGGATTATTCATTGTCTTTACAGCTGTCTTATCTACTATGAAATTTATCCACTGGATTTTTAACTTCAATTATGTTTTTTCCCCAAGGTCAACAATTATCATTTTACTTAAGGTGTCTTGAATTATTTTATGTTTAAGCAAACTCATCAAGTTTTAGAGTCAACAGTGTTTCTATGGTGTTAAAAAAACACATTTTCATAAATACATTTATCACTATTTGAGATTTTGTGTGAATATTTAATTTCCTAATCTGTGTGGAATGTATTCATTTTTATATATGAGGTGAAGTAGGGGATTGATTTCATTTTATATGAATAATTATATTTTACCTCCATTTATTGTAAAATCCTTCTTGTGGTCTATGATATGGCTGGCCAATTGTATTATGTATCAATATTTTGTCCATGCAGATATACATTTCTGGACTCATTCTATTTCATTGATAATTTAGTACACCATGTTTCAGAGAAATCCATTATGAATTATTATGGACCCTGATACCTTATAGCTCACATTCCCAGTCTTTACTGTCATTCAGAGGGCTTTTTCTTACTCTTCCCTTTCTAGACATTCATATGCACTTCAAAATTGCTTTACAATTATAGATCAATTTGGAAAGAATTCCAACATGTACGATATTTTCCTTTCCATAAACATGGCTGGCATATGTCTCTACTTATTTAGATTTTCTCCAATTCCTTTGACTTTTTTTATTTACTCTCTTTGTAAAATAAATGTAAAAATTTTTTTTAAATTCATATAAAATAGCAGATGTGCACAGATTTTTTTCATTGCATTTCACTTGTGTATATATTTTTAACATTTAAAATATATTTTTAGGGATACTCTGCTAAAAATTTAGGACTAAAGGAAAGCAAAACATAGTTTCTGTCATAAAAATTTTGTACTCTAGTAGAAGTCCTGCATGGAAATATATAATTGCAATTAACATTTACAGTTGCTTTACTTCTGCAAGGTAGTTTTTAAAAATTATCAACTTTTTCTATGTTGAGATCTTTAAACTTTTTTTGGTAATTTGGAAACATTATTTCATATTTAATGAATAATAAGTTGATGGATTATGTATTTACTGACAATATTTCTTTAATGTTCTTATAAATTACAAACAACTTCACTGGAAATCACACGTTGGAAATTATCTTTTCAATATCCTCAGTTGAATTTCATTTGATTTTTATCCTGTTGCATGGGATTTCTTTTCTCCTTGCTTCAACACTTTTCAAAATATTTCACACCATACTATCTTTACATTAGTTTGTTTGACTATTCAATGCATTCCTTAAATCTAGATTTGCTTTGGTATGCATTTTGCTTGTTTTATGATTGTTCAATGGCTGATGGAGGCTTTCCTTATGTCTAAAATGCTTTTCTTTTAGTTTTTTTTTTTTTTAATCATGGACTTATTCTTATTATCTCTTTTCTTTATGGAGATGCTAGTTATTCAACCAATATTGGTTGGTTCCAGGTGTACTCCATTCTGTCTGTTACTATTTTCCATTTTTAAAAAATTGATTAACTTCCTGTGCACTCTAGAAGCTTTTCTTAGTTTTTATTGTTTTATGCATCAGTAATTCAATTATCTTCCCTATTTTATGCCCGCAATGAAGATTTTATACCCACAGCAATTTTGGTTTTGTTGCATTGTTCACTTATCTCCATCTTTGCCTTCTGATGGTAGCCGTATGTTTAATAAAGACACCCGCCTTCTTGAAGATTTTCTAAAAATAAATACACCACTTTCTAAAAATGGTCTTTGTATGGCAGCATTCCTAATACAACTTGGTTGTCATTCAGTTTTACTTCTGTAGTAGAAAGAGTACTATCTGCATTTCATTTTACCCATTTGGTATGGACCACAACATCTGACCTACATTTACTACTACCTATGTGTTTCAGGTAATAAAATACACTGGCTTCTTTCTGATAATGTTCTTTCACTGGAATCCTTTTTACAAAATGACTAAAACTTGTTTAGTTGTTGTTGCTGTTTAATCTGGAGATTGATATTGAAAACAATCTATTCAAGCCCAGCCTACATTTTGTAGACAGCTTCTATTAGTTCAAATTCTTATAGTATACTCTTTCCTCTATTCAAATTTGAAAATTCTCAGATTTTTTACTGTACCTTGGTTAATGCTGTTTCTTCTTCTTTAAATTCTAACTAAAAATTAGTAGGCTTTAAATAACAAATATTGATGCCCTTATGAGGATTTTTTATCCTATTTTTTTGGTGATATTGTTTATCAGCTTATGCTTCTTTTTAAACTTCTTTAATGTTTTATGTCTTAATAAGATCTAAATCATCTTGGCTGCTACCATATATTTGCAAATTAGTCAAAGAATAATGAGAACCTACAGTACTAAATATTAAAAAACACTTACTGTGTAAGAGGATGAATGTCTTACCTCTATAAAATGCTAGGCTATGATAGCCTATGCTGAGCTTCTATGGTTTGAAATAATATAAAATGCACTTATGCAAATTAAATACATATTTAAAAAATATCAATAGAAAGCATATAATTTCTACTTAGAAAGCAGAGATACGAAATTTTGAAAATCCTTGTCATAAAACTTTGGCTAGTTATAAATGTTAACTGTATAATTCCTCACTCCAAAATATAAGCATCAATGGATGACCCAGCTCTATCTTATGTATGCATTTTTTCAATTTAATTGGACATAACGAATTTTAATTCTGGTAAACTGTGAAAACATGAATTATTTCATGCATTGTCAGTTAGAAAATTATAAAATTAAGGCAGTTGTTTTATCTTTTTCCCCTCTCAAGTTTCAAAGTTACTTCTGACATATCGACAAGAAGGCTTTCTTTTAAACATCCAAAATAATAAATATGGGGATAACTACTAATTATAACACCTTCTTGAATCCCTTTGCCTGTTATATTTGCTATCATAAGCTAAATACAATCTTGCTCACTTTTGTTTCTTTGGACAGCCTGTCATCTGAGGCACATATTAAACTGTAAATATTCTTTTATTTCCTGGAAAAGTTGGACAGTAAATTTTACTACTTTGACCTTTTTAATATTCTCCATTTTGACTGGTTGTCTGTTCCAATCACACTTCCTGGGATGGTAAACAGGGCAAGGTGGGTATGGCAAGCAAATCAAATTACAGAATACTGAAAAGGTCATGGTGAGACGGTTTTAACTTCACACAAGAGAGAAGGGGGAAAAATATTTATAATGTTTGAAAAATGAGTAAATATGATTTTGTGCATGTGTTAACAAGCAACTAGTAAAAGCCAATGATAAGCGTCCTCTTCTTTATCCCAAATTTTAAATTATTTTTGGACTTTATCTGAAAAGTCACAAGGCATATTCTCACAGTAGATTTAATATAATTCATTCTAATTCCCTTATATTTAATAACATATCACATCACCCCTAACAGGAGACCTTTAGTCTATTAGTACAGATAGTATTTAACAAAATAACAATTGTACAATAGTGTAAATTTCCACTTTTCCTTTCCATCCAGAAGATGGCTTAAAATATTGACTAGTAGACTCAGATGGAAGTTGAACTTTATTTGGTTTATTTAGCCTTCCTGAAATTTCCCACAGCTCCATTTATTTTCCCCTTGCTATTTGAAACTCAGAGGACCAATCTTTTCAATGTGCTATTACTTTCATAGATGGATAACTTCTCAAATGTTAACAACACATAAACAAAAATCAGTTGTACACATTAATCACAGGTGAAGTTTTTTCAAAACACAAATAGAGACATTGGCTGAATGTTGGCAGTGAAATGATTGTAAAGCATCATACAGGGATAAACTGATATGTACATCTGTGCTGTGAATAGTCATCTTAAGATAAAAACTCTGATAGTCTTATCAAACTATGGAAAAATATGGTAGAATTTAGTGACTTATTCGTCATTAAAAATACACCCTAAATTTTTACAATCAAATGAAACATTCAATTACCTAATACTGAGTTTAGCTGTCAACTCAGCCCATCATCTTCTCCTAAGGATTTATGTTGATAGGTCAGCAATCATCCCAAGCATTGTTGGTGTCCATGGCAAAGTTGGGGGAGATGATAGGCCGTGAAGCATGTCACTTTTACTCATAATTCTTTAGCTGGAACTTGCTGCTATATCCACCTGTATTACAGGGAGCAGGACACAAAATCTCACCATGTAGATAGAGGCAAGAAGTCGTAAATATTTCTTAGCAGTGTTAATAACTACCTCAAGGGGTAATAAGTACTTGGGAAAATACATTATATAGTGAAAGATAGGTTCACATTTTCATCCCGAACATTAGAGCCACACGTATTGAAATTCTCTTTTATTTTCCTTTGGATTTTAGCAAGAGCTGAAAGACTTGCAGTTATCTCCCCAAGAGTGGCCTTTGTGATTCATTAATAGATGAACACTCCTGAAGTGGGTATGTCTGACTAGGGTACTGATTGTCCCAGATGGTTGGCTTGAATAAATGTTCAGACCTAATATTCCATCATTTATGTAAACTGCCTGAAGTGCACAACAAATACAACAATAGTTATTAGCACATGTGACCTACGTTATTTAGGAATTAATTCATCACAAGTTACAGAAAAGGACTCAAGATGTTTTTCAGCAAAAAATAAAATAATTTATTAAGATGATATTAGTGTGGCTTGTAGAAAACAAGGATGATAATGAGTCTGGAGCTTAGAAAAAACTACCTAAGAAAGAAAATGCCATCAGAATCAACTCTCAGTCTTTTGTGTGTTCTTCTGTCCGTATGCTTTTCCCCTGCTCCTCTCTTCTCCTCTCTTCCGTCTCCTCCTCTTCCTCCTCCTTATTCTTCTTTAATAGCACAAGGCTTCTTTTTCTTAAGTGATCAACGTGGTTGGATACTTTTAAAAAGAAAGTTTAGAAAACTTTTTTGAATATCCTGAACATGAGGAATCAATTTCAAATTCAGTGTTGGGGGACAATGTTCTAAATTAGATCTTCTCTAGGAGAAGACCATGCTGTCTGAAAAGAGAGTAAGTTGGTGGTTATATTCAGGTTGAATATTCGCCCAAGGTTCCACCCATGATGGCTATGTGAAAGAGGGTCATAAGTAATATGTGTACACCCCCTGCAGTGAGTTCAGCAAAGAAGGTTTAGGTCATGGACTGATGTGGTCCCCACTCTATTACTTTATCGTAAACATTTTCTACGCCGCTGCTAGACTACATGTGTTACGTTATTTACTGTTACATTATCAATATCTATAAGTGCCCAACACATATTAAGTAGTAAAAATGTATTTATTAAGTAATAAAAACAAATATTTCTGAGAACATATAATTATTTGCAAATATCAGAAACTTATGAAATTTGTTTCCAACTGACCATTTTTAAGTATTTGTTTTAAAGTGAAGAAATAAAATTCCTTCTGTGGTAGATATAATTGGTTGTTTACCTGATATTTAGTTACTTCTTATTCTCTGTAAAATAATCCCAATTTTGTTAATCTGGCTCTTTGTGTCGTACATAGACTTTGTAAATCACAGGAAGCTAACTTTATCCTTCTGTCCAGAGGTAGGTCCTGACCCGTCTAAATAATCATGCTTATCTGTAATTGATACAGAAACAGGCTAAATTGAATCAGGACACAGAAGAGAATATTCTCGAGATAAACGTCAGTAGTTAAAGGTAGGTACAAGTCCTATACTGACTTGATCCCTATAAAGAAATAACTTTAATCTCTTGGCTATGAGAGAAGTTTCCTTTTTTTTCCACCCTATATATGAAAAGACAAAAAAGGCCCTAGGTTCTGCTAATAGCCATCTTGCAAATATGAAAACAATAAGACTGAATGAAGACTGGCATGATAAATAAGGTGAAAATCTGAGAAACAGAGCTAGGACTCAGATTCACCACATCTGGCACTGGCCCTTCCTTTGAATATCCTGCTATATGAGATAATGTTGCCATTTTTCTCAGAGCTGATTTGAAAAAGGCTATTTGTTACTCATAGCTGAGGAAAACAAATGAATAGTTATCCCTAAATATATCTTTGCCTTTAATTGTGAGCTAATGGCCCCTTATAACACTTAAGTGTCTTAAAATATATATTAAATTCCAAATGCAAATTTATTCTACTTAGCTTTATTCCCAGCTTTCAAAGTGGTTGTTCATTAATAGTATAGTAAAAGAGAAAAAAAAGGAAGAAAGAAAAGGGGAAAAAAAGAATGTATATTTACCTACCATTTTCCACCATAAAAGTTTGACTAGCCAAACTACAAATGATCCTTGTCTCTTAATATAATTAATCTGTATTCACTTAATTAGTCTTTGACTCAGATTACTATATGTATTTCAAAGTAATTGAACAGTCTTACAAGCCTTATAATTCAGACTTTTATTATGTCAGGTATCTGTTCTCTTTAATTATTTCACCTTAATTGTTTTTGAACAGTCCACTCCTCTCTAGAAAACTATGCATCTTTCAGGCATTTCTACTATTTCAGAATGACCATCGAAAGTGCACTTTATGACTTCTGTTTCTAAAAGTATCTACAATGAAATGGACTATTTAGAAAAATTTTATTTAATAAAGTGTGAAATAGGTAATCATACAAGAGGAAAAGTACAGATTTACCATCATCTGAAACAGCCTATAGAATTGTCATTAAAATGGGCTTTGGTGGCATGCACTCTTCCATTTTTTGGCAGGCTAGAAGTGTGAAGCAAACGTCGTTTAGTACAGTCCATATCCCTAATCACTGTGAAGTAAACGTCATTTAGTACAGTCCATATCCCTAATCACTGTGAAGTATACAGCAATGAAAACCTTTATCTTAAAGCACGTGTTTGCACCCTAAAATTGGAAGGAAAAGTTAACTAGTAGATACTTTAATGTTGCGATGAAGAAACATTATAGGGCAATTCTAAAGGCCATACAAGATTGCAGGGCAGAGTTGGGAAGCTTTTAAAAAAACACAAATTGAGATGGCAGAAAGAAGTGAGGCAGGAAGAAAATACTTGCCCAAAGTGGAGGGCAGCCAAGATTCTGAGATTTTGTCCCACGTGGCAGACCTTGGATGTCTCAAGTGACTTGGGCAACAATTTACTTCCCTTAAGATAGAGAACTTCCATAATTAAAAGGGACTAATAATTGTATTGTAAAATACTGACTTAATTCAGATATAAAGTAAAGGATAACTGTAATATTTCTTCAGGAGTAACCACTCGCCTGAATCTTATAAACAACCAGATAATCATGTTTAAAAGTGTTTAAACAGTATTTGTAAGTATGGGAAACATTAGTTAAATTTAGGCCTTTGAAAAAACAACTATATATATGAGATAATCTAATATGAACTTTTATTTTGATGTTTTAAACGGATGAAAATAAAGTCACATGGGTATGTTTAAAGTTTTCGACAACCACTTTATTACCATCTTTGCTACTTAAAATATGACCTTGATGCTTAAATTGCATGTTTAATAAAATGTTTCTTCTAAATATCATTTAATGAATTATTATTTTATAAGATTTTGTACTAAAGGGGGTTTTCTAGAAAAGTATTCATCTTTTCATAACAAAGATGACTCATCATTTTGTATTATTCATATTTGGCCAGGCAGGAGAAAAATATAATGGAGACTAATGGAATAGCTGGAATCATGTTGCCTTTTGAACAAAGAACTTTTAATCTCACCACTCACAAATAAGTTGGCCACAAGTTTTATTAGACAAGAATGTTGTTCCCAAATTATTTTGTCTTTTACTCAAACATATATCAAAATCCAATTGTATTATGTTGGCTGTTATGTTCTTGCCTCTTTAGAACAAGAAAGTTTTCAAAAGAGAAACAAGTATAATGGAGTGTGTATATGCTTACCAAATGTGGACAAGCAATAATGTGTACTGTATACATGGTCAGTTTTAACATATTACGAACACTTCTGATATCCTCATATGACTTATTTTTTTAAAATGTTGAGCTTTTTTAAGGTCCATATATTTAGCAATCTGGTTCTACTGTCAAGGGAAAACCCTTATTCATGAAAAAATAATAAGCTTAGGATAAGCATAATTAATTTTATTCTATAAGTCAAGACATATTTTGATTCTGATTCAGACATAGCTACCTGTTAAACTTATTTCTTGAAATTGTTTGATATTCAAAATCAAGAATTTTGAGTTTCCCTATTCTGACAAGAATCTCTGACTTTCCCACTCTCTACTGCCTTACTCTGTTGTATTTTCTCTTCATCATTATGTTTAATATCTTTGATTTTCTCCTATCTCCTCCTTTAAATGTTTAAAGATCCTCAATTGCTTTTATTTATATTATTCCTAGTGCTACCATCTTCCATTTGTAATGTATTCTGCACACTATTGTTAGATTAAACTTTCTAGTGAAAAACTTATGCTTATCCTGCTTTCTGTGAAAAAACTATCACTGTCTCCCTACTTCCAATGGAATGAGTTAGTTTCTTTAAAGTAATGTTTAAGGTGCCCTATCATCAAGTTCCTCCCGTCAATTCAACTTTGTTCTGCACTTTACGCAAAACTATGCTCCAGACAAAGTGAACCATTCACATTTTCTCACGCTCGTGTTACAGCCTTGTCAATCTTACCCTACATTAATCTCTTCATTTATGCTTTGTTATGACTACTGAAATTGTTGTTATCTATAAGGCAAAACATAAAGGTTACCTTTGAGAAAAATATCTTCTAATCTTACATCAAAGGGTGATTTTGCTCTTCTCTAAACTATCTATGATTTACCTGTACTTCCCTTATAATACTTGTTATAGACTTATTTGTATTAAAAATCTATGCAATATTATTTCATCATTCATATTAAAATATTACTTTCTTCAGGGAATAAATTAGACCTGCTTTTGTCATCTTGGGAAATCCTATAATACTAAAATAATGTATTATGTGATAAATATTAATATTTTAATATACCCTGAGATTTACTAAAATTATTTTATATAACAAAATATTTGCTAACTGAAAAATGTAATTTCCAAAATGATTCAAGGGAAAACATTTCACTTAAGATATTCACTAGTACTATTTAGAACATATAATCTATTAACCAATATATTTCTCATAGACATGAAAGTAAATAAACGCTATTGCGTTTATATTATGATGTACTTTCTGAATATTTTATGACATATTCTTATTCTGGTCTACTCTTCTAAAATGCTAGTTTTATTTTCTTTTAATTGTCTTAAATTCTTAGAATGTGGAATGCACATAACTAGTTACTGCTTATTAATTTAAAGACATTTGTCAGGAGGAAAACTTCCAAACAGATCTGTGTGCTTTTTGCTGCTGCTTTCTGAATAGTTAGCATAGTCCTTAGCACATAATAAACATTCGATAACTATTCACTGATTAAATGGAGGAATGAATGAATGGCTACATGAATGAAAATGTATAAACACATAACGGTCTGAATGTTTCTAGGAGTGCTTTAGTGATTTCACTTGCTATAATTTCATCTGGCACTGCATAGTTTGAACACTTTATGTAGCGTAATAGTTGCAACTCTGAATAAAGGTCACATTGAACCTACTTCAATGACATTTTACTTCACAAAGAAGAAAAAGGATTTCATTATAATCTCCACAGTTTAAAATTCATTTTGTAAAACTTAAAATTATGTCACAATGACATTTAGCACATGGATATAGTTGGAATTATAAAGGGATTTATTTTCTAAATTTAAAAATGCTTTTTATAGCTATGTCCTATGTCCTAATATCTGAATTTCTTCTCTAGAATATATATAATTATTTCCAAAACATTGCATGTATCACTGGATTAATACTGAATAGGCAAGTTGCCTTTTGAACAAAGAACTTTTAATCTCACCACTCACAAATAAGTTGGCCACAAGTTTTATTAGACAAGAATGTTGCTCCCAAATTATTTTGTCTTTTACTCAAACATATATCAAAATCCAATTGTATTATGTTGGCTGTTATGTTCTTGCCTCTTTAGAACAAGAAAGTTTTCAAAAGAAAACTCTGAGATATTCTTTATGACCAGATAATCATGTCTGTTTCTACCTGAAATTTCTCTGCTGGCCACAGATGACTAAATGAGGAATAGCTGTATAACTAAAAGGTAGCCAATGTATAGGCTATCAACCCATAAGTTGGTACAATAGCACCACCCAAGATAAATTCCTTAGGTTAATGCTAGGCAACTGATCTTATAATTTCTTTTTTGTTTGTTTGTTTGTTTGTTTTGAGATGGAGTCTTGCTTGTTGCTCAGGCTGGAGAGCAGTGGTGTGATCTTGGCTCACTGCAACCTTTGCCTTCCGGGTTTAAGCAATTTTCCTGCTTCAGCCTTCAGAGTGGCTGGGATTACAGACGTGCGCCACCACGCCCAGCTAATTTTTTTGTTTTGTTTTCTATTTTTGGTAGAGATAGGATTTCACCATGTTGGTCAGTCTGGTCTTGAACTCCTGACCTCAGGATCCACCCACCTCAGCCTCCCAAAGTGCTGAGATTACAGGCGTGAGCCACCACACCTGGCCATCTTAGAATTTCTGTATCAGGATTTGCTATATTATTCTATGATAGAAGAATCACCCTAAAATCTCAGTGGTGTAAAATAACAATCAAGAATGTCTTACTCATGGTACATATCCATTGTGGTTGACTGTAGATTTGTTCCAAGTGTCTTCAGTTCAGGAGACAGATTGACAGAGAACCTCTATTTGAACATTGTCAATCTGCTGGTTGAGGGGAAACGGACATAGTAAACAACATTCTGACTTATTGAAGCACCTACTTGGGCATGACATACACCACTTCTACTCACATTACATTGGCCAAGCAAGTGGCATGACATAGGTGTGGTCAAGAGAGCAGGCATGTGCAGTTTTTCCATAGAGCGGCCCATAGAAGAGACATGGTAGGTCGTGATAGTGAATATTGAGAAAATAATACAGTCAGCCACCTTGTCCCTTTAGAGTTTGAACTAGAGTGAGTCAGCATCACAAGCATAAAGCACCACAAGCATAAGGAGAAAACAGCTGAGCCACAAAAGTGGCAGATCAGGAAAGGAGAAAGCAAAGCATGCCTGGGGCCATGAGGTAGCTCACCTCTGCAGCCAGAGAAGGCCTGGGTTGTTCTCTCTTGTTATAGACATATAGGGAAAGCTGACTTTTTTCACTGAAGGTGTGCTCTTCAAACTATGTCCTATATTTTGTTATGCTTTCAATCATAAAAATAAACCTCCCTTGCTTAATGTTCATTCAGTGGCCATTTCTTCAAACACAAAAGAGTCTAACATCTAACAAGAAAACGGTAGTGAAGCTTTGTGGTTTTCTTTCTCTTCCTTAAAGAAAATAACTCTCAAATAATTAGAAGAAACTCTAATTCAATAGCTTATATGAGTATATACTTTTTAATTTTTAGAATGTATGCATAGTTTATTTAAAATAAATAAAAATTTAAACTAAGTTAAGCAGTTTGATGACAGAAAACACAGAAAAGGCATAAGTGCTGAAGGGTTCAATTTGACTAACGTAGTCTGGGACTTCAGAATGTGAAACCTGTTTATCCGCCAGTTTCCTAATGGGCATGTTATAGGCATCAGGTTAATATAAAACTAAAAGATGTATATGTATGTGTATGCATGGGGGCGAGTGTGTGGGGTGGAATTGGCTTATTTGTTTATTTTTATTTTTCTGTCCTCTTCCACAGATGGTGACGTTAGAATTGGCTTGTATAAATGACGGGTAGAACCATCTTATATAGCTTTATGTAATTACCAAAATAAACTTATAAAACAAAAATATTTTGTATTTTTATTATTTTATTGCTCCTTTCCTCTTTACAGCACATTGTCTTAAGAACAAAATCTCAGTTTATGATTTCATTTTTATTTTTTCTGCCATTTTCAGCTTTACAATATTTGCAACATATTATAATCTTCTCATATTGGTGAATTTTTACTGATCACAGCTTTATAAAAGTATGCATAAAAAAAACCATGATGAATAATGGCTAGAAGCTTATCCAAATTAAATATTGACATGAAAATTTACACTTACTTAAAAATATTAGTAAATATTTCATATGATACTTTATATATCCAGATACACTGGACTGTGTAATTATCTAAAATAAAGTCATGCCATATGATTCAATGGAATTATAGTTAAATAAGCTCATTTTATCCTAAGGCAGAGTAGACTCTCTCCCCCAGCCCCCCAAAAAATACTGGTGTTAATTATAAAAGGACAAGCATTTGTTAGTTGATAGCTTTATAGTTGGTTATTTATGAGGAAAACCTCGGATTTGATTTTGTTGTTTTTTTTTCCACTCATGCATTGTTCACTCAACAAATATTTCCATAGGCTTGACACTGCTAGGCACCTTGAGCATAAAACTGAATGAGAGCTTGTCTCTGCATTGAGAGTGTGCCTCGTTTACTGGAGAAATGTTCCCAACACCAGGACCTGTCACAGAAAAGTTATACTTAATACTGTGGTACACACTATTTTACCAACTGCCACTTGGATTCATGTGTCTATGGCCTGGCTCACTTAATAAAAGGAAGAGCACACTGGCAGTGGAACTTGAAAAAACAATGAAAATAAATTGTTGTTATAGAACTTCTTTAAGATTACTCAGAAAATATTGCTCACTGTTAATCCCATGAAATCAGCAAGGTGAAAATCTTAACTATGAACAGAGAAGATGGGGAAACATGAAAGTTTGATGTGAAATGGAGAGAAGGAAATACAAAAGGGGAAGTAGAAAGACAACAAGAAAATCCTCTTTGTCTCGGGCACAGGAAGGCAAAAAGGCCAGAGGAACAAAAAGTAAAAGAAAGAAAAAAATGTAGAAAAAGTGGAGCACATGCAAGGGGAAGGAACTCACTGTGGGCTTCTGGTGCATGAGCCACTGTGGGGGAAAGCTTAGTGGGATGAGCCGAAGGGCCATCATTCAAATCCTGGCAGGGAAGGTTTTGTGAACTTTAAGAACAGCAGAATTTATCCTACAGACGAACTGGAAAAGAAATCAAGACTGTGGAGAAAATGGGCTGACTGCAAAGCAGGGAAAGTCTAATATATATTTTTTCCATTTTATTTAGAAAGAAAATGACACTAAAATAAGAATGTATCAATTTCAAAATATTCTCAAGTGTAACAAGCTAAAAATTAAACAAGCGTGGAGTGAAAAAGTGGCAAATAAATGTGGGAGTTAAAATATTTTAATTTAAAAATGATACTTTTCAGTATTATAGACACATTTAAATCATTTATGGGGAAGGAAGTTAATAAGCTGTAATTAAAAGTTACATAAGCATGGATAATTATGAGTCCTATAACGAGGACATTAAATGTTTAAGGAAGTTGGAAAATCAATGAAATAAGCAAATACACAGTTGAAAGGAAAGAATGGACTGTCAAGGTTGGTTGAGGGGAGGGGACCATCTTTAGAATAGGACAGATACAGGTTAGAAACTCCAACCCTTCCCTTAACTATTTGTTGCTGGGAATACTATTTAACCTTAGTAAGTTTACTCACATTCCTACTTTTCTTTTAGTGGGAATAATGATGCCACTTTAATGATTAAATAAAATAATGTATGAAAAGTATCTACAGCACTAATTTTCACTAAGTTGACTGCATTAAAGTTACTATGTATGGCCTCACAGATTAAGTACATCACAAATTCATTATTCATATAGACCCAAATACAGCAATCCTACTATATTTGTTTTCATTTTCTGAGCAACAATGAAAACACAGAGTAAAAGGGAAGGAAAAAAATGAAGTAACATCTCTTAAAATAAAAAAATAATTAGTACCTTGAACTCTAAACACTTTGGAAAATAAAGCTTTCTATGAAAAAAGGGAAAGCAAAACAAAATATATAAAGCAACCAACAATTAAATTGTCTTAGTATAAAACAGAAGAGAAGAGGAGAACATTACAAATAATAAAAGTATACTGTGTTTTGAAATACAAAAATGAATGCCTCAATAATTTTCAGATATGCATTGGGAAATGAATTCTTACAGTTTGAATAATAAAATACAATCTGCAGAAGTGTTTAAAATAAACAAATATACTCTGGTTTGTCTTAAGATTGTATAACTCTCTTTAAGGGAAATAACTTTTATCACAAACTTTATATAGATGTAGTCATGTACACACATATAATAAATGTTTTTAAAGTAACTTTTATCACAAACTTTATATAGATGCAGTCATGTACACACATATAATAAACAATGTTTTTAAAGTAATTAAGTAATATCAACAGTCATTAAAAAAGGTAATAAGGCTAGGCACAGTGGCTCATGCCTGTAATCCCAGCATTTTGGGAGCCTGAGGTGGGTGGATCACTTGAGGTCAGGAGTTCAAGACCAGCCTGGCCAACATGGCAAAATCCCATCTCTACTAAAAATACAAAAATTAGCCAGGCATGGTGGTACAGATCTGTAGTCCCAGCTACTTGGGAGGCTGAGGGAGGAGAATCACTTGAACCCAGGAGGCAGAGGTTGCAGTGAGCTGAGATCACACCACTGCACTTCAGCCTGGGCAACAGAGTGAAGCTCTGTCTCAAGAAAAAAAAAATGGTAATAAAGCCAAATATGAATACAAGTGAAAAATAAAACTAGAAATTCCAATCTCTCAGACAACAAAATTCAAGATTGCTTTTTAAAATATACATAAGAAAGACACGTATACACTTAATGAATAGAGAAATGTCACAGTAGAATTATTAAAAAGGAAAGAAAACAAAAAATGGATTTCAAAGTGCCATAAATGGCTCCTGAATTCCAATACTTCATTGTACTTAATGTTAGGTAATATAACGTGAGAAATTAAATTCTCAAGAAAGGCAACACCACTGATGCCACTTTTCTAACCATGTATTCCATAACAGACTTGAATTCACCTTTTCCTCCTCCTCCCACACCTCACCATCATGGTTATTCTATGTCAGACACTGTTTCTGGGGGGTTACATGGCTCATCTCATTTTAACCTTCATTTTAGTGACAAAGGTCTGAGACCAACACAAAGTTTACACAACTTTCATGTGATAAAACTAATATAAAAAATGAGATGCTTTTGTCTAACATTAAAATAACAAAATTTTTTTTAGGAACCTCCATATGTTTTTCTATAATGACTATACTAGTTCACATTCCCACCAACTGTGCACAGGGTTCCCTTTTCTCCACATCCTTGCCAAAACTTATCTTTTGCCTTTTTGATAAAAGCCATTCTAACAGGTGTGAGGTGACATCTTATTGTGGTTTTGATTTGTATTTCCCTGATGATTGTGTTGAACATATATACATGTTGGCTATCTGGATGCCTTTTTGGAGAAACATCTATTCAGGTCCTTTGGCTAATTTTTCATCTGGTTGCTTTGTTGCTGCCGAGTTGCTTGAGTTCTTTATATATGTTGAATATTGACCCCTTATCAGATAGATAGTTTGCAAATATTTTCTCCCATTATATATGTTGTCTCTTCACTCTGTTGATTGTTTCCTGTGCTGTGCAGTCGCTTTTTAGTTTGATGCAATTCTGTTTGCTGTTTTTCCTTTTGTTGCCTGTGTTTTTGGGGTCAGAGCCACACAATTATTCCCTACAGGAATATCAAGAATGTTCCCGATATGGTTTACCTGTTTCCCCACCAAAATCTCACCTTGAACTGTAGTTCCCATAATCCCCACAAGTAGTGAGAGGGATCCGTTGGGAGGTAATTGAATCATGGGGACAGTTACCCTCATGTTGTTCTGCTGATATAGTGCGTGAGTTCTCATAAGATCTGATGGTTTTCAAGAGGCTTTTTCCCCTTTTGCTCTTCATTTCTCCTTGCTGCCATCATGTTTCCCCTCCTGCCATGGTCATAAGTTTCCTGAGGCCTCCCCAGCCCTGTAAAACTGTGTGTTAATGAAACCTCTTTCCTTTATAAATTACCCAGTCTCGGCCATGTCCTTATAGCAGTGTGAGAACAGACTAATACAATTTGTCTGTGCTTTCTTCTCAAAATGTTACAGTTTCAAGTCTTTCATTTAAGTCTCTAATCCATTTTGAATTGTGTTTTGTATGTGGTGTGAGATAATGGGCTAATTTCATTCCTCTGCATGTGGATATTCAATTTCCCCAACACTATTTACTGAAGAGATTTTTTTTTCCCAATTGTGTATTCTTGATACCTTCGTCAAAAATCAGTTTGCTGTAAAATAAATGCACTTATTTCTGGATGCTTTATTCTGTTCCATATGTCTATTATTGTATTATTATTGGTCTATTATTGGTCTATGTGTCTGTTTTTAGGTCAATACCATGCTATTTTGGTTACTATAGCTTTGTAGCATATTTTGCAATTAGGTAGTGTGATGTATCCAGCTTTGTTCTTTTTGATCAAGATTATTTTGACTATTTGGGTTTTATTGTGGTTTCATATAAATTTAGAATTTTTTTCATATTTCTGAAGACAATATCATTGCATGACCCAGGAATCCCACTTCTGGATATACACCCAAAGGAAATGAAATCAGTATGTCAGAGGTATCTGCACTCCCATGTTCATGGCCACATTATTCACAATAGTCAAAATATGGAATTTGCTTAAGTGTCCTTCAATGGATAAAGAAAATGTAGTACCTATATATAATAGGATAATAATAAAGATGAATGGATAAAGAAAATGTAGTACATATATATAATAGGATAATAATCAGCCTTGAAAAATAATATGCTGTCATATGATACAGCATGGATGACCTGGTAGGACATTAGGCTAAGTGAAACAAGCAATGCACATAAAGACATATACAAATATACAGAGAGAGTGTATATATGATTTATTATAAGGAATTGGCTCACAAAATTATGGAGGCTAAAAAGTCCCACCTCTGCTATCTGCAACCTAGGGACCCAAGAAAACTAGCACCATAGTTAGGAAAATCAGAGTACCGATGTTGTCTAAGTGGAGAGCAGGAGGAGATTGATGTCCTAGCTCAACAGTGAGGTAGAGAGAGAGAAGTCCACTCTCTTGTTCTATTTGTTCTGTTCAGGCTCTCAGTGGACTGGATGGTCTTCAACATTGGGGAAGAAAATCTGCTTTACTCAGCCAACCTATTCTAAGGCTACCTTCATCAGGAAATATGCTCACAGAAACACCCAGAAATAATGTTTAATCTGGACACCCATGTCCCAATCAAGTTGGCATATACAATTTACCATCACAGTAACTCTTCTATTTGTACTCATTTTAAACAACTTTGGGGGTCAGAAAACTATGATCAATATTATTCAAGCAATTTGCCAACATGATCTTAAATTAGAAATAAAAACCTCTCGCAGTGTGAAATATATTTAATCATATACCAGCCCTGAGTTATTTACTCATCCCAGCTCCTCCTATGTAAAAATTGATAAACTGTGTCACCATAGGCATAAATGGAGAGAGAACAATGGAGTTTTCAACATTTTATCTTTAAGAAATAAAAAGTTTCCCTTGTGCGAAATATTTTCAGCTTTTCAAAAGTTTAGTAGACTCTGAGGAACAAAACTCTATCCCAGAATTTGAGACTGAGGTCTTAGTACAAATGTTTATACTACGTAACAAACCTAAAATTTAAGTGGAGTACTAAGAGAAGTTGATGATATGCGCACTTTTCATTTTCATCTGGAAATTAAATTAACCATGAAAAATATCTCTATGTTTTCTCTTTTATATATACACTTGTGTTTCTTCTTCATATAAAGTCTAACTTTTTTTTTCTTTAAAATACTGTTCAGTGGTTATTCTTAGAGCACATTGTTAATCTCTTATATAAATACTAAAAAATGAGGTGTAACTCTCATCTACCACATAGAAAACAACATAAATATTTTAAAAAAACTTACCTGTAGCACAAACTGGAAGTGTTTGAGCATAGACACAGTTAGTGTATATATAGCTAAAGAGCTCCAAGCAAACAATACAGGAGGATATTTCTACATAATTAGAAAGGAATTTGATTCAGGAAATGACTTTTTATTTGAAAAATCATTAGCATCATTAGATAATTCACTTGCTAATAAATCATCCCTTTCCATTTTTAAGTGATTAAAAAAAGATATTTCCTTATATTAACCAAAAGTCATTTGGATTTTCAATATTGTACAATCAACAAGAATTCTTTTTAGTTTTATAAAAAGCAATACAGGCTTTAAAAATAAGTCCAGAAATATCTCCTTTGACCTAATTTCTCCACTAGGTACTATATTCTCTTCTTTATAGATAAGCTTCTTGAAAGGGTATTATTGCTTCTTATCTCCCCTTTATTTCTTACGTCCCCAGAAATCTGTTTTCTGCTCCTATCCCTCCAAAGGAGCTATTTATTCTAAGTACATGAAAGAAATCCAAATGTCTAATTTGCTTGATATTGTCCTTGCTAATATGAATCAATTTCGATATTTGCTATCTCTTTATTCTTAACAGAATTTATTCCATTGCTTTATTCGACGGTACTGTCATCTATCTTTAGTTCAGTTATGAAGTTACTAAACACAGTTAAATAAATTAATTCTGAAATACTGATAGAATGCAAAACACTTTGAATGTCAGGAGTAAAGGAGAAATAGTAGAGATATGAAGAGGCTGCGGTAACAGAAATGGAAAGAGGTCTAATTTCAGCTCAGTATATTCTATTTTCTCCAAATCCCCAATGAAAGTTGATATCACACCATATACAATATAGAGAGCTTAGAATGCACTGTTATTCAATGCCAGATGTACTAGTAATAAGAGCCATGTATTTCTATTTCCATACTATTGTCTCTGGAACAATTCCCAAAATAAAATACTTGTACTTAATCTTCACATAACAGTTTCTGAGGGAATCTAAACTAAACTTTATATAAGTGGAAAAAAAAAGATTGGATATTTGCCAATCTTTGGTATGTGGTTTTATTTAATTTTAAAATATTTGTACTTATTTTGAATTTTTATTTATTTTTGATGTCTAATTTACTAGTGGTTATAGTGGAATAAATTAAGCAATACATGCAAATTATAGAATGCAATTAAAAATAACAATTATCAAAATTATCACTATTGTAAGCTGTATTCAAATGAGTAAGAGGTCCAAAGGATAATGGATTCATTAAGACCATTGGTGATGACTTCTTATGACAAATAACACAAGCAGTATTTGTCTTCTTTGTTTCTTTTTCTTCTATGAGAAAATGTTTAAATACCATTTTATTTCTACCTTAAAAAACAGCAATAAAGCTTTAATACATTTGAAAAACATGAACTACATGGAACAGGATCTTGAATCCCTCAGTTGGGAAACACAGTCCTTAAAGGATGAATCTACAAGTGAGGAATAGGAAGATATTTGAGGCAAAACACCGTTTCATTAGGTATTAGCTCTGTGCTCTGGCCAATTCTAACTTGAGCTTCTCAACTGCAAAATAGTCACAATAATAGTGTGCATTTTGAAGGGTTATTAGGAGATATAAATGAGATAATATATAAAGTACTTAATAAATACTTGCTTTAGTGAACTCTTGTTAAATCTTAGCTATAGCTATTGCTGCTATTTGAATAATTATTACTTGTACTATCATTATTAATAAAGTATAGGTTAGAAATCAGGAAAGAAATTTAATCATCCTTACTATTGTGGAATATAAAAAAGTAGAAGCCAAAGCGAAGTCTTTGGACCTTAAACCAATGCTAACTTGAGAATTACAATTTGGGTCCTGATACCGTGTCTTAGTCAGTTGGGGCTACTGTAACAACCTACCATAGACTCAGTGGTACATAAACAACAGACATCAATTTCTCACAGTTTTGGAGGCTGAAAGTTCCAGATCAGGGTACTACCAGCACTGTAGCGTTCTGGTGAGAGTCCAGTTCCGGGTGCAGACTGATGATTTATTTTTATTTTTCTTTTTTTTTTTGAGATGGAGTTCCCCTCTTGCTGTCCAGGCTGGAGTGCAATGGCGCGATCTCAGGTCACTGCAATCTCCGCCTCCCGGATTCAAGTGATTCTCCTGTCTCAGCCTCCCAAGTAGGTGGGATTACAGGCATGTGCCACCACACCCAGCTAATTTCGTATTTTCAGTAGAGATGGGGTTTCTCCATGTTGGTCAGACTGGTGTCAAACTCCCGACCTCAGGTGATCCGCCTGCCTCGGCCTCCCAAAGTGCTGGGATTACAGGCGTTGGCGCCACCTCGCCCGACCCTGATTTCTTATTGTATGGCCACATGGTGAAGGGCAGAAAGGCAAGCTTCCTTTTGGGCTTTCATAAGAAGAACACTCATAATCCCAATTATGAAGAGCTCCACCCTCATGACCTCATCTAATCCTAATTACCTTCCAGAGGCCCCACTTATAAATACCGTCACATTATGGAAAAAGCTTTCAACATATGAATTAGGGGGCAAACTTTCAGTCCATTGCACTATACAAAGCACTGGAGGGTCACAGATGAATTCAGAATATTTTCCAAAGCAAAGAAACTCACATCATCTTGCAAAAGTAGGGCCTATTAAATATATGTTACAATTTTATGTTACATGCTATTGAAAAATAAAAATATATTTTGGAATATGTGTATCCACATATGTGAAGACAGTTTAGTTGTCTTAAAGTTTTCTTGTGCATTTTAATATGCAATATCTTATTGACGTGAAAATGTCTCCTATTGTTTAATATTGTTCAAAGATCATTAACTATAGTCACCTAAGAACTGCTGCTATATACAATAATAATTGAAATATAAGATGTGATATTTATATCTACTACATATATATTAGACATATATCTCATATATAATACATATGATTTTTATATGATACATTTTTACTTATTATTTTGTATACACGAAATAAGTAAGTTTTTATATCTGGACAAGAGAACTAGGAGGGTGCCACCAAAATGTTCTTCACTAAGATACCAGTGCACTGTCAGTGGCTTCCAAGAATCTTTATTTATTTATATATTTATTTATTTATTGAGACGGAGTTTAGCTCTTGTTGCCCAGGCTGGAGTGCAATGGCGCGATCTTGGCTCACAGCAACCTCCGCCTCCCGGGTTCAAGTGATTCTCCTGCCTCAGCTTCCTGAGTAGCTGAGATTACAGGTCCTGCCACCACGCCCACCTAATTTTTTGTATTTTTAGTAGACACAGGGTTTCAACATGTTGGCCAGGCTCATTTCGAACTCCTGACCTCAGGGGATCCACCCGCTTCGGCCTCCCAAAGTGCTAGGATTACAGGCATGAACCACTACGTCTGGCCCCAAGAATCTTTAATACTGACCCTGAATTATTTGTAAAATCTTAACATCATTCTTCCTTTAGAAGAGAAATGACTTTACAAATAATATCCTGATTTTAAAGCAATGCTTTGTACTTGGACAGGCTTGTACTTTGTTTATTAGTTCAGTACAACTATTTTATTGACCATGGTAATGTTACTTAACTCTGCTAAGCTCTCTTTTTCCTTCTATGAAATGGAAATGATAATGTGTCCGGAATTGGTGGGTTCTTGGTCTCACCAACTTCAAGAATGAAGCTGCGGACCCTCGCAGTGAGTGTCACAGTTCTTAAAGGCAGCCTGTCGGGAGAGTTTGTTCCTTCTGATGTTCCAATGTGTTCGGAGTTTCTTACTTCTGGTGGGTTCCTGGTCTCACTGGCTTCAGGAGTGAAGCTGCAGACCTTCGCAGTGAGTGTTACAGCTGATAAAGGCAGTGTGGACCCAAAGAGTGAGCAGCAGCAAGACATCGCAAAGAGCAAAAGAACAAAGCTTCCACACTGTGGAAGGGAACCCCAGGGGCTTGCCACTGCTGGTTTGGGCAGCCTGCTTTTATTCCCTTATCTGGCCCCACCACATCCTGCTGACTGGTCCATTTTACAGACAGCTGATTGGTCCATTTTACAGATAGCTGATTGGTCTGTTTTGACAGGCTGCTGATTGGTGCGTTTACAATCCCTGAGCTAGACACAAAACTTCTCCAAGTCCCCACTAGATTAGCTAGCTACAGAGTGCTGATTGGTGTATTTACAAACCCCCTAAGCTAGACACAGAGTACTGATTGGTGCATTTACAAACCTTGAGCTAGATACAGAGTGCTGATTGGTGTATTCACAATCCCTTAGCTACACATAAAGATTCTCCAAGTCCCCACCAGATTAGCCAGACACAGAGTGCTGACTGGTGCATCCACAAACCCTGAGCTAGACACAGGGTGCTGATCGGTGTATTTACAACCCCTTGGCTAGACATAAAGATTCTCCAAGTCCCCTCTAGACTCGGGAGCCCAGCTGGCTTCACCCAGTGGATCCTGCAGGAGGCCGCAGGTGGAGCTGCCTGCCAGTCCTGCGCCTTGCGCCCGCACTCCTCAGCCCTTCGGTGGTCGATGGGACCAGGCACCACAGAGCAGGCGGCGGCGCTAGTCAGTGAGGCTGCGGCGGCGCTAGTCAGTGAGGGTCCCGGCGGCGCAGCAGCCCACGGCGGTGGGGGAGGCTCAGGCATGGCGGGCTGCAGGTCCTAACCCCTGCCCCCCGGGGAGGCAGCTAAGGCCCGGCGAGAATTCGAGCACAGCGCTGGCGGGCCGGCACTGCTGGGGAACCCGCCGCACCCTCCGCAGCTGCTGGCGCGGGTGCTAAGCCCCTCACTGCCGCGGGCCGGTGGCGCCGGCCGGCCACTCGGAGTGTGGGGTCCGCCGAGACCACACCCACCCGGAACTCGCGCTGGCCCGCAAGAGCCGTGCGCAGGCCTGGTTTCGGCCCGCGCCTCTCCCTCCACACCTCCCCGCAAGCTGAGGGAGCCGGCTCCGGTCTCGGCCAGCCCAGAGAAAGGCTCCCACGGTGCAGCGGCGGGCTGAAGGGCTCCTCAAGCGCGGCCAGAGTGGGCGCCGAGGCCGAGGAGGCACCGAGAGCGAGCTAGCATGCTGTCACCTCTCAATAATATTTACTACTAAAGACTGTTAAGCTAAATATATATATATGGCTATATATGTGTGTGGATAGATATACATACATATTGAAACTGGAGAGGTTCCCTCATCCCTGTGGCAGGGCGTGCGACAAGCGGGGGCTCCCCTCGATGTCCTCTCAATGTCCGGTGGCTTGTCTTCTTTGGCCGATATTTTCATCTCGTCGTCCAGCAGCTTCCGTTTCTGTCTTGCTAGGGTCTCGGATTTTTATAGGCCCAGGATGGAGGTATGGCGGGCCAGAGTGGTCTTAGAAAACGCAACATTTGGGATAGAAAGTAGGAATGCGGGTCTTCACTTAAGTCTGTGGGGGTGGGGCCTTAGACAGGGGCCACGCCCTCCTCTACCCAGCACTTCCCTTCCCTGCTTCCCTATCTTTTAAAGAGACCATGCTCTTCCCTTCCCAGCACTCCCGTATCAATATGTAAAGAGAGAGATCTACATAGACAGATACATAGGTGGATAGACAGAGAAAGACAGAGAGAGAGAGAGAGGTGGAAGGGGCACGGACTCAGTAGATGTATTTTTATTTGATGTTTCAATCAGTTTATTTGATATTTCAATCAGTTTATTAATATAGTTAATGTGTGTATATTTCAATCAGTTTATTAATATAGTTAATGTGTGTATATTTCAATCAGTCACTATTCTAGAGATTATGAATAACATTTTTTTCTTTTTGTTGGTACTTAGCTATGTAACCCGGGCAGAAAGTCTAGAACCCAGGGAAAACTACATTATTGAAAATAAAGTAATAGGGACAGATTTTCTATCCTTTTTAAAAATATTCATTACGAAGGATATTCAATGCATCTGTAATCAAACGTCAGTGACAGTACGTGGAAGTACCTATTATATTTTGTGCCCTACTGTATCATATTCAGAATAAGCATCTTCATATGGGACTGGGACATTGGCTTCTAAAGTAAAAAAATCCATTGCCCTGCATGTGGATGTCATTTATCAGAGCTTGGCAACTTGAATTTATTTATTTATTTATTTACTTATTTATTTATAAATTTTAAGTTCTCTTTTTTTAATTTTTTTTTTTTTTTTTTTTTGAGACAGAGCTCTGTCACTCAGGTTGGAGTGCAATGGCACGATCTTGGCTCACTGCAACCTCAGCCTCCGGGTCAAGCGATTTTCGTGCCTCACCCTCCTGAGTAGCTGGGATTACAGGCCTGTGCCACCACGCCAAGCTAACTTTTGTATTTTTAGTAGACATGGGGTTTCACCATGTTGGCCAGGCTGGTCTCGAACTCCTGGCCTCAAGTGATCCACCGCCTTGGCTTCCCAAAGTGCTGGGATTATAGGCATGAGCCACTGCGCCAGGCCAGAATTAAAGTTAGGGGCTCTCCTGTTGAAAAGAGTGCTTAATTTTATTACTCCAAAATGAGTGAAAATATTTTCGTTGAATTCTACTGGAGTACGAAACCCTCATCTCAAGGACTCATTGTGGAAACCACGTCTAATTTTATTTGTGTCATTCTTCCACTACACAGTATGCCAAGCAGTCTTCATGTTGCCTCTCAAATAGTTTTCCAGTGTCTTGATAAAGCAAATTCCAGAAGTCATGAGTCAACGTCTAGAAATGTTTTAAAATGAATGATTAGCAATTTCACACAGTGAATTCTGTGGGGTTAGCAAAAATATGTTGAGCAAAATATGTCATTAGGACATTTTTTAATAATCAGCTCAGTCTAGGTCTCTTTACTTCAAGTTGTATGTATCAACATATACATGTGTTTATCTGCTTTCCCTGGTGAAGATTGCCTGTGCTGACAAAGATTTGGAAACCCAACCAACAATTACAGTCAATGGCTCTATATTATGACTCCCAATGTTTTCCATTCCATTGACATTGTTACCTAAACCTTGGTCAATTAAAACGTATTTTATTTAGACTAGTGCTAAGAATAGAAAGAACTGGATCATTTCTGTGACAGAACAGAACTTAACAGGTAAGAGATCAGGTCTCCTTCCTCAGCTCTAAGAATAGAATGCATGAAAGCAGAAGGGCAGAGATTATGTGATACCATATACCAGCAGAATGTCTATAAAAATGGGAATGGTGCAATTAAAACAGATCCCTCAGGCTTCTAGTCATTTTTACAAAATGTCCTTTGGGCCTCTGACATTAGTCATCTTACTGGACAATTCAAGTCACCAATAACTTTTATCCCAATTGGAAATGTAGTATCTACAAAAATACACCATCCCCTGAGTGTAATATGATGCTTTACTTCACACAGCAAAAGAAATACAACTTCAAAAGACAATAACTAAAGCTGACAAATATTGGCTACGTTGTCACATACAATCACCTAGTTCCGCACACTGATTTTTATTTTCCTGAGGACTGTGCCAACAGATGTTAATGTGGTATAAATGAACATGTCAATTTTCTCATAACTATGTTGACAAGTGTTAAAGAATTCAGCTTAAGAGGGACATGCTATCTGACTATTACCTGTCTTCCTCTTTTGTATCAAGTTACTGTGTTGCCTGTCCTGGGTTTGATGTCTTATCACAGGGTAGCATATGGCACATGATGAAAAAGCCAGAAATATTATTTTATCCACACTAACTCTGAAACAACGAGCCTTGCCCACTTTTTGGATGAAGATTAGCAGACCAATGAACACCTCTGCCTAAGGACATAGGGGAAGGAGGCAGGAGGCATTTGTTCCAGGGGCCTGGTTGTTGTCTATTTTGATTTAGCAGAAGAAATCTTTTCTTTGCTGCTTTAGTACTTTATTATTTCCTTGCAGGAAGCTTTTCAGAAATAAGGCATAATGAAATCTGCTAAAATATAACTCTTGCAGGCCAGGCACAGTGGCTCATGCCTGTAATCCCAGCATATTGGGAGGCTGAGATGGGTAGATCGTTTGAGCCCAAGAGTTCGAGAGCAGCCTGGGCAACATGGTGAAACCCCGTTTCTACCAAAAATACAAAAATTAGCTAGGCTGCAGTCCCACCTACTTGGGAGGCTGAGGTGGGAGGATCTTTTGACCTCAGGAGGCAGAGATTGGTTGCATTGTTTAAGATTGTGCCATTGCACTTCAGCCTGGGTGGCAGAGTGTGACCCTGTTTTGAAACAAACAAACAACAAATACACACACAGACATCACATCTTAATTCACAGCGTGCATCTAAGTTGATTTTAGTTAGTTGCATATGCTGTGGACCTAAATGACCCTCACCAAGCAGCATCACAAAGTTACCATTCCATCAAATGGTTTTCTGAGGTAACTGGCACAGGAGCTGAACTACATTTTTGGGATTAATATTAAGAAAATAAAATTATCAGTATTTAAATTCCAGCATCACCATACTATTGTTATTCCTATGGATTAATTCAATACGCTTTGAAAACCACCTGACCTTCAGCTAACATAGATACCATACCAGCTTGGTACAACTCACTATACAATTGATTTTTTTCCTTGTGGACTTCGTATTTATAGAATACCATTGTTTATCATGGAATTATGGAATGTATGTTTCTGTAGTTGTTTTGTTTTTTTGTTTTTTGTTTTTGTTTTTTGTTTTGTTTTGAGACAGAGTCTCACTCTGTCACCAGGCTGGAATGCAGTGGTGCAATCTCGGCTCACTGCAATCTCTGCCTCCCAGGTTCAAGCAATTCTCCTGCCTCAGCCTCCCAAGTAGCTGAGATTACAGGCACGCACCACCACGCCTGGCTAATTTTTGTATTTTTATTAGAGACAGAGTTTCATCATGTTGGCCAGGATGGTCTCGATCTCCTGACCTCATGATCCGCCTGCCTTGGCTTCCCAAAGTGCTGGGATTACATCTGTGAGCCACCATGCCCAGCCATGTTGTTTTGATCTTAGGATATTATACACAATACTGTCGTTGGATCTTTGGATACAATATTTTTAATAAAATCTGAGTTTTTTCTGATACATACAGTCAAATTCACCTGGCAAAAATGTGACCTGTTTTAGATTTTGTTACATGATACTCAATTCCTCTCCGGAAAGAGGAAACCAAATTTGAGTGTCACTGGTAAAACTTGCCAACATTGGTTTTTATCACTTTTATTTGTTTTAGCTACTTTAATGAAATCTGAAATTGTGCTAGAGAGTTCTTTTAATTGCATTTCTATAAGTGTTACTAAGTGTATACATTTATCTAATTTTAAATCTGTAATTTCTGATATATCAGAAATTAATATATTATTAATTATATATAATTATAATATTATTATATTAATAATATATCTACCTATTTCCTCCTCGTCCTCCCCATAAAATATTTGCAGAAAATAATATATTTGCCTAATCCCTTTTCTTTTAGAATATAGAATTTAACCAGATTGTACTAGTCTTCGGGCACAAATAGGAACATATTAACTCATTTATTAACACACATTTTACTGTTTCGTTGCATCTAAATGAATAACAAAGGACATTACTGTCACTCAGTCCCCTATAAATTCCTTTCTCAGAGAAATATGCCTGACAGTCACCAAGGGTGTCTTACCAATGCCTTCTAAGTTGCATTGCAGTTGCATGGGCACCTTGGTCTCCAGTGCTCCCAATGATCACTGGGTGCACAGTACCAATGGTGTATAATGGACCCTGGCAAAGTAGAACTTTAGCAGAGCTAATTTTATGTTTTAATTTCAGTTGAATTTATGCTCCCTATGCTACATATGAGACTAAGCCAAGGTTCCAAAATAATCTGAATGACATGCTGTCCCTTCCATTAAAAAGGTATTATTGAATTACAGTCACCATGCCACCCTCTGAAGAATGAAATGTACCAAGAAGTTCCTCAGGCTACCTGTAAATTGTTATTTAGTGGGTAGTACAGAGAGTCCTCTCAATTAGCTTGAAAGACATGTTCAAACATATCTAAAGCTTACTTGAATGGAAAACTGCTACAAAGAATAGCATATACAGGTTAGAACTTTGTCAGACATATTACTTGGTTTTGTAGCTGTTTAATCTATATATTTTATGTATATTGGACATATAAACTTTATTATTGTATATTTGCATATATTTGATGTGCCAAATGATCAAACCCACCATTTTTTCTATTTCTCTTTCTATACCAGGATAACTGTTGTATCCTGTGTTCTCATGGACATTTAAAATAAGATTTTCATAAATGTTTGATTTATCTAAAATTGAGTGTATGGAGAGGAGTAAGAGTTCCTCGTTTATGCAGCCATTTTATTTTTTAACAATAGTTATTAAATAATGATGTCTACGCTCACAGTTTTGTTGGTTTTGACATATTCTTAGTTCTTCCAATACTTAGCAATATTTAATGACGTTTATTTAATCTATTATGTTTTCTTTAAGTTTCATAATATATTAAGTGTTATAGTTTACCCTTTAGAATTGCGTCAAAATAAGTTGTATTTAATAATTATAACAATTTTCTAGGGTGGTAATTTATATTTCTGTTTTACAGTTGAGACAACTGAGACATGGAAAGTTTACATTATAGGTGGCAAAGCTATATTTTTAGAGTTTCAAATCCTATGTTTTTAGCCATTATTTTATCCTAACTTCTTTTGTTACATTTCTATTATATGTTATTGCATACAATAAAATTTTGCTAATTTTTGTTTTGTAATATGACACAATATTTAGTGAAACAAACACAACAGTCTATCTCTTCATGGACACACACACTCACACACACACACACATATACACACACACACAGTTGCTGCTATTTGTGTGATTTGCTAAATTAGTTAATTCTTTCAGTTGTACCTTAATTATGAGCCTATCAAGTTTTATTAAGTGTTCTATGATGGACTAATTGCTATTTTAATCAACTTCTATATTCACTTTGAATTTTATGGTCCTTACTTTTGAAAATGAAGTAAAAGATTTCTCATTGTTTAATTTCACCATTTTATTTCTATTAATTTTATTTTTAACTAACAAATAATTGTTGTATATGTGGGGTACAATGTGATATTTACACGCATGTACACTGTAGAGTAATTAAATCAGTCTAATTAATGTATCTATCACCTCACATACATTTTTTTGTAGTGAGAACATTTGGAATCTATTCTTTTAACAATTTTCAAATATACAGTACATGGTTAACTATAGTCACCATACTTAGCTCTCCAAAACTTATTCCTCCTGTCCGATAGAATCTTGGTAGCCTCTGAAAAACTCTTCTCATTCCCTCTCCCTTGTCCCAACCTCTGACAGCCACCTTCTGTGAGTCTGATATTTTTAGATTTCCATGTATAAGTGAGATCATGCAGTATTTATTTTATGGTACTGGCTTATTTCACTTAATATCTTTCAGGTTTATCTATGTTGTTACAAGTAACAGGATTTCCTTCTTTTTTTAAGGCCAAATAATATTTTACTCTGTGTGTGTGTGTATATATGTATATATAAATATATATATACATATATATATAAAACATTTTATCCATTAATCCACTGAGGGACATTTAGTTTGATTCCATATCTTGACTATTATGAATAATACAGTAATAAACATGGGAGTATAGATGTCTCTTTGACATACTTATTTTAATTTCTTTGCATATATTCACAGAAGTGAGATTGCTGGATCATATGATAATTCTAGGATCTTTCAGAATCCATACTAAAAAACCATACTGCATTCCATAATGCCTGTATTAATTTGCATTCCAAAAGACTGAATACCCAAGGTAATTTGGAGAAAAAAATACAAAGCCAGAGGCATTATACCTCCTGAATTCAGAATATATTAAAAAGCTACAGTAATCCATGGTACTATCTCCATGGTACTGTCATGAAAACAGTCACATGGAGCAATAGTAGAGAGTAAAGAGCTTAGAAAAAAATCCCATGTATTTATGGTCAATTGATTCTTGACAAAGGTGCCATGAACATACAATGGAAAAAGAATAGTCTCTTCAATTACTTGTGTGGGGAAAACTGGAAATCCACAGGCAAAAAAATAAAACTGGACCGTTTTCTCACATAGTATACAAAAATCAACTAAAAATGGATTAAAGACTTAAATTTAAGACCTAAAGTTTTAAAACTACTAGAAGAAAACATGGAAGAAAAAGTCTATGATATTGATCTGAACAAAAACTTTGGTGTCTAGGATATGGCCCCAAAAGCACAGGCATCAAAGGAAAATAGACAAAAGAGATTGCATCACAAACTAACATTTTTTTATGGAAAAATATTTAAAATATTTTGAGTAAACTATATTTTACATTTGTTTAGCTTTCATAGTACACAAAGTGATTTATAATATTTTAAAATTATTTACATTTATTTGATTAATTATATAGTGATGATGACCTTGAAATGGACAAAGGCTTTCATATGTCTTGTCTAGTACACACATCATAGTTACATAACATTTTCTTTGATTTCAGCTATATGTCAGCTCTAAAATTTGTTAAAATCTGTTAACCAATATCACTATTATTCCAAAAATGCAAATTAATTGTGTGTAATATAATTGAATTGCCTATTGCCCAATGGAAAGACACACTGTGCAACCATATGTAAATTCATTTTAGCATTTCTTCTTCGTCTTTTAAGTGTGCGGTTCTTTAAATTTTACCGTGACATTGTTGTGACGTCTTACTTGTTCACTTAATTAGTTAAGTAAAATTTAGGACACATGTTTATTTTAGACTTGTATAAAGTAATAATTTTACCTTACATTTAAATGTATTGTTTAACAAATGTGTTGAAAATTTTCTTATACAAAGCTAGATGCAATTTCTATAATTACAAATACATATTCATAACAATTTATATAAATAAACACATAAAATATTATTCCAATTACTAAGATTATTTAGGACTTTTATTTAATTTTTACTACAATTACCATACATATCCATATATGCACATTATATTTTTGAAACAAAACCACATTTTGCTGTCCTGGTTGTAGGTAGAGGATTGAACAACTACATCTAGCTTTATTTCCTCCTGAACCCCCATTACGATGATAGAAAAATATAGTTTAGAAATATTAAATTACAGGGATAAGTAAAGTGGAAGACAAGAACCAGTAAAATTTTTTAAGCTGAAAAGCTGATGGATAGCTGATTTAGAGAAGACCCAAAAAAGATGAGTCCGCTAAATCACCATTGTTGAAAGCTATGAGGTTAACACAATTTGATTCCCTGAAAATATAATTGAAAAATGGTAGCATGATGTGCCTCTGTCACTGACGTAACAGACAATGGGGACTCAGAAAGGTGTGAGGGTGAGGTCAGGCTGGTCTCGAACTCCTGACCTCAGGTGATCCACCCACCTTAGCCTCCTAAAGTGCTGGGATTACAGGCGTGAGCCACCATGCTGGGCCAGGGTAAAGATTTTTATGTAAAAAGTATATATGTATTTTCTTATTCTTAATTGATCTAAAATATAACTTTGTATTGTTTTAATAGTAAAATGCATTGGATAATTACAGTATACGGATAAATAAAAATAGGAATGCTACTAACAGTACTGGCATAAAGGCAGATATGTAGGCCAATAGAGAGCCCAGAAATAAACCCACACATATACAGTTAATTGATCTTCAACAAGAGTGCCAAGAACACACAATGGGGACAGAATCTTTTCTTAAACAAATGGTGTTGGGAAAATTACGTTGCCACATGCAAAAGAATAAAATCAGAACTCTGTCTTACACCATACACAAAAAATTAACTGAAAGTGGATTAAAGACTTAAATGAAGACCTAAATCTAAAAAATTCTATGAAAAATACATAAAGGAAAAGCTTCTTAACATTGCTTTTGGTAATAATTTCTTTGATTTGACACCAAAATCCCAGGCAACAAAATAAATATAGACAAGTAGAATTGACTGTATTGAACTGAAAAGCTTTTGCATAGCAAAGGAAACACTCAATAGAGTGAGAAAACAACCAACAGAATGGGAGAAAATATTTGCAAATCATCTATCTGATAATGGGTTAATATCCAAAATACTTAAGTTTCTTCCACAACTCAAAAGCAAAAATAAACCAAATAACTTATTTAAAAATGGGCAAAGGACTTCAGTAGACATTTCTCAAAAGAAGACAAAGGGCCCAAGGTATACAAAAAGGTGCTTAATATTGATAGCTGCAGCAGGCAGAGAAATTCTAGGCAGAAAAGGGTGTGTCCTGACAAAATCCCACCCTCTATCCAAGAAGCCTTAAACTGCAGCCCGCAGTGAGAACTTACATCTCTGTTTTCCCACATAAATGTTTCCTTTTCCTGAAACATGCAAGGCCCCGCCCCATTCTATCATGTGCCTATAAAGATCCCAGACTCAGCTGACAGAGAGGAGAAGCAGCTGGACATTGGTAACTACAGCTGGACATTGGAGAGAAGCAGCTTGACTTCAGAGGGACAGCTTGATGGTGTAACTTTTATAAAATATCTGGCCAGAGATGGCCAGCCTTCAGGAGAAGATTACCTACCCCTCCTGCCATCCCCTTTTCACTTCCCCTTCCCTCTGAGAGCCACTTTAGCAGCAATAAAATCCCCTGCACTTACTATCCTTCAATTTGTTCTTGTGACTTTATTTTTCCTGGATGCTGGACAAGAGCTCGGGAGCCATGAATGCAGATACAAAAGGCTGTCACACTGACACTGTGCCCTCGCTGGTAGAAGGAGGGCCCACTGAGCTGTTAACATTTAAGCCATCTGAAGATGGCATAGCTAAAAGAGCACTGTAACACACCCTGGGAGGCTTCAGGGGTAGCAGGCAGCCCCCTAGACACTGCTGTGAGGCCACACGGAATTTGCTCCTGCTGGCACCCAAAAGCACTCACCCTGAACAGTTTTTGGTTCTTTTGATTCTTTGTATGAATTTTTGGTTCTCAATTTCATTCAGTTCTGCTCTGGTTTTAGGTATTTCTTCTGCTAGATTTGTAGTTAATTTGTTCTTATTTTTCTTGTTTCTCTAGGTGTGATGCTAGATTGTTAGAGATCTAACTATTTGAGGTATGTATTAAGTGCTATAAACTTTCTCTTAATACTGCTTTTGCTGCATCTCAGAAATTTTAGTATATTGTATCTCTGTTTTCATTTATTTTAAGGATTTGTTTGATTGCTCCCTTAGTTTCATTGTTTAACCAGAAGCTACTCAGGGGGAAATTGTTTAATCTCCATATAGTTGTGTGGTTTTTAGATATCTTCTTGGTGTTGATTTCTATTTTTATTCCACTGTAATCTGAGAATATGGCTGGTATGATTTCAATTTTTTAAATTTATTGCTATTTGCTTTATGGCCAAGCATGTGGTTGATCTTGGAGTATATTCTGGCCATAACTTTCTTGTTTGGTAACCAGTTACAAAGTGCTTAGAAAATAGCACTTCTAAAAAGGTGACTATTATTTGCATCAACTTGGTAAATATCCCCTTATATTGAAATTGAAGATGTATAAAAATCATAAAATGTAAACACGTTTGTAAGAAATTTATAAAGTTATAAATGTGTATATATATGTGTGTGTCTATATATATGTATATCAAATACTGCAACATGGATGAACCTTAAAAATGAGCTAAGTGAAGGAAAACAAATACAAAAAGTAATATGTTATATGATTCCATTTATATGCAATGTTCATTACATGTAAATACATATAATCAGAAAGTAGCTTACTGTTTTCCAGGGGCTTGGGGAAGACAGAAATGAGAAAGTGACTGAAATTTTGTACCGGGTTTCTTTTTAGAGGGATGAAAATATTCAGTAATTAAATTATGCTGATGATTGCACAAATCTGTGGATATACTCAAATGACTGAATTGTACATGTAAAATGAGAGTTTGAAAGTTATGTTAATTACGTATCAAAAGAGTTGTTCTTAAAAAAGATAAATTTAACAAAGAGTGGTTTTGTATTTTTATACTTTATCAAAAATAAAATTTTTAATTGTCCTTTGAATATTAAAAATGTCACTGTGATATATTGTGAAAAATTCTTAATACAAGGATCTTGTTGACTCAACTATTGACTCTTTAAGATTGAGGATAATCAGTGTCCTTCCAGCAATAATCTGTGCTGATATGTATAAGACAGAACAGTGACAAAACTTCTGGCTCTTTGGATCTGGGAAGAAAGCTTCTCAACTATACTGCCAGAAGGGAAGGCATTGGCAAGTCCTTCTGACTGAATAGTCATGATATATGGGTATAATCTTCTATACTGCAGATCTATATGGTCTCTATGGTAACAGCATATGTAGATATTAGCAGTCATGAAAGGAGAGTTATTTCTGATGTGAGATTTATAATACTCAGCTGCTCTAATCAGCCTTACAGCACTAATTTCTTACAGAGAATAATAAGACGATCTCCCACAGACAGTCTGTGCGTTCTCTAGTCAAATGTGACATCTATCATCTGCATGCCTAATTTCTAATGTGCATTTAATTTAGGGTTGTCAGAAAAATAAGGATTTTAAGTGATCATCTAATCTGAGCCCTTTAGATCACATATAAAGGAATCAGAAACAAAGTCATAAAGTGATTTACACACATTTTAAATCTATTTAGAATAGATGTCAGGTAGGGATATTAGGTTTCTTTCTTTCCTTCCAACATCATCCCAAAGCAGTGTTTTGTTTTTCAGCAATTCCCTGTACCCCAATTCTTCTTAAACAATTAGATTTTGATACAAATTACATTCATAATAATAATTTTGTTACTGAGATAACTTGAGAGCTATCTATATTCTCCATGCTTGGTGTATTTTACCATACTTAATCTACCAAACAATATTAAATAATATTTTTTACAAATTAGAACAAAGATACTCAAAGTAGCTAGGTATTTTACAAATAAAAAATTGTCCCTCAAAGATGTTACCTAATGTGTTTAAAGTTATCTGGCTTTTAGTGTTTCTAGCTCTTGGTTTATACTTCCAAGAGCTAGAAATTGCACCCCATCATTCAAGCTGTATAGTCAGAGATCTAGTTAGTATACCCTATTATCTCCTGAAGCCTAGAAAATGCCATGCCTTGAGTAATTTTCTGCAAGTATGGAAAGACTTGTTTTGTGTGTTTGAAGATGTTAGTTACAATTAAGAACAAGCTCCAAGGCATAAGCAGTTCCCATATGACTATTGCAGAGTCAAGTTGTTACAATTATGAGAAAGAAAGTCATGCAAAACTTGACCTTACAAATTGAGTATTCCAGGTTGATTGAATCTGAAACATCAAAAATAATAATAGAAAAATTTTGTCACAGTAGGTACTTGTTTATGGAAATGTCACTGTATGTACGATATTGCTTTTGCATAATTGTTGCATTTTGGATTTGTTCACTCAACAAGCTAATTCAACAGACAAGTTGTCATTAAATTCCACTGGTGGGAGGTAGATAAGATTTGCAGGCTGTAAATAGTTCAAACATTTCGTCAGCCGTAATTGAAAAAATCTTTACTGCATATAGCTGCCTTTTACAATATAGAAGCAAAATCAGTAAAAATATTTTGAAATATATTCCTTAACTCTTTATTCGCAAAAATTTAGGGAAATATTTTGATAGTATTTCCATGGTGTTTCTTAATATTGCTAGAACATTTTCTCTATAATATACTTAATTCTAGTAGACATTCAATAAAAACTGGGTAAAGATAATTCTATTAATACTATGCATTTAAGGATTTTGAGTCAAAGCAAAATAAATGACATAGTATAAAGCACTGTTTTGATTTTATCTAACTGCTTAAAATACAATAATGTGTATATATAACCATCATTTAATTTTTCCAAAATGTATAATTTTGTTTTTTAATACTCTAATTTCTAATAAAATACATTATCTTTAATTCACATGCTTTATAGAAATAACTAGCAATTATTCCCGTAATTTAGAAAGGATACGATATAGGCCAGGTGTGGTGGCTCATGCTTATAATCCCAGCACTTTGAGAGGCCGAGGAGGGTGGATCACAAGATCAGGAGATCGAGACCAGCCTGGCCAAGATGGTGAAACCCCGTCTCTACTAAAAATACAACAATTAGCCAGGTGTGGTGGTGGGTGCCTGTAATCCCAGCTACTCAGGAGGCTGAGGCAGGAGAATTGCTTGAACCTGGGAGGCGAATGTTGCACTGAGCCGAGATCACACCACTACACTCTAGCCTGGGTGACAGAGCAAGACTCAGCCTCAAAAAAAAAAAAAAAGAAAGAAAGAAAGAAAGGATGCTATATAAAGTGTACTAGTCTGTTTTCACACTGCTGATAAAGACATACCCGGGACTCGGCAATTTAAAAAAGAAAGATTTAAGTGGACTCAGTTTTACGTGGCTGGGGAGGCCTCACAATCATGGAGGGAGGCAAGGAGAAGCAAGTCACATCTTACATGGATGGTGGCAGGCAAAAAGAGAACTTGTGCAGGGAAACTCCCATTTTTAAAACCATCAGATCTCATAAGACCCATTCACTATCATGAGAACAGCATGGGAAAGACCCACCCCCATGAATCAATCATCTCCCACCAGGACCCTCTGACAACACATGGAAATTAGAGAAGATACAAGATGAGATTTGGGTGGGGACACAGAGCCAAACCATATCGTAAAGTATTAAAAAATCTAAATATGTAACTAGCAAGTGCATGATATAGTGACTTGAAGTTAATAGTCTTTGTGTATATATCCTATACCTAAGAGTTCTATATTATTTCCTTCTTTCTGCTAATTTTTGGTTTGGTTCATTTTTGCTTTTCTAGTTATTTTGATGCACACCATTAGGTTATTTATTAAAAATCATTCTACTTTTTTGAGATAGGCATTTATGGTTAAAAACTACCCTCTTAACACTGCTTCTGCTGCATCCCCACAGGTTTTGGTGTGTTCTGTTTCCATTTTAATTTGTTTCAAAATTTGTTGATTTCCATCTTAATTTCTTAATTGACCTAGTGGTTATTCAAGAATATGTTGTTTAATTTTTATCTATTTGTATATTTTCCAAACTTTCTATGGGGTTAACTTCTAGTTTTATTCCACTGTGGTGGTTGAAGAAGATAGTTGATATTATTTTTATATTTTAAATTTTTTAGACTTGTTTTATGGCCTAACATATGTTCTATCCTGGATAATTTTTCATGTGCTGTTGAGAAGCATTTTATTAGGTAGCTGTTTGATAAAATGTTCTGTAGATGGCTGTTAGGTCTTTTTGGTCTAAAATCCATTTAAAATGCAACTTTTTCTGTTCATTTCCTACCTACACGATCTGTCTGATGGTCAGAGTAGGATGTTGAAGTCCCCCTCTATTACTGCATTGGATTTGATTTCTCTCTTAGCATCTAGTAATATTTGCTTTATCAATCTGAGTGTTCCAGCATTGGATGTACACATATTTACAATTGTTATATCCTCTTACTAGATTAATCCTTTTATCATTATATATTAACCTTCTTTGTTTTATTTTACTAGTTTTGAATTAAAGTCCACTTTATCTGATATAAGTGTAACTATTCCTATTAGCTTTCAATTTCTATTTGCATGGAATATCTTTTTTCATCACTTTACTTTCAGTCTATATGTGTCTCTATATGTAAAATTCATTTCCTATAGGCGGCATATAGTTGGATCATGTTCATTTGTTTGTTTGTTTCTCCATTCATCCACTCTGTATCTTGTAAGTGGAGAATTTAACCCATTTATGTTCCAGGTTATTATTGATATGTGAAGTTTTGTTCATATATATATATTTGGTCCTTTTTTATTATTATACTTTAAGTTCTAGGGTACGTGTGCACAACGTGCAGGTTTGTTACATATGTATACAAGTGCCATGTTGGCTTGCTGCACCCATTAATTAGTCATTTACATTAGGTATTTCTCCTAATGCTAATTGTTTTCTAGTTATTTTGATTTGATTTTTTGTTTGTTTCTTTTTCTTTTGTTGCTCGTCATTCTGATTTAATGGTTTCCTGCAGTGGCACCATTTGTGTTCTTTCTCGTCCTAATTTGTGTGTTTCCTTTACCAGTGAGTTTTATATATTCTTGTGTTATCATGATGGTGAATGTTGTCCATTCACTTCCAAATTTGGGACTTCCTTGAGCATTTCTTGGACGTTCAGTCTAGTGGTGATGAATTCCCTCATGTTATGTTTTTCTAGGCAAGATTTTCTTTCTCCTTCATTTATGAAGGATCATTTCGCTGGATATAGTATCCATGGCTGTCGGGGTTTTTTTAACCCCCTAACAATTGGGTATATAATTTTATTCTCACTTTGCCTGTAAGGTTCCTGCTGAGAAATCTGCTGCTAGTTTAATGGAGGAATCCTTTAAAGGTGACTCAACACTTTTATTGCTTTTAGAATTTTCTTTTTGTCTTTGACTTTAGACAGTTGATTATAATGTGCCTTGAAGACCTTTTTGCATTGTACCTGTTTGGGATTCTCTGGGCTTCTTGTATCTGATGTCTAAATCTCTAGCTGGCTTTGATAAGTTTTTATCTATTATTTTGTTAAATAGGTTTTCCAACCCTTCTGTTTCTCTTCACTCCCCTGGGAAAACAGATAACTAGAATAATTAGTCACTTTATGGTGTCCTATAGATCATGAAGGCTCTGCTCATTCTTTTAAATTATTTTTTCTTTATTTTTTTTTGTCTGACTGGGTTATTTCAAAAGACCTGTCCTCAAGTTCTGAGATGCTTTCTTCTGCTTTATGCTATCTATTGTCAAAGCTTTCATATGTATTTTGTATTCCATTCACTGAGTTCTTCAACTCCAGAATTTCTATTTGGTTCTTGTTACACTTCTATTAATATGTATTTGGTAAATTTCTCATTCCTATCCCAGTTTTTTCTGATTTATTTGTATTGTTTTTCAGCATTCTCTTGTATTTCACTAAACTTGTTTAAAATGAATATTTAATTTTTTTTTTTTACAAAATTTTGTAAATTTATTTTCAATTGGGATCTGTTGCTGGAGCATTACTTTATTCCTTTGGAGGTATCATATTTCCTTTTTTATGTTCTCAGTTTTCTTATGTTGATATTCATGCACTGGTTTTAACAGTTGCTTCTTTTAATGTTTTTGAATTTGCTTTTAGAGGAGGAGATTTTTTTCCCTAAAATGCATCTATAGTTTTGGTTGGGTAGGCGATTTCTGGCTTTGATTCTGGTTTCACGCAGTAGTATAGTGTATGTATGATTTATTTCACTGTAAACAGCATCAGTGGTATAAGTTATTTTTCTCAGTGGCTTAGGATGCACTTATTAGTGGAGGCTGCGGTGAAGTTTTCTGGGGACTTGGATGCCTGGCAGGCCAGTCTTTAGCCGCCAGTGGTGGCAAAAATAGACTGACCATGGCTGTTTTTTTGGCCCCAGAGTAGAATACTCTGAGATCAGTGTTAGCAGGTCCCAAGTGGACTAGTTCTTGGGCCTCCACATGGCTTGCTTGGATGCTAGTAGTGGCTGCAATGGACCGTGCAGGTGGGCAGATCCCTGGGCTCTTTGGTGGCTAGCATGGTGTGGGTGATGACAGTAGCAATGGTGAGACAACCTGCTGAATCCCAAGCAGTGCACATTGGTGTTGGTGGTGGCTGTGATGGACTGGGTGGGGCAGTCTCCAGGCCTGTAGGTGGCACTTTTAGGTAGGTGTCAGCTGTGGTGGTAGTGGTAGAGTGAACAAGCCCAAGCTCAGGACCGTGGGAAGAGTGTTCAGGTGCACTCTTCAGTGGCAGACTAGGCTGGGTAATCCCCTGGCCCTGGATTGTGTGCCATGGCATGGGAGGAGTGTGAAGCCAGGCTGAGCTTGCTTGTCCTGAGGCCCCCTGCTGGTGTGTGCAGGCGCTAGCCGTAGTGGGCAGAGAAGGTATGATCCCCAGGCCTCAGGCAGAGTACTCAGGTTGAAAGATGGTAGTGACCACACTGTGGCCCTGCCACTATGGAGCATTGGACCTCTTTCAGTGGCAGCAACCCAGATTAGCAGGTGGGGAACATGCACCTTGCTTGTGCTTCAGCCACTGCAGCAATCAAGCCTTACTTCCAGTGACAGTGGCCCATGCCTCACTCATGCCTCAGCTCCAGGGGGAATAGCCTGTACTTTTCTTGTGCCTCAGCTTCAAAACTATTGGGTCCCAGAATAGTGCCTTGTCAAGTGGAGGCAGGGCTCTAAAATGGTGCCTTGCTGTAGCTGCTCAGGAGTGTGTGGAACCCAGTGCAAGCTCCCTCTCAGGAGTAGTGCTGTTGCACCATCTCCTGATAGCTGCCTATGTAAGTTTCAAGGCCCAGGGATCAAGAGGCTCTCTTATGACTGAGATTACAGAAATACATGTGAGAATGTGGACCACTGAGGGTCTTTCATTTACCCTTCCCTCACATGTGGAAGTCCCTCCTGTCTCCCACCTGAACTTGGTCAAGTAGGCTCCCTCACTTCCCTCTCCTTCCTTGCTTTAGGTGTTTCCTGTCACATTTCTGTAGAATTCCAGTGTTCTCTCTTGGATGATCTATTCAAAGTATGATTATCTACTCACTATTTTGGCTCTTCTTAGTGGAGGAGGTGAGAACAAAATGCGTCTAGTAGGCCATCTTCCCCTATACCTAGAAATGTTTTAAAGTTCTTTCCTTCATATTATTTCCTTTAAAAAATACTTGACCAGCAAAACTAAAAATCATATTTCATGAGTCAATCTTAGAATATGACAAATTGACTGCTATTCACTTTCCCACCAACTTCTAAATTGTCTCCGCACCAAGCATTTACGGGGAACATCAGCTGACTAGGTACGAGTTAGGCCATCGGCTGTTTGGGCTCCAGAGGTAGGACCCAGTGTAGCTTTCTTCTTCATGGGCTGACAAGTCTACAAGAGTGTTGAGTGGAGCTCAAAGAAAGGAATGTGGCTCGCTTGGCGTGAGCTGAGCATTCAGCTCTGTGTGGATCAGGCAGAGATGGTGGAGACTGATTTAGCTGCTAAGATAAGGTCTTATTGATTACTAATCTAGAAGCTAATCTAGAAGATTGATTACTAATCTAGAATGCAAAATCCCACGAGCAACAAAACCTCACCATGCAACGTGATTTCAGAGAGCTAGAATTTTGTCTTTCATGAGTTACACAATCCTCGTCATTAAGAATGTATCAGTTAGATTAGACCCTCAAATCAGCAAACTGAGCAAAATAGCATTCAACCTAAAAAAGAAAAGACTCCAGCAATCTGAGACAGAAAAGACACAAGTAGAACAATTACACCATGTGCCCAGTCCTGAATTGTCTTTCATTAATTTGCTACCACACTCATTCTTTCTAAGACGTCCTCTACATTTAAGAGCAGAAATTTAGAGCTGTGTTTTTCAGATTCCTCTTCCCTGTTCAGTTTGAAGGTGGAATTTTCTCTATGAGAGAAACTTAAGTGACATCATAAAGGTAGGATGGAAATAGTTTTATTATATTCTGGAAACAGTTGCAACCATGGTATTAATTGCAGCTTCTTGGTGAGTGCTTTACTGCCACAGATGTAGAGAGATCTTAGGAATTCTCTCAGCACTCTTGAGAATGACTGTAGTTTCCTGATGTGCTTTAGGGAACAAGCTGCTTAGATACTTCAGGCTCAGTTTCTCAATATTTTCCTGATGTTCTACCTATAGATTCACTGATTTTCTTTGGCATCTTCCTTGACTTTCATTTCTCCAGCTTTTTCAATATTCAAGTAAAGCATGATATTAAATATTGAATATCCCCCAAAATACATATAGTATGTCTATTTTACTATATGCAGTATATCTACACTGGCTATAACAAACTGTTATACCCAATGAAATAAAACTGTTGCTGAAGGAAAGAGCTGAATACCTGAATTAAAAAATAATAATAATGAAAGATTCAAGTATAATGTGTATGTGTGTATGCATTTCTGGAGCTTCAACAATGATTTTGAAAAAAAAATTGGTACATGAATTAAGGGAGAGGACTGCCATTGTTGAGACCCAAGATAATAACCTGAAAACCAAGTACAGGAAATCTCACAAAGAAAGCAACAAAAATATTAGAAATCAAAAATTATAAAAGACAAGAGACATAGAGGATATTCATATATGTACCTAACCATCCAAAGAATGACAATTATTAAACAAATACTCAGAGAAAAGGTCCTTGGCCTTTGAAGAGGACTGCAGATCAAAGGGGCACACCAAAATCATCTTGAATTAGAAAACGAAGTACACATCTAGTCATATGCTAATAAAAATAGTGAACTCTAAGGATAAATACAAACAAGTGTTTAACCATATTCCCTGCAGATAGAACAAAACAAAACACTCATATATTTGTTTTAAATCACTGCCACACTTCTGTATGCCAGTGTGGTTTCATTACTGTGCAATTTTCTCAAAGATTCCGACTTCAGGGAATGTCCTCCCTGGCCAAGAGTTCATTGGTCTGTCAAAGGCAAATAAGTTATTCTTCCTTAATATTTATAGTTCTAAACTAAACTGAAGAAAAAGCTGTGATAATTTGAAACTTACTCTCCAGAATTCCAAATGTTAGAATCAAAGGTAAAACCTATCTCTAGATTAAATCTTATTACTTGATTAATCTAAAAATAAATAATGAGAAGGAAATTTTAGGATATCAGATTTGTAGACATCAGAAGAGGTCCACTGTCCCTTTATTCTCTACTAAAAAAAAGATAATGTCTATTTATTTTTTAAATATGTATTTATTTATATACATTAAATATTACCACACTGCTTTTGTCCCTCTGTGAGATTTAAATCTTTTTTAATGTTCGACCCAAAGTAGGTCCCCTGAGTGGAGCAGAAATAGGATTTTGCCAACAGAAAGTTATCTGCTTAAAAGGAGCAGTGGAAAGGTAATGTTCACATACTCTGGTTACTTGAAGAAAAGGTAAGAAATGTATGTAATCATATTTCTATTACCTCATCTGAAGAGTATTTACTAGATAATTTCTTGGTATTGGGTAATAATGTTTAAGCATCGTTTTTCAAACAATTATTTAAAAGGCTTTATGACAGTAATTTGTATATATAACATGTTCTATTTGTATCAGTATGAAACTTCTTTATTTAGTGAAATGGTTGTGGAAGTTATTTGTGCTTCTTGAAGGAGAAGCCTTAAGATCCAGGGTATGCTTTGCCATTTATCTTTAATTTATTCCTGCAATATTTCATATAAATGCTTTTCAGTCAGCCTAGATCCCCAGGTAATCCTCAACAGACATGTGCATGAGTAAGAAATAAACTGTTCGCCTTTTTAACGAATGAGTTTTATTTTTTTTATTTTTGCTTGGCCATGGTAGATACTTTTATACGACCTTTATGCAGATACAATTCACATACCATAAAATTCATCCTTTTAAAGAGAACAGTTCAGAGCTTTCAGAATGTGCACAGGTTGTATGCTAGTCACCATTATCTAATTCTAGAATATCTTTTTATCACTCCAATAGTAAGTTCCAACCCCATTAATAGTCACTTCCTATTTGCCCCTCTCCCATCCCCTGGCAACCACCAATGCCACACTGTCTTCCACAATGGTTGAACTAATTTACATTCCCACCAACAATGTAAAAGTGTTCCTATTTCTCCACAACCTTGCCAACATCTGTTGTTTTTTGACTTTTTTTTTTTTTGACATATTCTTGCTCTGTCGCTCAGGCTGGAGTGCGGTGGCATGATCTCAGCTCACTGCAACCTCCGCCTCCCAGGTTCAAGTGATTCTTCTGCCTCAGCCTCCCGAAAAGCTGGTACTACAGGTGCGTGCCACCACGCTTGGCTAATTTTCTTTTTATTTTTAGTACAGATGGGGTTTCACCATATCGGCCCGGATGGTCTCTAACTCCTGACCTCATGATTTGCCTGCTTCAGCCTCCCAAAGTGTTGGGATTACAGGTGTGAGCCACTGTGCCCAGCCCTGTTTCTTGACTTTTTAATAATCGCCCTTCTGACTGGTGCGAGATGGTGTCTCATTGTGGTTTTGATTTGCGTTTCTCTAATGATCAGTGATGTAGAGAATTTTATCATAGGTTTGTTGGCCACATGTATGCCTTTTTTTTTTTTTTTTGAGAAGTGTCTGTTCATATCCTTCGCCCAATTTTTAATGGGAATGTTTTTTTTTTTCTTGCAAATTTGCTTAAGTTCCTAGTAGATTCTGGATATTAGACATCTGTCAGATGGATAGATTGCAAAAATTTTCTCCCATTCTGTAGGGGGTATGTTCACTCTGATGATAGTTTCTTTTGCTGTGCAGAAGCTCTTTAGTTTAACTAGATTTCACTTTCTAATTTTCGCTTTTGTTGCAATTGCTTCTGGTGATTTCATCATAAAATCTTTGCCCATGTTTATGTCCTGAATGGTATTGCCTAGATTTTCTTCTAAGGTTATTAAGGTTTTGAGTTTTACATGTAAATCTTTAAACCATTTTGAGTTAATTTTTGTATAAGGGGTAAGGAAGAGATCCAGTTTCAGTTTTCTGCATATGGCTAGCCAGTTCTCACAGCACCCTTTATTAAATAGGATATCCTTTCTGCATTGCTTGTTTTTGTCAAGTTTGTCAAAGATCAGATAGTTGTAGGTTCCTGGCCTTATTTCTTGGTTCTCTATTCTGTTCCATTGGTCTATGTGTTTGTTTTTGCTCCAGTAGCATCTTGTTTTGGTTACTGTAGCCTTGAAGTACAGTTTGAAGTCAGGTAGCATGGTGTCTCCAGCTTTGTTCTTTTTGCTTAGGATTGTCCCGGCTATACAAGCTCTTTTTTGGTTTCATATGAATTTTAAAATAGTTTTTTCTAACTCTGTGAAAGATGTCAATGGTAGTTTAAAGGGAATAGCATCAAATCTATAAATTGCTTTGGGCAGTATGGCCGTTTTCATGATATTGATTCTTCCTATCCATGAGCATGGAAAGTTTTTCCATCTGCTGGTGTCCTCTCTGACTTCCTTGAGCAGTGACTTATAGTTCTCCTTGAAGAGGTCCTTCACTTCCCTTGTTATCTGTATTCCTAGGTATTGTATTCTCATTGTGGCAATTGTGAATGGGAGTTCATTTGTGATTCGGCTCTCTGCTTATCTGTTGTTGGTGTATAGGAATGCTTGTGATTTCTTCATATTGATTTTGTATCCTGAGATGTTGCTGAAATTGATTATCAGCTTAAGAAGCTTGTGAGCTGAGTCAGTGGGGTTTTCTAGATATAAGATCATGTTATTTGCAAACAAAGGCAGTTTGGCTTCCTCATTTTATGAGGCCAGCATCATTCTGATACCAAAACCTGGCGGAGATACAACAAAAAAGAAAACTTCAGGCCAATATCACTGATAAACTTCAATGCAAAAATCCTCAACAAAATATTGGCAAACCGAATCCAGCAGCACATCAAAAAGCTTATCCACCATGATCAAGTCTGCTTCATCCCCAGGATGCAAGGCTGGTTTGATATATGCAAATCAATAAATGTAATTCATCACATAAACAAAACTAAAAACAAAACCACATGATTATCTCAATAGTCACAGAAAAGGTTTTCAATAAAAGTCAACATCCCTTCATGTTAACAACTCTCAATAAACTAAGTATTGAAGGAACATACCTCAAAATGAGAAGAGCCATTTATGACAAACCTACCATCAATATCATACTGAATGGGCAAAAGCTGGAAGCATTCCCCTTGAAAACTGGCACAAGAAAAGGATGCCCTCTTTTACCACTCTTACTCAACATAGTTTGGAAGTTCTGGCCAGGGCAATCATGCAAGAGAAAGAAATAAAGAGTATTCAAATAGGAAGAAAGGTAATTCAGTTTTTAAGGCAAATAAAGCAAAATATGTCACTCAATTCATAACAACTATGATATTTTTGAAGTTTCCTCCTATTTTACTACTAAACTTGCCCCATGGAAGAACTATATTCATTTACTTCATATTTATAAGCCAAGTATTATTCTCTTTGCTAAAAATCTTCCCTTTAAAATATTTGGTGGTTCTATTTTAAGTTCTTAGAGAAATTTCCAAACCACTTTACAAATCAAAAGTTCTTTAAGTAATTTCCAAGCTGTTTTTAATAGAGTATTATTCTATTTGCTAAAATATACCATTTAAAATATTTGGTAGTTCTGTTTTAACTCCTTTGAAAAATTTCTAAACCATTTTCCACAATGGCTGAATGAATTTGCATTTCTACCAGCAGTGTATAAGTGTTTCCTTTTCTCTGCAGCCTCATCAGCATCTGTTACTTTTTGATTTCTTAATAAAAGCCATTCTGATTTATGTGAGATGGTATCTCATTTTAATTTTAATGGTAGTTTTAATTTGCATTTCTTTGATGATCAGTGATGTTGAGCATTTTTTCATCTGTTTGTTGGTGCTTACATGTCTTCTTTTGAGAAGTGTCTGTTCATGTCTTTTGCCCACTTTTTAATGGGGTCTTTTTTTTGAGTTGTGTAAGTTTCCTATAGATTCTGTATATTAGACCTTTGTCAAATGCATTGTTGGTGAATATTTTCTCCCATTCTGTAGGTTTTCTATCTACTCTATTGATAGTTTCTTTTGCTGTGCAGAAGCTCTTTAGTTTAATTAGGCTACATTTGTTAATTTTTGTTTTTGTTGCAATTGCTTTTGGAATCTTCATCATGAAATCTTTGCCAAGGCCTATGTCCAGAATGGTATTTACTAGGGTTTCTCCAGTAATCCCATTACTGGGTATGTACCCAAAGGAATATAAAACATTCTACCACAAAGATGCATTCACTTGTATGTTCATTGCAGCACTTTTCACAATAGCCTAACAAGAGTGGGTTGGATAAAGAAAATGTGGTACATATATACCATGGAATATTACGCAGTTATAAAAGAAATCATGTCCTTTGCAGCAGCATGGGTGCAGCAGGAAGCCAACATCTTAAGCAAGTTAATGTAGGAACAGAAAACCAAATACCTTCTTTTCACAGTTTAGTAAGTGAAAGCTAAACATTGAGTGCACATAGTCACAAAGAAGGATATAATAGACCCTGGGACTTACCTGAGGGTGGAGGGTGAAAGGAGCGTGAGAATTGAAAAACCACCTGTCATATGCTATGCTCATTACCTAAGTGACAAAATCATTTGTACACAAAACCCCAGCACACACCATTTACCCAAATAACAAAATTGCACATGTACCACCTGGACCTAAAATAAAAGTTGGAAGAGCAAAAATATTTGAGAGTTCCATACTACACAGAGTGAGCTGGAACAAGGTACATTTTGGAAGTATCTCAAAATATAAATATTTCAGATTATTTCAAATATAAAGGGCTACTAAACTGCTGAATGGAGTTTATTGGGACTGTTCAAAAAATTATTAGGACTATTAAAACAATTGAAACTCAAAAAAGAAATTAAGAAAGCAATCCCATTTATAATAGCAACAAAAATAGTGAAATACTTAGGAAAAATTTAACCAGTTTAACCAAGGAACAACCTGTAACCTGAAAAATATTAAACACTGATGAGAGAAGTTGAACAAGACACAACTAGAAATGAAAAGATATCCCAAGTTCATAGAGTGGAAAAACAAATACCATTAAAATTTTCATACGACCTGTAATAGTCATTTCTTTTCTCACACATATGAGCATAGGCTGTTAGATGCACCCAGGGCACATCTTGAATGCTTTGCTGCTTAGAAATTTCTTCTTCTGGATAACCTAAACCATCACTCTCAAGTTCAATTTTCCCCAGATTCCTAGAGCAGGGGCACAATGTAGCCAAGTTCTTTGCTAAAGCATAGCAAAAGTGAACTTTGTTCCAATTCCCAATAATTTTCTCATCTCCACTGAGACCTCATCAGCCCGGCCATCTCTGTCCACATCATTATTAGCATTTGGGTCACAATGATTCAACAAGTCCTTATGAAGTTCCAAATTCTCTCTCATCTTCCTGTCTTCTTCTTAACCCTTCACATTCTTCCAACCTCTGCCTGTTACCCAGTTCCAAAGTTGCTTTCACATTTTCAGGTATCTTTATAGCCATGCCCAACTCCTCAGTACTATTTTTCTGTATTAGTCCATTCTCATATTGCTATAGAGAAATACCTGAGACTGATAAATTTATAAAGAAAAGAGGTTTACTTGGTTCACAGTTCCACAGGCTGTACAGAAAGCATGACACTGGCATCTTCTCAGCTCCCAGGGGAGTGCTCAGTAAACTTACAATCATGGCAGAAGGCCAAGGGGGAGCCAGTACTTTGCATAGCCAGGACAGAAAGAAGAAAGAGAAGGGGGAGGTGCTACACAATTTTAAACAACTAGGTTTTGTGAGAACTCTATCAGTATACAGTACCAAGGGAGGATGGTGCTAAATCATTCATGACGAATCTACCCCCATGGTTTAATCACCTTCTACCAGTCCCACCTCCAACACTGAAGATTACAATTCAACATGAGATTTGGTTGGGGACACAAATCCAAACCATATTGCTGCCCAAAGTGATCTACAGATTAAATATAATCCCTATTAAGATTTTAAAGGCATTTTTTACAGAAATAGAAAACACAATCTTAAAATTCAAAAGGAACCTTAGAAGACCCTGAATAGGCAAACCAATCTTGAGTAAACAGAACAAAGCTGGCTGAATCACACTATCAGATTTCAAAATATACTACAAAGCTAATATACTACAAAGCTATTTTCTGCCAATACCATGCTGTAATCAAAACAGCATCGTATTGGCAGGAAAACACAGAAACCAATGAAACAGATCAAAGAGTCTAGAAATAAACCCACAAATATAGATTAACTGGTCTTCAACAAGTGCTCTGAGAATACCAAATAAGGAAAAGGATAGTCTCCTCAATAAATGGTATCAGTATATCTGGCTATCCACATAGAACAATAAAATTAGACCCTTAGCTCACACCATATAAAAATATCAACTCAAAATGGAGTAGACTCAAAGGTAAGTCTTGAAGCTATAAAACTAAAAGAAAACATAAGAAAAAACCTCCTTGACATTGGTCTAGGCGATGAGCTTTTGGACATGACCTCAAAAACACGGGAAACAAATGAAAAAATAGATTATTGGGATTATATCAAGCTACAAAGCTTCTTCACAGCCAAAAAAAGCAATCAACAGTGAAGAGTCAACTTAAGGAATGAAAGAAATTATTTGCAAGCCATACATCTAATAAGTCCTACAACTCAATAGGAAAAATAGATAAATAAGTAAACCAATTTAAAAGTGGGCAAAGAACCTAGATAGACATTTCTCCAAATAAGGCATCTAAATGCTAACATGCATATTAAAAAGGTATTCAACATCATTAGTCATCAAGGAAATGCAAATCAAAACCATGATGAGATATATATCATCTCATAACTGTTAGTATAGATATTTTTTTAAATATAAAAGATTATTGAAGAATGGAGAAAAATGAACCATTGTGGATGTTGGGGGGAGTATAAACTGGTGCATTCATTATCATAAACAGTGTGCAGTGTGTAAGGCCATTCTTGCATTACTATGAAGGAATACCTGAGGCCAGGTAATTCGTAATGAAAAGAGGTTTAATTTGCTCATGTTTCTGCATGCTATAGAAGCATGGTGCTGGCATCTGCTCAGCTTCTAGGGTGGCCTCAGGAAGCTTACAATTGTGGCACAAAGCTACCTGGGAGCAGCTGCGTCACATGGCCACAACAGGAGAAAAAAAGAGAGTGGGAGGGGTGTTGTCACACACCTTTAAACAATCAAATCTCATGAAAACTCACTATCTTGAGGACAGTACTGAGCTGTGAAGGGAGATTCCTCAAAAAAATTAAAAGCAGAACTACCAAATGATGCAGCAGTTTCTCTTCTGGGTATTTATTTTAAAGAATAGAAATAATGATCTCACAGAGATACTTGCATTCCCATGTTCATTTCAGCATTAGTCACAATAAGTACAATATGGAATCAACCTAAATGTTCATTAAAGGACAAATTAATAAAGAAAATGTGTATATACATGAAGTGGAATATAATTTGGCCTTTAAAAAGAAGGAAATTCTACCATTTGTGACAACATGGTTGGACTTGGAGGACCATATAGTAAGTGAAACAAGCCAGACACAGAAAGACAAGTCCTGTATCATCTCACCTATATGTGGAATACACAATAGTGAAACTAGAAGCAGAGAGTAGAATGCTGATTGCCAGGGGCTGTGGTGAAGGCATGTGTGGGGTGGGACATGGTGAGATGATGATCATAATGTACAAAATGTCACTTATGCAAGTTCTAATGCACAGCATAGTGTCTATCTCTAACAATATTGCATTGTATAAAGTTTTCTAAGAGAGTAGATCTTATGTTAAGTGTTCTTACCACACACATACACAAATATAATAATAACAAAAGAGAGTAGGAGAAAATGGAGGTAACACATATGTGTATGACCTTGGTGGTGATATTTTCACAGGTATATACTTCTCTTCAAGCTCATTAAGTTGAACGTATTAAATATGTACATCTTTTAATATGCCAATTATACAAAATAAAGTGATATTTAAAAATGTTCATTCTCTACTAAAAATTTAAATTTATTTTTGAACATTAAAAACAAATGTCATCAATTTCCTGTAAACTTGTCTTAATATTCAGTGTTATTAGCTGATTCAAGGATCTGTCATCATGCTCACCTTTAGATCAACAAGTGGCAATCTATGTTCTATCTGTATATTGTTAAGCTTAGGAAATTAATTGAATGAGACTTTATTAGTCTCTGACATTGTGAATTCTACACAATTTATGTCCAATGGCCTCACACTTTATACAGCATTTCACTAAATAGCACAGAAAGCATTGATGGAGCTCTCATTCACTTAGGTTTATCAGCCACACGTTCCAGGCAAAACTTGCTGAGTTTGAGGTCAGAATATTTGCACCATCTGAGAAGATGCAAAAGTAATTTCTTCCATGTATCTTGATTGTTGTGACTTCAAATAATATCTTTAAATGAGAAAGTTTTATTTGATTTACTATTTTCCTAATCAATCTACAATAGCCATTGATGTTTATCAATCAATGGCATTTTGTAGGCATTTTGTAGGCATACCATAGAATACTATATTGTTTTTATTTTTAAGATTCAAATACAGACATTAGTTTGTATACAAATGTTTACAAAACATTAGTTAGGCATGGTGGCAGGTACCTGTAATCCCAGCTACTCAGGAGGCCGAGGCAGGAGAATCGCTTGAACCTGGGAAGCAGAGGTTGCAGTGAGCCAAGATCACGCCATTGCACTCCAGCCTGGGCAACAACAGCGAAACTCTGTCTCAAAAAAAAAAAAAAAGATTCATTTAAAATTAATTGTTTCACACGAGGAAATACTCTATTAAAACATTGCATATTGTGATTCATTTACTAAGGTATGTATATAAATACAAGGTCTTATGAGACATTCTATAATTGACTGAGAATAAATTTCATTTGAATTGATTGCTGTTTAATCCATTGTGTTCATCTAGAGGGGCTATATTAAAAACACACAAAAAGTTAAAGACTTATCTTGAAAACTAGCTTTTCTTGCAGAACCTGTTGGGTGACTTCTATAGATGAACTTACCAAAAGTCATAAAGTTACTTAAACAACAGAATGTATTATTTTTAATGATGGCACCTATCCACACACAAAAACTAAATAATGTATATACACATATAGATATAGACACACACATTTTTAGTTGTGATATGCTAAAGAAATTTCAAAGTCTCAATAGAAATCATTACTTCCTTATCACTGTTGAAAACAGTGCAGCATTGTGCAACCTCTTTACAGATTCTGACCAATAAAATGAACTTACAGGCTGCGTGTTTGCTAGAGTCAGAAGAAAATATGTGTTCATTGGCTTCAGAATTCAATAGATATTTTGATTATTCTTTCCTTTTTTGATAGTAAAGAAAGAGATGGTTTTATTGTCTCTGCAAAATGGAAAAATAGCTCTCAAACAACCCCTGGGCCCTTTATTCATTGCCATGTCCAAGCATGAGCCACCATTTTTCCTCCAAATTCTATCAAATTAAGAATAGGCTATTCCCATAAATTCAAGCATTGGAGGATTCTGAGATTTGCTGCCATCATTGTCTCTTGGTTGTCAGTACAAGTGTGCAGAGAAAGAAGTGTGCTGCTTGAAATGGAGGTCTGGAGGAACAATAACTATACCTATTTATTTTTGTTCCCTTTATTTCTTTGAAATGAGTTTCAGGGTTCTTTTGCTAGTTACAAAAAGTCATCCAATTTGTATGAAATAGCACATCACGGAAATATAATCGTGAACATTTTAAGTTTCTTGTGATCTATAGACAGTATTTTATTTTGCTCTGATGCTTTCCTGCAAGCTCTTGCAATCAGCTGCAGGCCAACATGCTTTGGTTTTAACAGATAGATTGTCTCAGAGCCCCATGTAACATGACTATACCAGGTGATTTTGGCCTCAGGATTCTGATAGCATCACTTTAACAACTCTCAGGCCATGTGCGGTGGCTCATGCCTGCAATTTCAGTATTTTGGGAGGCCGAGGCAGGTGGATTACTGAAGTCCAGGAGTTTGAAACCAGTCCGAGCGACAGGGTGAAATCCCATCCTCTCTACAAAAAAAAAAAAAAAAAAATTAGCCAGGCATGGTAACACATGCCTGTAGTCCCCATTATTCAGTAGGCTGAGGTGGGAGGATCACTTGAGCCCAGGAGGCAGAGGTTGCAATGGGTCGAGATTGCACTACTGCACTCCAGCCTGGGTGATAGAATGAGACCCTGTCAAAACAAAACGAGCAGAACAAAACAAACAAACACAGACACACACAACCAAAAAACAACTCTTAGTGATACAAGTGGATTGACCCAGAATACTGAAAACTCTAGTCTGAAAACAGATAGGTTCGTGAGACTGCTGACCCAAAATTTTGTGGGACAAAAATCAATTGCATAGAACTGAATAAACTTATGAGGGATGATTATGATTTTTGTTTGGAATATTACGGACGTCCTATTGTTTTATTTTCTGTAGCCATTTTGCCTTACTTTTAAACTATCTATGACTCATAGCAAGTTAATTAACATCACTGCCCAGTGTTGATGGAAGTCTAGGTTTTACTTTTGGCCTCCATTGACCCAGATGGGGAGGAGATTTGCATTATTGCTGCTGGTGTAGGAGTTTCACTCTCCCGAAGTCCTGCTTTGATACAACCCTGGTTCTCCACTACTCCTCTGCTGACCTACCCCAACAGGGAGGGTGAAAGGTGTCTCTTTACCTCTGAGTACCTGTGGGAGTGAAATGGGAGCGGTCCGTGATTCCCCTCGCGGGATGTGTGACAGGGTGTCACCTGCTTGGTCACCCTGCAGCTCAAACTCCTAGGGAGAGCATGCCTGCAGATGACAGATGGAGAGGCCTGCAGGAGCGCTTTTGGGCTCCAGCCCCACAGCAGCGTCTAGGGGGTGGTGTCTGTGACTCCCGAGGTCCAAGTGGGCACATGTTACTAAGTGCTTTTAGATTTGCCATCTGCAGACCACTTGTGTGTTAATCAGCTCAGTGGACCCTCTGTCTTACTGCAAGGGCAGGCACCAGTGTGGCAGCCTTTTGTAACCCAGGTCCTTGCCCAGTGTACCGGAAGACTCAGACCACACATAGGCTTTAAGGATGAGTGCAAAATTTTATTGAGTGATGGAGGTGGCTCAAAGCGAGATGGATGGGGAGCCAGAATGGGTGGATGGAGTGGGAAGGTGATCTTTTCCTGGTGTCAGGCTGCCCAGCCACCGGACTCTTCTCTGACCACCCCCACTGAACTCCCCTCTGCATCCAGACATCCCTTCTCTTCTCTCTTTCTCTGCCACGTTGTTAGACCATTGCTGATCTGCTGGTCCCAACGTTCAGCCATTTGTGTGTGTGCCTGCTAAGGTCTCAGGTTTATATGGGGGGAGGATGAAGGTGTGGTGGGCCAAAAGGCAACTTTTTGGGTGTGTAGACAGAAATGACTGTCCTCATTTAGGGTCACAGGTCTTCAGGCTTTAGGGTGGGGCCTTTGCCAGGAATCTGCCCTCTTCTACCCAGTATTTCCCTCTCTCCTGTCCATATCAGAAGTGCAGACTCCTCACCTGGTCTCCACTGACATTAGGCAGAGGGGCTTGGTACTGCCTCACAGGAATGAATATGCCTTCTCTGACACCACCAGGTTGTTTGAGGTGCCTGCTGTAGTCAGACAAACATGAAAGTGTAGGCGTCACACCAGGATGAGGACTGGGGTAGGACTGCTGTTTTCTGTGGTTTGGCTGGAGTGATGCAGTTATTGTCTAAAAATTTTCTGTGGGCCTTATGGGGGTTTACAGGAGAAGACGGTAAAGTCTCATGTATTAAAATTTTACCTGTTGGACCTTATTTTTTAATCAATTCTAAAATATAAAAAATTCAAGAGGCACTTTTAAAAAAATTTAAACCCTTCAACAAACTTTAACTATTATCATTATAAATTACTTGCATTCATGAATCTATTTATTTTGTTTGTATGCACATAACTGTTTCCATGTGATTCCTTAGGAACAGTGTCAGAGCTGAACTGTGATATGATATATAAATTAAATAAAAGACAAAAAAGTTTTGTACATTTCTCCCAATTTTTTAATCTTGTGCACTTTGTAATTTTTAATTTAATTCTTCCGAAAAGTGCCAATGGTATGTCCGTATGCATGTGCACATACTTAGTAATTAAAATACATTAGTCAAGCAATGAAAATAAAGTTTTGGACTTCATTTTCCATTAATTTTTTAGTTTATCATAATAAAATGGAACTGTATAGAACAGAATCAGATAACTATTTTTGCTTATCATTAATTTTAATCATGCAAGCTCTCGTTAAAATGTGTAAAATTTGTTTTATATTACTAAAATTCAGATATAAACATTGAAAGCAATTTTTGATAAGATTCTTAAATGAGGAGTAAGTAAATTTCATCTCAAAAATCCTGATACTTTTAAACAATCAGATCTTGTGAGTATTCACTCACTATCATGAGATTAGCAAGGGGGAAATCCATCCCCATGATCCACAATCACCTCCCACCATGCCCCTCCTCCAATTCAACATGAGATTTGGGCAGGGACAAAAATCCAAACCATATCATTCTGCCCATGGCCCCTCCCAAGTTTCATGTCCTTCTCACACTGCAAAATACAATGATCCTTTCTCAACAGTCCTCCAGTCTTAACTCATTTCAGCATTAACACCAAAGTCTACAGTTCAAAGTCTCATCTGAGACAAGGCAAGTCCCTTTGTCTTATGAGTGTGTAAAATAAAAAACAAATTAGTTACTTCCAAGATACAAAGGAGGTACAGGCATTGGGTAAATACTCTCATTTCACGAGGGAGAAATTGGATAAAAGAAAGGGGAAACTGGTCCCAAGCAAGTTCAAAACTTGGCAGGACAGTTGTTACATCTTAAAGCTTCAAAATGATGTTCTTTGACCCCATGAATCACATCCGGAGAATACTGGTGTGAGGGGTATGGTCCCACAGCCTTGAGCAGCTCTGCCTTTATTGCTCTGCAGGGTACAGATCCCCTGTCTGCTTTCAGAGCTGGTGTTGAGTGCCTGCAGCTTTTCCAGGCACATGGTGCAAGCTGTTGGTGGAGCTAGCATTCTGGGATCTGAAGGACAGTGGCCCTCTTCTCACAGCTCCACTAGGCAGTGACCCAGTGGGGACTAAGTGTGGGGGCTCCAACCCCACATTTTCCCTTTGCACTGTCCTAGTAGAGGGTCTTCATGAAGGCTCTACCCCTGCAGCAGACTTCTGCCATGACATCCAAGCATTTCCATACATTCTCTGAAATCTAGGTGGAAGTTCCCAAACCTCAGCTCTTGCCTTCTGTGCACTTACAGGTCCAACACATTGTGGTAGCTGCCAAGGCTTGGGGCTGGTGCCCTCTGAAGCCATGGCCCAAGCTGTACCTTGGCCCCTTTAAGCCATGGCTGGAACTGGAGAGGCTGGGGCAGAGGGTGCCATTTCTTGAGGCTGTACAGAGCATCAGGGCCCTGGGCTTGGCCCACGAAACAATTTTTGCCTCTTAGGACTCCAAGCCTGTGTTGGGAGGGGCTGCTGTAAAAATCTCTGAAATGCCCTGGAGACATATTTCCATATTCTTGGCTATTAACATTCAGCTCCTTGTTATGTATGCAAATTTCTGCAGCAGGCTTGAATTTCTCCCCAGAAAAATGGGTTTTTCTTTTCTACTGCATGGATGAGCTGCAAATTTGCTAAACTTTTATTTCTTTTAAATATAAGTTCTAATTTCAGACCATCTCTTTCTTCATGCATTTGAGTGTACACTCTTAGAAACAGTCAGGTTACTTCTTCAATGCTTTGCCGCTTAGAAATTTCTTCTTCCAGATACCTTAAATCATCTCTCTTAAATTCAAAGTTCCACAGATCTCTAGGAGGGGGCAAAATGCCACCTGTCTCTTTGCTAAAGCATAGCAAAAGTGACTACTTCAGTTCCCAACAAGTTCCTCATCTCCTATGGGACCACCTCAGCCTGGATTTCACTGTCCATATCACTATTAACATTTTGATAACAACCATTCAACAAGTCTCTAGGAAGTTCCAAACTTTCACTCATCTCCCTGTCTTCTTTGAGCTCTCCAAACTGTTCCAACCTCTGCCTGCTACCCAGTTCCAAAGTCACTTCCACATTTTCAGGTATCTTTATAGCAGTGCCCGACTCCTAGTACAAATTTTCTGTATTAGTCCATTTTCACACTGCTACAAAGAACTACCTGAAACTGGGTAATTTACGAAGACAATAGGTTTTGTTGACTCACAGTTACACATGGCTGTGGAGGACTCAGGAAACTTACAATCATGCGAATGGTGAAGGGGAAGTAAACGTCCCTTTTTACATGGCAGCAGGAGAGAAAAAGATAAGGGGGAAGTGCCACACACTTTTAAACAATCAAATCTTGTGAGAACTCATTCACTATCATGAGAACAGCAAGGGGGAAATCTGGCCCCATGATCCAATCACCTCCCATCAGGCCCCTCCTCCAATTCGACATGATATTTGGGTGGGAACATTGCTGTTCTATTTTTCAGGGGGCAGTGAGCTATTATTTAAACATTTTTCTATGAAACAACACAGTCCTTAGTGACCAAATCATTTCGATTGCTGCTGGGAGGTGCAATGAGTACTACATTAAAATGGCATATGCAAAAGTGTAAATATAATTTTCAAATATTTTTAACTTTCTCATAGAGTGAAGTAGTTTACGATAATTGAATTATTATATTCATTGCAAGCAGAGAAATATCACCTATATTTAAAGTATATTAAAAGGTAAAACTTTTATTAGAGAAGGGTAACAATCAGAACTTGCTGATTAGTTCTATGGTAGAATTGCCTCCATGGTTTCATATTGAGAATTAGCACTAAGCTAATACCAGAAGAACAAAATTAATAAGATATTGGCCTTGCCCTTGAAAAACTTTGAGTCCAATATTTATTGATATTTCTCAACCTATAAAAATTAAATAGTTTGTGTTCTATGTCAGACTTCTCACAAAAATGTCCTATTAAAATCCTTTGGATATATTTTTAACAGATTTTTAGGTGCTAGATTATTAATCTCCACAAACAGAGAAAGCAACTCAATTCAGTTTGTATTGAATAAAAATAAGTGAGCTTATGTTCATACTTAACAATAGTCACCATTCAGAGGATTTTCTCTAAAAACATTAAATAAAGTGGATACAGTATCTACCTTAATCTTTTTCAGAGAGCTTTTTTCTTTTATATCATCAAATATAGTCAGCAATTACATATTTTTTTGCATTTATCAGTTTTTATTTCCATTATGTCCCTTCTACTGGACCATAAAGCCTTTCAAAGAAGATAATGGGTCTAATTAGTTTATATTTGTATCCTCAGAGCCTAGGATGGGGTATGACATTTATCATTAGGGATTCAATAAATAGATTATAATACCAAAAAGCAGGAAACAAAATGTTCCTTTCATTTATATTTTAAGTGGAATGAAGTGTTTTTATGTTTTGCTTTCGCGTTTTGGTTTTAATTTAAAATGATTCTGCACCAAAGACTATAACATTTTGGGGAAAAATGAGATATAATAATGAAATGTACTCCAAATAGAAAAAAAGTAATTGTAACCCACATTCTTATAGATTGCCTAAAGCTTCCATTGAATTATTTCTTTTATCTTTATTAAGTATTTTTATCCGAAGAAATAAAGCCCCAAGGCCAAAATACAAATATGGTTTTTAATAGTGTTCTAATGATAGTAATGTTTTATGCCAGAGGTGCTAAATCTATTGCTGCTTCTTCTTATGTTGACCTATTTCTCCCCATTTGGTTAAGATCAGCTTTTCCAAATTTTAGTAATTGTTTCATTAAAGCATTTAAATATCACAAGATAAAAAAGTGTAGATAATATTATTTGATTCACTTAAAAGTTTATAAAATCATATCTCAATATAAGTTAATATTATCAATCAAAGGATCAACTATGACAATTTTTGATTAACTTTTAGCAAGAGAATTTATATTTTGCATTGAAGTCTGGTTTCATAGTTTGTTGTCTAAAGAACTGTGTGCAAATAAAGAATTCTACCTTTGTGTGCTAAGGTCAACATGATGTATAGGAGACTGAGCTTAGTTCAACAGTCAGAATGCTGGGCAGGTTTTTAACTAGGTTATTTAATATTTACCTCTTTTTATAATATTGACATATTGTTTATTTGTATATCACACATTCATGAGTAATAGATTTACCCAATGCTAAACTTGACTAATAATTCAAAAGAGACAAGCAGTCCCTAGATCAGGAGAAATACTGTCTTCTTACAGCAGTCTGAGACTAATCAAAAATGCACCTTTGCTCCCAGATTCAGAACTATTTTAATTTTAGGTTTAAGAGATGTGTTTCTTGAGAAATGTATGGAGAGGGATCAATCACACAGAGGGAGTGCTGAAGGTTTTGAAACATTCTTGTTCTATAATCCATTAATTACACAGTGTACTTTTTTTATTTTTTATTTTTTGAGACAGGGTCTTGCTCTGTCCCCCAGGTTCCAGTGCAGTAGTGCAATCATTGACTCACTGCAGCTTTTTATTTTTTATTTTTTGAGACAGGGTCTTGCCCGGTCCCCCAGGTTCCAGTGCAGTAGTGCAATCATTGACTCACTGCAGCTTCAACCTCCCAGGCTCAACTTATGCTCCTCCCTCAGTGTCCCTAGTACCTGGGACCACAGGCATGCCCAGCTATGCCCAACTAATACACAGCTTACTTGACTAGCTTCCAGGCTCCAGCCAGCCATTCCCTGCAAACTCATAACTTCCAAGTTGACTTACAGATAAAGTATCTAATCATATCTGGTAAAAGCTGCTTAAAACATTTAACTGATTGTAACTCTGATAATTGTCCAGTGTCCACTAGTAAATAACATTAGCACTTTGACCAGGAGATCTGGTGGGAAAAGGCAGGGTGGGGGGTTATTACATTAGTATGTTTATGAGGAGATGTAGTTGAGGTTCTTCATTTCTTTTGGTTGCCCAGTGCCAGATACAGAGTAAATGGCTTATAGGACTGCAGTTTACTCTGTCCTTCCCATTGAGCAAAGCACTGGTAACTATCTAATGACAGGTATGAGTAATTTTTTCCCCTAAATTTCTTAAAACAGCTAATATATAAAGTGTGGCTAGGAATTACCTACTTTTCTTGGTTGCTCTGTAAAACTACATTTTCCTTTTCTTGAAAATGCATAATTATTAATTTCAAGCTTGCCATATTTTAAAAGGGAAAGTAAGAGTTTCTCTGAGATAATAAAACAATATGTTGAATATCAGCCCCTAATCTGTTCTGCCTATACAATGCTAAATAATCAGATTTTTATCTGATTTTATATATATAGCTTAAATCCCTCCACTAGTGTATCTTCAGATAATCTTTGAGGAAAATATAAATGTCAAATATTTAAAGGACTCAGAATCAAGCTATTGGGAATAGTGTTAGGACTTCTGCAGGATTTCAGATATAAAGAAATACAGACTTTGTATCACTTTATCCCTCTCGTCATTCAAAATCTTTTACATGAAAGCTATGATGCCAACTGTACCATCTCTCCCTATGCTATTGTTACTATAAATAGATAAATGCTGTATCACAAATGAGCATTGTCTGTTGCTATTCTTTTGTTCAGTTTGCAAGGACCCCTTTCATGTAATCTCTTACTTCTCAGTGCATGGGCAGGTTCAACCAGAAGAGTTAATACAATGTTGCCATCTTGATTTAATATTAAATTACTTTTGTGCCATTTCTTTTCTTTAAACAACAAAAAAAATGCAGTGCCCGCCTTTTCTGTATGCATTATTTCTAGTGTACCAGCAACTCCTATAAAAAGAAGCCCTAGGGGGTTGACTTCAGTGAAGACTGTTTCCTCTTTGTGATGGTTTGGATGATAGAATGCGTCAATCTTAGCAGCAAGTTAATTTTTGCTACTGTATACGTTTTCAAGGGTGCCCTTGAAGGAAGGCTGGTGTCACAAGTTTAAAGAAGAGACAGTTTTAGGAGGTTTTATTTTATTTGTTTTTTGTCTGTCTTTTGATCTCAGCATGATTGCTGGCTGGGAATTGGAACAAAAAATTACTAGAATAAATTGGTTTAGATGAGAAGAATTTTTGCACATAATTCTTACTCATTTGAAAACATTAGTTTAGTCACTTAAACACAGAGTTACTATATGATAGTTTCAGTGGATTCAGTCTTATTACTTTTAACTCAGAATTAACTTCCAGCTTACATTTTTATTGAGAATGTAATTATTGGAGCCGAGGCTTACTAATAATTTTCTTTTGTTGGAAATGGCATTATGAGCATTGAGGTATACTGGTAGCTCTCTCTTATCCTGAATAATATGGTCAATAAATAAAAAAAATAGAGAGACAAGGGAAATCCGAGGCCCCCCAGATACAAAACAACAGCTTTGCACATTTTTATTTATTTAGGGTTTTTTTAAATGACTATCTGATTTGTGTGATGAATATTTGAAACTTCTACTCAATTATCAACTTGATTATAAAAATATCTAATCATACACCTAAGCTAATAATTATAGGAAACTTCTACCCTTATACAAAAATCCCGCTTGGAATTTATACTTTAAGTTTACAACAGACTGTTGGGTTAATTTTATTATTTTGACTGGATAGTCATATATAGATGATCTCCTTAGAAATTCACATAGCTCATTTAATTCAATTAATCATATATTGTCAAATGACTAAGTGCTGACTATACCCAAGACCTCTTTATATACAGCCTCTTAATTTTCTGTGGTAGTTTTAAAATTTGTGTAAAAACTCTTTGACCTTTCTCACAGTGAATGTTGAAGTGGTCTTTGTTACCTCTTCTTGAAACTGGATTGGATTTTATAACTTTTTCTACAAATGAAACTTTTTTTTATGATACAACTGAAATTATGTGACTTCTGAGAGTTGGTCATAAAAGGTGATATTCACACTAGTTTTCCTTCTTGAAATCTTCAGCCAGCATATACACACCCTACTGACCTAAGGCCACCATGCTGTGAAGATGCCAAAAATAATCTACTAGAAAAGACGAGACTGGGATCACCAAGACTAAGAGAGAGACTGAGAGAGATACTTGCAAGTTTGCAGCAGTTCTGGCCACTTTCAGTCCAGATATAGTCACTGTGTTACTGCAGAGGGCATAAAATCCTAGTAAGGATTTTTCTAAATTCCTGACCCACAAAAGTTGTAAGAAATATAAAGTGACCATTTTTATTAAGTTTTATAGTGATTTTCTTTTGAGCTTTAGAAAATCAGTTTCTTCCAGCATATTTACGAGGGGGACGTTAGCTATCTGAAAAATCTAGTTAAAATAGGTTTATTTTTTGCAATAGTTGTACATTGAATCTACTAAATGAGTAATTATTAAGTACCTACAATGTGCCAAACACGATTAATATTTGAGAATAGAGTAGTAAGTAGAGACACATTCTCTGCATCATGAAGCCTACCTATCTATTAGAAATGTAATCTCTTACTTCCTGGTGCATGTGCAGAAAAGCAACACAGAGATCAGGTGAAAGGACAGGATCAACCATTTTCTTTAAGATGCCAATTATAGCACATCTCAAGATAACATATTGATTTAGTAGTGATTTCAAGGCAGGGCGTGGTGGCTTATGCCTGTAATCCTAGCACTTTGGGAGGCCGCGGTGGGCAGATCACGAGGTCAGGAGTTGAAGACCGGCCTGGCCGATATGGTGAAACCCCGTCTCTACTAAAAATACAAAAATTTAGCCAGGTGTGGTGCGCACTTGTAGTCCCAGTTACTCGGGAGGCTGAGGCAGAAGAATCACTTGAACCTGGGAGGCAGAGGTGCAGTGAGCCGAGATTGCACCATTGCACTCCAGCCTGGGCAACAAAGACAGACTCCATCTCAAAAAAAAAAAAAAAAAAAAAAGTGGTGATTTCAAAAACACTTTAAATTCAAAAATTATTGCCAATAATATGAAAATACTAAGATTATAGTCTAAATTCTCTAACTCCTATAACTGTGCTACTTTCACTACTCCATGGGGCTGATTATCTTTATTGCACATGTTCTTATATTTACAAAGAAATGTATTTTGGACAATGCATTATTTTGTTTTGTTTCTTTTGAGATGGAGTCTTGCTCTGTCATCCAGGCTAGAGTGCATTGGCACGATCTCAGCTGACTGCAACCTCTGCCTACTGGGTTCAAGCGATTCTCCTGCCTCAGCCTCCCAAGTAGATGGGATTATAGGCCCATGCCATCACACCCAGCTAAGTTTTGTATTTTTTAGTAGAGATGGGGTTTTGCCACATTGGCCAGGCTGTTCTCAAACTCCTGACTTCAAGTGATCCAACTGCCTTAGCCTCACAAATTTCTCGGATTACAGGCATGAGCCATCGTGCCTGGTTGACAATTGATTTTTTATCATATTTTTTCCCCTGAAAGCCAGGTGTTGTTGAGCTTTTTATTTTTTTTATTTTTGAGACGGAGTGTCGCTCTATCGCCCAGGCTGGAGTGCAGTGGCGCGATCTCGGCTCACTGCAAGCTCCGCCTCCCGGGTTCACGCCATTCTCTTGCCTCAGCCTCCCAAGTAGCTGGGACTACAGGCGCCCGCCACCACGACCAGCTAATTTTTTTGTATTTTTAGTAGAGACGGGGTTTCACTGTGTTAGCCAGGATGGTCTCGATCTCCTGACCTCGTGATCCGCCCACCTCGGCCTCCCAAAGTGCTGGGATTACAGGCGTGAGCCACTGCTCCTGGCCAGGTGCTATTGATCTTATATTGCCCAATGTTCTTTCAAAAACATAAGTACAGTAAATTCTTTATATGTTCTTTAGTCTTGAATAGGAAACAGAATTATCCATGGTACTACATGTGCTACACTTTTCTGCTCAGGTAGCAAATCAAGAGTCAGTGATTATAAATTAAGTACAAAAGAGATGGCAATAGTTCAAATGGAACACTGACAATGTTCTTAATATATCTGCCAACCTACTTGCATTAATGTGGAATAAGATTGTGTACTTATCTTGAACTTAAATCACAAAAAGCACATTCAAATCATTCTAAAGACAATAATTACATGCACAGCACTTGAGTTACACAAGAACTTTCCTCCTCTCATTCAGAAAATTGTTCCCAATTGCCACTTTTGCTTTTGCATCTCTCTAACTCATTACACTTTGTGAAGCTGCAATTGACAGTTAAAATAGATTTCAGTAGTATTAGCTCTAATTTCAGTAGATTAAATGCTGAGGATAAGAGCATGGAATATTCTGATTAGGTATACTTAAAAGACTCCTTTACAGACGGAATGTAGGAACTTAAAAACTGGAGACTAAAATATGTTTACTTTTATATCTTTAGTGTCAAATAGCGGATCATGATTCTAAGGTGAAATGGTTTATATTGGTGCCTAACAAACAAACTAAAAACTTTCTTGTTTATTTTTCTTTTCATTTGAAAAATTAGCTCCAGTAATTGGACAAAATCTATGAAATGAGTTAGATTTTATTTTGTCTTGAACGTCATGGCCCAGTGGAGAATATAGATGCACTTACAAAAATCTATTTACTTAAGGACTCCAGTAACTGGCAATGACTAGAGAAGTGGCAAGGAAATGTCTACTAAGACAAAGCACATATATATCCACAGAATATCAAGTACTCAGTTGAATATGGTGTTGGGCAAAGAATGACTCCCATGGAATATAGGGTTAGAAAAGTATAAATGGAACTGGTTTGCAGTTGATTTAATGGTGAAGTGCTTTCTTCATCTCTGAGGACTGGGTATCTGGCTGTTTAATCATAGCCAAATAAAGGGGAATAGACGATATAAGGTCCTGATTACAGTCTAAAATTCTCTTGGTGATCCCAGATTCAGTTTCCTTGCTGATGGGTTTATACCTGGACTAATCAGTCAGCCAGCCTGGCATGGCTAAAGTCCAGAGGGGCATACAACCCCCAGGTCTCTGTGGCAGTCATGGGAAAATGCCACGGAGATTGTGCTTAAAGGGAGGAACTGCTGGGAGAATTTGATAACCTGGAATTCTCCAGTGGCTACACCTTCAAGGTGTGCTGTAGAGTTTACACTGTCCTCACATATATGTTGGGCTGCTCTCAGCCAATGGCTAAGCAAGCAGGGAAATTGGAGCTGGACCATTCCTGACAAATGAAAGACTTAGTCAATGGGCAGTCTTTGCTTTGAGGGTCCCCATTAGCCTGGTTGAAATTCTCTGAGAACTGCACTCTAATCAGAGGCTCTTTCTATGCAGCCCTCATTACACCTCTCTCTACTTTCAAAGGGGTCAACCTTGCATTGTGGTCTGAAGTCTCCACACCTACCTCTGCTTTCTATCGTTTGTTCACTTGCATTTCCTCCAACAACTGTCCTATATATCTTGTTCCTTCTTGATAACTGTTGTTTGGAAGACTGGAATACACACACACACACACACACACACACACACACACACTCTCTCTCTCTCTAAATAGAATTATAGGCATACCTCAGATCCTCAGATATATTACAAGTTTGTTTCCATGCCACCACAATAAAATAGCTATCACAATAAAGTGAGTCACACAAAGTTTATGGTTTCGCAGTACATATAAAAGTCATATTGACAATATGCAGTAGTCTGTTAAGTGTGTAATAGCATTATGTCTACAAAACAATGTGTATATCTTAATTTAAAAATGCTTTATTTCTTAAAAAATGCTGACAATCACCAGAGCCTTCAGTGATTTATAATATTTTTGCTGGTGGAACGTCTTGCCTCATTGTTGATGGCTGGTGACTGATCTGGGTGGTGGTTGCTGAAGCTTGGATGGATGAGCCAATTTATTTACATAAAACAACAATAAAGTTTGCTGTGTCAATTTACTCTTCCTTTCCTAAAGGCTTCCCTGTAGCATGTTATGCTATTTGATAGCATTTTAACCACAGTAGAATTTGTTTCAAAATTTGATTCAATCCTTTCAAACTCTCCTGCTGCTTTATCAACTAAGTTTATGTAACATTTTAAATCTTTTGTTGTCATTTCAACAGTGTTTACAGGATCTTTACCAGAAATAGTTTCCATCTCAAGAAACCACTTTTTTGGCTCATCTGTAAGAAGCAACTTCTCATCCATTCAAATCTGATCCATGAGATTGCAGCAATTCAATCACACCTTCAGGTTTCACTTCTAATTCTATTTCTCTTGCTTCTTTCACTATATCTGCAATTGCTTCCTCCACTGAAGTGTTAAATCTGTCAGAGTTATGAGTTATCCATAAGGGTCAGAATCAAGTTTTTCCTAACTCCTGTTAACATTAATATTTTGACCTCCTTCCTGAATTACAAATGTTTTAATGGCATCTACAGTGGTGAAGCCTTCACCGAAAGTTTTCAATTTACTTTTCCTATACCCATCAGATGAATCACTATTCATGGAAACTATACTCTTACAAAATATATTTCTTAAATAATAAGACTTGAAAGTCAAAAATACTCTTTGATTCATGGGCAGAAGAAGGAATATGTTAGCAGGCATGGAAACAACATTAATCTCCTTGTACATTTCCATAGAGCTCTTACTTGACTAGGTGTATTTTCAATGAACAGGAATATTTTGGAAATAATCTCTTTTTTAAAAAAGCAATAGGTCTCAACAGGGGACTTAAAGTATTTAGTAATACCTGTTGCAAATGGTTTTGCAGTCATCCAAGCTTTGTTCTTCCATTTATAGAACACAGAGATTTAGCATCATTCCAAAGGGTCGTAGAATTTTTGAAATGGTGAAAGAGCATTGCCTTCAACTTAATATAACCAGCTATTTTAACCTCTAACATGAGAATTAGCCTTTCCTTGGACCTTTGAAGTTAAGCACTGACTTCTCTCTACCTATGAAAATCCCAGTTGGCATGTTTCAATCAATTTATTTTAATTTACTTTGAAAATTTGTTGTTTAAAGGAGCCACCTTCATCAATGATCTTAGCTAGATCTTCTGGATAACTTGGTACATCTTCTACATTAGCACTTGATGCTTCGCCTTGCACTTTTATATCATGAATATGGCTTCTTTCCTACAACCTCATGAACCAACTTCTGGTAGCTTCAAACATTTTTCTGAAGCTTCCTTACTTCTCTCAGCCTTCATAGAATTGAAGAGCACTGGGGTCTTGCTCTGGATCAGACTTTGGCTTAAGGGACTGTTGTATCTACTTTGATCTATCCAGACCACTAAAGTATTCTTAATATCAGCAATAAGACAGTTTCACTTTCTTAACACTAGAGTAGCACTTTTAATTTTCTTCAATAACTTTGTCATTGCTCTTTCACAATGTGGCTCACTGTTTGCCACTAGAGGCCTACCTGTTGGCCTATCTTGGCTTTTGACATGCCTTCCTCATTATACTTACTTCTACTTTTTTCCTTAAAGTGATGGATGTGCAACTCTTCCTTTCACTTGAACACATGGCAGCCAATTTAGGGCTATTAATTGGCCTAATCTCAATGTTGTTGTGTTTCAGGGAATACAGAAGCCAAAGCAATGGGAGAAAGATGGGGAAAGAGCCAGTTGGTAGAGCAGTCAGAACACACAACACATTTATTCATTAAGGTTGCCTTCTTATATGGGCACAGTTTGTGGCACCCAAAACAATTGCAATAGTAACATCAAAAATAATTGATTACATATCACCATAATAGATATAATAATAATTAAAAAGTTTAAAATATTGAGAGAATTAGACCAAAATGTGACACAGTGACATGAAGTGAGCACATGCTATTGGAAAGAAATGTTGCTGACAGATTTGCTCAACACAGGGATGGCAGAAACCTTCACTTTTTAAGAAGTACAATATCTGTGTATCTCAGTAAAGCTAAGCACAATAAAATAAGGTGTGCCTGCACATCATTGACTAAATAAAGACATTTATACTTGGCACCTTCATTAACAAAAATTCTAAAATACTTTAAAGTGGGAGTTGAACAATGAGAACACATGGACACAGGGAGGGGATCATTGCACACCATGGCCTGTCAGGGGCTGGGGGTCTGGGGGGCTGGGGAAGAGATAGAATTAGGAGAAATACTTAATGTAAATGACAGGTTGGTGAGTGCAGCAAACTACCATGGCACGTGTATACCTATGTAGCAAACCTGCACGTTCTGCACATATATCCCAGAACTTAAAGTATATAAAAGAATTTTTTTCTTTACTTTAAAGCAGTTATATATATTTATATATTTTCCTGGTAGAACTTTTTTTTTTTTTTTTCTGAGACAGAGTTTGCTCTTGTCGCCCAGGCTGGAGTGCAGTGGCATGATCTCAGCTCACTGCAACCTCCACCTCTCCCGGTAGACTTTTTGTAATATAGAGGAACAATAAATTTCAGTATAGATCTGAGCAAATGTCAATTAATTTTGAAAAAACTCATACCCATTTATTCATCAGTATGTACTGAGTATTGGATCAAGCTCCAGTGATATGATAAGACAAAGATGATCAAAACTTGTTCTCAAATTACATAGTCTTCTGGAGGATACAAATAAATAAATATTATACATCTAGAAATTTGTGCTAAATTAGGAGAAGTACCAAGTTTCATAAGCTGAATCGTGTTTCCCCCAAAATTTATATATTGAAGTCCTAAGCTCCAGTGCCTCAGAATGTAACTATATTTGGAAATAGGGTCTTAAAAGAGGTAAATAAGTTAAAATGAGGTCATTAAAATGAAACATAATCCAATATGACCAGGAAATTTGAACACAAATTTGAACACATATTAGTGCAAAGGGAAGAACATGTAAAGGCCTAGGCAGAAGCCAAAAGGAGCAGCCTTGGGGAAAAAAACAACCCTTTCAACACCTTATCTCAGAGTTCTAGCTTCCAGACTGTGAGAAAATAAATGTATGTTTTTTAAGCCACCTAGTCTGTGGTCCTTTTTTTACGGCAACCCTGAGAAAACTAGAAAAGGTATCTAGCACACATATGGATGAGCTGGAGTGGTCTTTGTGGTATAGGTGACAAATTCTGTGGAGAGAAAAAGAAATGCATCAAAGACCAGAGTCCAAGGAGAAAATGATGATGTTGAGGGTATAAAACATGTAACTTGTTTGAAATGAAAAGTATAACTTGTTATTGACAAAAGTTGAAGCTGGAGAAATAAGCAGCCCCATATTTCAAAGCCTCATATAGTGTGGTAAGGACCAATAAAGTCAAGAGGAAACCATTTAGGGCTATCAAGAAGTTGTATGTTCGGATTTATCTTTTAATTTTAACATATTGTTGCTGCAGTCTGAAAATGAATTGAGAGCTCCATATTGGGAAATACAAATAATAAACATCCTGAAAAGGAGTTTCTGTTGGAAAATCAATAATTACCCTGAACAATATGTAATAAACATATTTTAAATCCATAGCTTAGCAGGAACCAGGAATGAATGTGCAAAATCTTAAATATCCAAAATAACAAAAGCAAGCTTTAAAAAATCCAGGTATCTGATGTGTACAAAAAAAACATAAATAATAAATGTAAACAAAATAAATTAGAGGCTTATTAAAGAGAATACTAAGAAATTTGGGGTACTTATGAACTACGTACTTACAAATAACAGAAAAATAATGCATAACAAGTTGTACAATTTGCTGGGTAGATAAAACTGAGTTTGTATATATCAATTAAAATAGTTTTGATGTATGTAAATCAAAAATGAACTGAACTACAAGGAAAAATGGAAAAATCCATAATAATTGTGGAATAACTTAGTGTTTCTAGTCCAATAATTAATAGATCAATGAAACAAAAATGCTAAGTGTTCAAAAAATTTATTGGCATAATTAAGTCACTAAAGCAATGAACAACTCATTTATGTATAAAAGTCTGTATCCAATACTAACAAGTCACATTGTTTTAAAGCCCACAGATTGTCCAGGCACAATGGCTCACACCTATAATCCCAGCACTTTGGAAGGCTAAGGCGAAAGGATCACTTGAGGCCAGGAGTTTGAGACCAGCATATGCAACATAGTGAGACATTGTCTCTGCAAAATATTAAAAAATTAGCTAGGCATGGTAGTACATACCTGTAGTCCCAGCTACTGGAGGCTGAGGCAGAAGGACTTACTAAGCCAAGGAGTTTGAGGCTGCAATGCACTGTGATCACATCATTGCACTCCAGCCTGGGTTACAGATTGAGGCCCTGTGTCTAAACAAAACAAAACAAAACACAACAAAAATGCCACAATGAAACCACCAGTCGGTGTTTTATGATTTAGATCTACCAAATACTTCATCTATACTTACATCTAAGTTTATATAAATAGAAAGTTTCTGGTAAAGTTAGTTATATACTTACCATACAGTCAAGCATATCTACTTGTAGGTATTTACAAAAGAGGTATGAAAACATAAAGTCATATAAAATATTTTACTCAGATCTTCATAGCACCTTTATAATAGTTGAAAACTGGAAACAACCCAAACATTCATCAATTGATAAATGGATGAAGAAATTGTAGAATAATCATGCAATGACATACTACTCAACGATGTAACATAACTGCTGATATATTCAACACAGATGTTTGTCAAACACAGATGACAAACACAGATGTTCGTCAAAAACATTTTGTGAAGTAAAAAAGCAGAAACAAGGCTACATACTGTATGACACTCTCTGTGTAACATTTTAGAAGACACAAAACAAATTATGCCACAGACAAATAGTAATTGTCAGGGGCTGCGTACTGAGGGAGGAACTGACCAAGGAACATGAGGGAATTTTTGATTGATGGCTTTTTTTAACATTATGATTGTGGTGGCCATTATATTCTGTATACATTAGTCAAAATTCATCTAATTGTACATGTAAAATTACAGAAAATTTTGTACGTAAATCTGACCTATTACTTTATGTTTAAACTGAAGAAAATTTCACTATTTTATTTCACTATTAAGTTCTTTGAGACCTTAATAAACATTAAGATTGTTAACAAGAGTCCTATAAACTTGAGAACAAAACTTGGATATTAAAGTATATAGAATTATTTATACGTGTAATGGAGATAATATGTAACAGTATTAAAGATTCCAGCAGCTGCTATGAAATTAAATGTTGCAAATGGGTGATTTTTGTAAAAGGACGCATGAAGAGCCATGGTAATCACCAGCCAATAAGTTTTAAATTAAAAAAATTTGTTCTTGAAAGAAAATGCATTTTAAAGAAAACTAAGGGTACCTGCATGTGCTGCCCAGAGGCCTGAGATCTGGCTTGTATAAAGCCTGCTGCTGTCGCTGCTGGTATCCACATATTCTAGTCAGGGACTTGAGAACTAGCTTTCCCAGTGCCTCTGTCACCAGCAAAACTGCCCCGCAGCCTCTATAAGCAATTATAACCTAAGCCACTGAGGAACATGCAGACACCCTGACATTAAATATAGCCAAATAAATCATATGAGACTACACTACCATGCCCATCCAGAACAAAAACTCAAAATACCCTACCTGACACTGTAGATAAATCTACAGTAAAAAGTCTTCCTCTATGAATGTTATTTCATTAAAGTAGAATAAGTGACTGTTACACCAGATGTGCAGACATCAAGGTAGGGACATAAGAAACATGAAAAAGCAAAGAAACATAGTTTCTAAAGGAACACAATAATTCTCTAGTAACAGATGACACAGAAACGGAAATCTATAAAAGGCCTGAAAAATATAAAATGATGATCTGAAGAAAACTAAGCTAGACATGAGAGAATACAAGTAGACAATAAAAACGAGTCAGGAAACCAATTCATAATCTGAATAAGAAATAAAACATAGAGATACATATTTTAAAAAGAACCAAATAGAAATCTTAGATTAAAAAATTCAGTGAAAGAAATAAAAAACATAATCAAGAGCTTTAACAATAGACTAGATAAAGCAGAAGAAAGAATTTCTGAACTTGAAGAAAGGTCTTTTGAAATAATCCAGTCAAACAAAAAAATGAATAAAGAAAGTCTATGTGAGATTTGGTGCAGCATTAAGTGAACAAATCTTTCCATTTGGAAAGTTACAAAGGTGAAGAGAGGAGAAAAGCCATGCGAAACATATTGAATAAAGTAATAGGTGAAAACTTCCCAAGTCTTGGGAAAGCTATAGACATCCCAAGACTCAAAGATTCACAAACAGATTAAACCATAAAAGTCATATTAAAGGCATATTGTAGTTAAACTTTCAGAAGCAGAAGTCATTGAGCAGTGGTTTGTAGTTCTCCTTGAAGAGGTCCTTCACATCCCTGGTAAGCTGGATTCCTAGGTATTTTATTCTCTTTGAAGCAATTGTGAATGGGAGTTCACTCATGATTTGGCTCTCTGTCTGTTGTTGGTGTATAAGAATGCTTGTGATTTTTGCACATTGATTTTGTATCCTGAGACTTTGCTGAAGTTGCTTATTAGCTTAAGGAAATTTTGGGCTGAGACGATGGGGTTTCCTAAATATACAATCATGTCATCGGCAAACAGGGACAATTTGCTTCCTCTTTTCCTAATTGAATACCCTTTATTTCTTTCTCCTGCCTGATTGCTCTGGCCAGAACTTCCAACACTATGTTGAATAGGAGTGGTGAGAGAGGGCATCTTTGTCTTGTGCCAGTTTTCAAAGGGAATGCTTCCCGTTTTTGCCCATTCAGTATGATATTGACTGTGGGTTTGTCATAAATAGCTCTTATTGTTTTGAGATACGTCCCATCAATACCTAATTTATTGAGAGTTTTTAGCATGAAGCACTGTTGAATTTTGTCAAAGGCCTTTTCTGCATCTATTGAGATAACCAGGTGGTTTTTGTCTTTGGTTCTGTTTATATGCTGGATTACATTTATTGATTTGCATATGTTGAAACATCCTTGCATCCCAGGGATGAAGCCCACTTGATCATGGTGGATAAGCTTTTTGATGTGCTGCTGGATTCGGTTTGCCAGTATTTTATTGAGGATTTTTGCATCGATGTTCATCAGGGATATTGGTCTAAAATTCTCTTTTTTTATTGTGTCTCTGCCAGGCTTTGGTATCAGGATGATGCTGGCCTCATAAAATGAGTTAGGGAGGATTCCCTCTTTTTCTATTGATTGGAATAGTTTCAGAAGGAATGGTAACAGCTCTTCCTTGTACCTCTGGTAGAATTTGGCTGTGAATCTGTCTGGTCCTGGACTTTTTTGGTTGGTAAGCTATTAATTATTGCCTCAATTTCAGAGCCTGTTATTGGTCTATTCAGGGATTCAACTTCTTCCTGGTTTAGTCTTGGGAGGGTGTATGTGTCGAGAAATTTATCCATTTCTTCTAGATTTTCTAGTTTATTTGCACAGAGGTGCTTATAGTATTCTCTGATGGTAGTTTGTATTTCTGTGGGATCGGTGGTGATATCCCCTTTATCATTTTTTATTGCATCTATTTGAATCTTCTCTCTTTTCTTCTTTATTAGTATTGCTAGCGGTCTATCAATTTTGTTGATCTTTTCAAAAAACAGCTCCTGGATTCATTGATTTTTTGAAGGGTTTTTTGTGTCTCTATCTCCTTCAGTTCTGCTCTGATCTTATTTCTTGTCTTCTGCTAGCTCTTGAATTTGTTTGCTGTTCTTTCTCTAGTTCTTTTAATTTTGATGTTAGGGTGTCGATTTTAAATCTTTCCTACTTGCTCTTGTGGCCATTTAGTACTATAAAATTTTCTCTACACACTGCTTTAAATGTGTCCTAGAGATTCTGCTACATTGTATCTTTGTTCTCATTAGTTTCAAAGAACCAAGTTTACCGTTGCAGTCTTTGTGCAGTTATGTGGCTTTCTTTGGGAAACTAATCCTTCTCTCACCCATCAGAATTATTTTTGATTGTAGAATCAGAATCACATTTGTGATAACATTCTCATCATTTAGAAGCCACATGACCCATTCTGATTCATAATTCTTGTGTTTGTTTTGTTGACCAAAAAAAAAAAAATCCGAAAAAGCATACTTGCTCTTCCTTCTAACTGCCCTATTCCTTTCTATAATGTGTTCCTGTGTAATAACAGTATGGGTTACCCTCAGATAAGTGGTATATTGGCATATAATGAGTGAACAGACTAGGAGAATATGTTGACAAGGAATTAGGAAGCAACTAACCACAAATTGTTATCAAGAATGTACTATTTTCCCCAATGTGAAAAGAAAACATAAAGAGTGAAAAATAATTTATGATTTCTCATCGATGTCTTCAAGTATTGATCATCATTGGTCAGGGATCTAATAATCTAGTAATATGTTAAGAGGGATAGCATTGGGAGATATACCTAATGTAAATGACGAGTTCATGGGTGCAGTACTCCAACATGGCACATGTATACATATGTAACAAACCTGCACATTGTGCACATGCACCCTCAAACTTAAAGTATAATAATAATAAAAAAAAGAAACTAGACCAGAAAAAAAAGTAGAAGTCAAAGAGAGAACTATCAAAACTGCAAGAGTAAAATGTCAGGTTACATATACAGGAATACCCATCAGATTATCAGTAGAAATCTGAGCAGAAAAATTCCATGCCAGGAGAGAACGAGATGAGATATTTAAAGTGCCAAAAGAGGAAAACAAAACAAAACAATGCTGAAATGTGTTAAGACTTTGGGGGACTGTTGGGAAGGCTTGATTGGTTTTGAAATGTGAGTACATGAGATTTGGGAGGGGCCAGAGCAGAATGATATGGTTTGGCTGTGTCCCCACCCAAATCTCATCTTGAATTTCTATGTGTTGTGGGAGGGACCTGGTGGGAGGTAACTGAATCGTGGGGGCAGGTCTCTCCTGTGCTGCTCTCATGATAGCAAATAAGTCTCATGAGATATGATGGTATTATAAGGGGGTGTTTCCCTGCACAAACTCTCTCTTTCCCTGCCTCCATCCACTTAAGATGTGACTTGAACCTCCTTGCCTTGCACCATGATTGTGAGGCCTCTGCAGCCATGTGGAACTGTAAGTCCATCAAACCTCTTTTTCTGTAAAGTGCCCAGCCTTGGGCATGTCTTTATTAGCAGTGTGAAAATGGACTAATACACTGGCCAAATATAGCATACCACGATTGAATCAAGAAGAAATAGAAAACCTGAACAGTTCGATATCTAGTAATGAGATTGAATAATGTCTTACAACAAATAAAAGCCCAAGACTAGATGGTTTTACTGCTAAATTTTACCAAACTTATAAGGAAGAACTAACATAAATTATTTTCAAAGTATCTTAAAATATTAAATAGAATAGATTTCTTTATAATTTATTCCCTAAGACCAGCATTGCCCTGCTGCCAAAGCCTGACAGACACAACAGCAATAGTAAAAATCCTTAGGCGGCGAGGCATGGTGGCTCACACCTGTAATCCCAGCACTTTGGGAGGCCAAGTCAGGTGGATCACCTGAGGTTGGGAGTTTGAGACCAGCCTGACCAACATGGAGAAACCCTGTCTCTACCAAAAATACAAAATTAGCCAGGCATGGTGGCGCATGCCTGTATTCCCAGCTACTGAGGAGGCTGAGGCAGGAGAATTGCTTGAACCTGGGAGGCAGAGGTTGCATTGAGCTGAGATTGCACCACTGCACTCCAGCCTGTGCAACAAGAGTGAAACTCCTTCTCAAAAAAAAAAAATATTTAGGCCAATATTTCCAATGAATGTAGATACAAAAATCCTCAACAAAATACTAGCTGAGTCCAACAGCATATCAAAACTATAACACCTCATAGTCAAGTGGAATCAACCCCAGAGATGCAAGAATAGTTTAAAATACACAAGTAAATAAACGTGATATATCACATCAGAAGAATAACTGACAAAAACTGTATAGTCATCTAAATAGATGCAGAAAAAATCATTTAATAAAATGCAACATCTGTTCCTGATAAAAATTCTAAATGACTCAGGTATTGAAGGAACATACCTCAACACAATAAAGATCATATATGACAAACCCACAGCTAACATCATAGTGAAAAGGGAACAGCTGAAAGATTATCCTATTAGAACTAAAACAAGAGAGCAATGCCCACTTTCCCTGCTGCCATTCAACATATTACTGAGTCCTAGCCAGAGCAATTAGGCAAAAATAAGAAATAAAGGGCATCTAAATTGGAAAAACAAGAAGTCAAATTGTCTCTTTTTGATGATGATATGATCTCATATATAGAAAAACCTAAAGCATTCACCAAATAACTCTTAGAACTGGTAAATGAATTAAGTAAAGTTACAGGATACAAAATAAACATAAAATAATTAGTAGTATTTATATATACCAATAACAAACCAATGGAAAAAAAATCAAGAAACTAATCCCATTTACAATATCTACCACAAATAAAAACTTAGAAATAAATTTAACCAAGGAGATGAAAGATCTCTAAAATAAAAACTACAAAACACTGATGAAATAAATTGAAAATATAAACAAATGGAAACACAACCCATGCTTATAGATTGAAATAATTAATATCATTAAAATGACCATGCTATTCAAAGCAATCTACAGAGTCAATGCAATCTTTACTGAAAAGTCAATGACATTTTTCACAGAAATAGAGAAAACAGTCCTAAAATTTGTATGGAGCTACAATAACAATAAAAAACTCCACATAGCCAAAGCAATACTGATGAAAAAGAACAAGGCTAGAGGCATCACACTATCTGATTTTAAACTATATTATATAGCTATAGTAGCTAAAACAGCATAGTATTCATATAAAAACAGATATACAGAACAATGAAACAGGTTAGAAAACCCAGAAATAAATCCATGTCTTTACAGCTAACTGATTTTTAACAAAGGACTGGAAATCTATATGCATAGTAAATAAACAGATCTGTATCTCTCACCATATAAAAAAATCAACCAAAATGAATTAGACTTAAATTGAAGGCCCAAACTATAAAACTGCTAGAAAAAACATGGGGAAAATGCTTCAGCACTTTGGTCTAGGAGAAGATTTTATGGATAAGACTTCAAAAGCACAGACAACCAAGCCAAAAATAGACAAACGAAATTGTAAACAAACTAAACTAATAATTGTCTGCACAGCAAATGAAACATAATAGAGTTAAGAGACAATTTGTATAATGGGAGAAAATATTTGCAAACTATACATCTGACAAGGGACTAATATACAGAATATAGAAGAAATTCAAATAACTCAAATATAAAACACCAATTAAAAAGTGGACAAAGCACCTGAACATACATATCTCAAAGAAAGACATTCGAATAGCCAACAAGTATATGAAAAAACGTTCAGCATCACTGATAATCAAATTAATGTAAATCAAAACTACAAGGAGATATCATTTTACCCTAGTTTAATGACTATTATCAAAAATACAACATAACATCTGCTGGTGGGGATGTGGGGAAAAAGGGAATTATTTTACATTGTTGGTGGTAATGTAGATTAAATATTCATCAACTGATAAATAAATAAAGAAAATGTGGGATATATACAAAATGGATTACTGTTTAGCCATAAAAAAGAATGCAATCCTGTCATTCACAGCAGCATGGGTGAGCCTGGAGGACACTAACTTAAGTGAAATAAGTCAGGCACAGGAAGATAAATACCCTATGTTCTCAGTCATATGTGAGATCTATATTATTATTGTTACTGTTAGTTTTATTTTTTAAAAAAAATTGAGCTCATGGAAGTACAGAGTAGAACTGTGGTTATTAGATTACATGCTGGGAATAGTAGAGAATTAAAAAATGTATTATCAAGATGTCTGACATATAAAAGAATCTCAATTTTAAGAATTACTCTTCCTATCCTTTTAACATATTTTGCATCTTTAAATAAAGTTTAATCGTGTAATAAAATAATTCAGCTTATAAAATACTTTAGAGATTAAAGATTGAGTTAGTGGTTTAGAAGATCAATTTATGAAATTTTACCATTGTTTAAACTCCTGTAATGTAGAAATTTCTCCATTAAATAATTCTACAATTTTTATATGGCTTATTATAATGGTTTATACCTGACAAAATTAGGTTGAAAATCGACAATATAATAATGACATGACCCTTTTTATATTTGTATTGAGCGCTTTTGAACACTTAAACAGTAATCTACAGCACATTCATTCAGCAAGTACTTATTATTAAGGGCGTTAAGATTCTCTGAGCACTTGATACACATAAAATTTCATAAGATCAATATAAATACAATAAGATAAAGAATAAAACAGCTTCAGATAATAAGTAGTAATAAGAAAATAGAACTCAATTATGTATTAGATTATGATGTGGATATGATGGTGGGGAACTGCTTCAATTTGGGTCACTTCAAGGAGGTGACAGTTGAGTTTAGGAACTATATTATGATTAAAAGCTTAGTAGACCAAGCATTGGAGCATTTGGAAAAATATTCAAGATAGGGATGTAAACGGTTGCTGTAAGACAACATGTCTGGAAGGGAACCGGTGCAGCAGAGATTAAAAAAGGAAAAAATGGATAAAGTTAAGAGAGGTAACAATAAGAAATAAACCGCTATTGAGGAATGACTAATTTTGCACAAGAAAAGTATATTACTAAATATATGTTTGTGTATGTGAATATATACACACATATATATATACACATTGTGTGTGTGTATATATACACATATATATATACACAGTGTGTGTGTATATATACACATATATATATATACACAGTGTGTGTGTATATATACACATATATATACACAGTGTGTGTGTATATACACATATATATACACAGTGTGTGTGTATATATACACTTATATATATACACAGTGTGTGTGTATATATACACATATATATATACACAGTGTGTGTGTATATATATACAAATATATATATTCACACAGTGTGTGTGTGTGTATATATATATACACACACCCTCATATATGGTTTATCCCCTCAAAAAACTTCATGACAGATAAAGTTTTCAGAGTATAGGTTGGGGGTCAAGATATGATATGTCTATATAGATATAGATACATAGATAATGAAATAACATATAATCATATATATGATTAATGCTATTAGGAGGAAAAATACTGGGTATAAACTTTTTAAATTTATGTATACCTATTTTTAATATAAATTTATTTGACATTTGTTGACAAATTTTTCTATACTCTTATGAAATGATGCCCAGAATTGTACTGTGTCATGAGTTAGTCTTTCATTTTCAAAAGTAAGCAATCATATTTCAAATTGTAAAGATTATATGAACTCATCATTTATTTAATTTGTAATATATTACATACCATGTTACTGCATATTCAGAAACTATCAGCATGCTTTTGTTCAATACTAAATAAATAGCATAAAATTATTCATTTATTTGGTAAGGCAAAATATTAGACCATAAATTTGATTTAGCTCAAAATATAAAAGTACTGAAGGTTTGTTTGTTTGTTTTTGAAACGGAGATTTGCTCTTGATGCCCAGGCTAGAGTGCAATGGCGCGATCTCGGCTCACTGCAACCTCGCTACCCGGGTTCAAGAGATTCTCCTACCTCAGCTTCCAGAGTAGCTGGGATTACAGCCGCCTGCCACTACTCCTGGCTGTTTGTTTGTTTATTTATTTATTTATTTATTTATTTATTTATTTATTTATTGAGACGGAGCCTCGCTCTGTCACCAGGCTGGAGTGCAGTGGCAAGATCTCGGCTCACTGCAACCTCCGTCTCCCGGGTTCAAGCGATTCTCCTGCCTCAGCCTCCCGAGTAGCTGGGACTACAGGCGCGCGCCACTATGCTCGGCTAATTTTTGTATTTTTAGTAGAGATGGGGATTCACCATGTTGGCCAGGCTGGTCTCAAACTCCAGACCTCAGGCGATCCACCAGCTTCGGACTCCCAAAGTGTTTGAATTACAGGCGTGAGCCACTCCACCCAGCAGTGTTTTCAAGCGACTTATAAGCAGAATCAAATGGTCATTGGAAGTTAATGTCCTTGTAGACAAAAATTTTGAGTTAATATGAAAAGAAATTGATAAGTATAAATTATTTGAAAATAAGGTAGGGAGAAATTTTGTGTACAGCCGATAAGTGTCATTTTGACAAATTAAAATATATTAATGTTTCTATAAATAAAAAAATTAGACTTTTTCAATAATCAGTGCTACATTTAGACAACATAAGAAAATGGACTAAGCTGAATGGCATTTAGGAAATAACTGTAAGTGATGTAGACTATATTCACTCTAGTCCCTTGTCTACTTTGCATGCCTATTTACATTTCTATATGACTGGGTCACATAGTTAATAAAAATGTAAACATTGTAGATTAGCAATTACTTTAATAACAATTTGTTTTCATAATTTTTATAAATGAAAAATTTATCTAAGCAATGCTTTCTGAAGAAAATGCACTCCCTGTAGATATATAGCATATTATGTTTAAGTTATTTTATAATAAGCACACATTTTCATATTTGTATATTGTTTCAGTGTTTCTTGTTTTGTAACTTAAGCTGAAATTTTCAAAAATAGTATATACAAGATAAAAATAGTTGCTACTTATTGTGTGCTTGTGTAAGGAGCCAGTGACTGAGCTACTTATACATTAAATGAATATCCTCAGTTATTTTCACCACAATTCTCTGAAGTGAGTTCTAATAACCCTGATTTTCCATGGAAAAAAAACAGAAGCTCAGAGCTGATAAGTTACACAACTGGCCACTATTCTGGATTCCGGCTCTCTGGTTTTAGGATTACCACATACCATATTCCATTAGATTTTACTGCATATATATACCTACTGGTAAATTCCTTAATTTTATATTTTCTGTTTGTTTGTTTGTTTACTTAATTTATTATCCTATGACTTGTGAAAAATAAAGTAGAACTCAATGGATCTCATCTCCTATATATTTTTTCGCCTTTTCTTTAAAGGTTTTCTTGGACTGGTATATATTGCCAATCACCTAAAACCTAATGATTTTGGTAAATTCAGCAGAGAAAAATGTCAATTTGGATTTTAAATTAGATTAATCATCAAATTCGGTGTCCATGCACTGAGCACACTTTCTTAGAAATGGTTAATGTATATGGAAAAGAGGTGTCTGAAGTAACGTAGTCTATCAAGTCAAAATTCCTTATATAAAAATGTATTTGTTGGTTACTATTATATAGTGTTTCAAATATAACCACAAATGTTTTAAAAATAAATATTAACTTCTATCAGAAACCTTATCATACAGAGACATAAGTACATGAAAAATTAAAACAATGCAGGAAATTACCCTAAAAATACAATATTATTTTATAAGGTTATTCCTGATTAGATGTTGAATTTATCATGTAAAATCAAAACATTTGTTCAAAGAGTGTATAATCACTAGAAATTAAAGAGCTATATATAGTTCTTATAAAGCAGGGACAAATCTAAATTTGACTTTGAAAATCACATATTGTTTCTGTATCAATCAGGGTTACAGTAAGAAGCAAAATGTTTAGTTGGGTTTAAAGAGAACCCAATAAAGTTGGGATTTTCAGTGCCATGGACAAAGATAGGAGAATCTACAAGCAATGGTGAAGTGCTCTGGATTCACAACAGTCAAGGGTCATTATCATTTTTAGGCCTTAAGAGGCCAGGGAAGGGAATGCTCACTGGATTCCAGGGAGAGCTGTAGCCATGGGTGAGGGTTTCTCCTATAGGAGCTGTGCCTAAGATGAAGAAAGCGAGCAATTGCCAAACTACAAAACCACAGGAAAGAAGCAAGAGGAAGTAGTAGCCCACTCCTCTACCTACTTTTCCCACTGCCTTCTTAACTGTAGCAGTGTTTCCTGTTGACTAAACACACCTGGAAGTCAGAGGACAGAAAAGCTCGTACAACACTATACTCTTGTGAATCCTGCATGGCAAGATTCAGGGTAAAGAAGGGAAGAGAATAAATAAGACGGGGACAAATAATCCAGCCAATTGTTATGGTCAGAGAGGACCAAAATGTTATTCCCAACCTAGGGGTTAGGAGTTATAAGATCACAAGCATAGAAATAGAAAATTGTCATGATTCATCCAAGGAATGTGAATAGCTGAGATAGAGATTATAGAGACTATAAAAAACAGAATGCAGAATACAGGGGTATAGTGCGATGGTAAAGAGGAACTAGAGTATCATCAGAAATTACCCATCATTATGAATTAAGCAAAAAAACTTGATTCAAAATACTCAGTGTTAAATGTAGATAAGTACAGGTTATGGTTGACTTGCCTGTGCATTCCCATCCACTTTGCTTTTCTATCTATCTTTCTTTCTTTTTTTAATACACTCAATCACAATGCTTTCTGCTCCTGGCCAGGTGTTGTTACTCTTCAACTTCGGTTATAATAGTCATTTTTCCTCTCTTCCTGCTTTTTAGGTCTCTAGCCTGCGATGATTTTTCTGAGCTTCAATTGCACTCATAGTGAGAACCACACAATTTAGTACTGGTTGATTTCTAACTGTGCTTAATGTTCATCTTACTTTATTTCCAGATTGAAAGGAAAGACATAATTTTCCTCTTATGTTTTTATATGCCCTTTACTAATAGCACAAAGTAGAATTCAATCAGCATGATATAGTTAACTATATATTGTTAGAAAATTATATATATTTAAATTAATTTTGCTCTTAATTTAATATAACCAAGGGAATAATCTGATGCTAAACTAGATTGTGCAGTTGTATCAATCAGAGTCCTGGCAAGGAACATAATTCAACTCAACACAGGGTTTTCTGAGGACAGCAGAGATTAGAAATTTCAGGAAGTGATTACCATGACTAGGCATAAAGTGGCAAGAGAAGAATCCATGTAAGGGCTGAAGGCTCAGGAGATAAGAAGGTCCTACCAGCAATCCTCTAGGCTGTCAATTGAAACAACAACTCTAAGAATCTAAGTGTCAGAGGTATCCAAACCAGAGGGACTTCATCTTGAATAAAAGCCAAATAAACAAAGCCTGCTGGGTTATAATCCCAAGGAAGTTAAACACTTTTAGGCACAAGATGTTTATGGTTGAGGGGAAGAGTTAATGACACTTACTAAATAAGACCCAGAACTTAAGAAAATGTTCTGATGTCTTAAGAACAAAAAAACACTCTTAGTTTAAGAATAGTTTTTGCTTTAAAGATAATAGTATATCCATAAATTCTTGCTGAAATCAGTAGTTACTCAAGAGAATAATACTAATAGCCTGTCACAGACTGATCACAAGCCTTTTTAATAAAGCATATAAGACCATTATTCATAGTTCTGTTATCCTATATAAGCAAGCATTGTATTTGAAGTGGGCTCATTCTTCCTCTTGCTTCCTGAGGACTCCCTGTAATAGTGTACTACTCTGCAATAGAGGAGTCTTTAATAAACCTGCCTCTTTCACTGTGCTTTGTGACTTGTCCTGAATTATTTCCCTCATGATATCAAAGAACCCACCCTTAGGGTCTGGGATGAGACCACTTTCCGGTAAAGAAGTGTCTGAGACTAGGACACAGAAAAGAAATAGCCCAAAAACTCTTTCCTTCTACCCACATAGCTCCTGCTTGTGTCTCCCATTGGTTGAACCCAAGCAGAAACCAGGGGAAAGAGACCCCTAGGGATGCAGCCCCCAGGAGTTTAGCCTATAGGACATAGGGCAGAGCAAAAAAGAACAGAGGGAAGTAGTCCAATGCAGAATAACTAGCACTGTGGGAACTGACAACCAACTTATTTTGTAGAATCAGAAACACTTTCTACTGTCTTTTCTTTCCTGAAAGACACTCACAACTGCAAAGTGATTACAACTCTTTTCCCTAGAAAATCAGTTACAGGTAAAATCTACTTTCAACATGTCTAGGTTTCTGTTTTACAGTAACATCTTAACAAAGGAAACACTATGACTTCTATAGATGGAATATCTTAAGGAATAAGCTAACTCTGGACAGGTTCAGATAAGAGCTAACGTGTATTTTGCACTTTAGTTTAGTTTGAAAGTATTGTCAACCATGAGTGGTTGACCACTCACATAACTTTTGAATAGAAATAGTCCAGCCCAGGTAGAGCCACATCTTGTAGCACCCTTTCTAGCCATGGTCAACTGGATGAGGAATGAAGAGCTGATGTAAAACCTGCAAATCATAGGCTGATCAATGATTTATGCCCTAAGCCCTAGAAAAAAATGATGAGCTGAAATAAATAAATCTGAAGTGTGTAATTAAGTCATACAAAAGGTAAACACCTTAAATGAAACTCATGTACCCTTGCCTACTGCAATTTCTGCTTTTCCTGAGGCTCTTCTCTACTTCCATTCCTACTTGTCTTATTCAATCATGTTTTTCTTTTTTTAATTCTTCTAGATTCGAGCTTGTTCTAAATTCTGGGATTCATGCAAATATGTATCCTAACAATAAGCAGCCCATTACTTGACTTAGTAGAGAATATGGTCCTTGCAAACTAAAGAATTAAACCAAAAAAGAATCCAGAGAACCCACATTGAATATAGAGCAAGGGAAATGGTTGCCTAGTCAGGCATGGCTATTGTAAATGGCATGACCTGCACCTGAAGCCATTTCCAGAAGAAGTATATTCAAACAAGCAACCAACACCCCAACAAAACCATCTACACAATTCCTTATCCTTCAACTGCAGCTTATCCAATTCCTTTCAATTTTTCCAGTCAGTGATTGCTCTAAGTTTCCACCCTCAATGGATTCCCTCAAAGAGGTACATTCATGTCCATCAGTTCAGCATGGAGCAAGAACAATGAAAGATACACGACAGTGAGAAATATCTGTGAAATAGATTCAAAACATCAAAATGGTCGATCGGAAACTGTTCTCTATGCTTTAGTTGGCTAAATTTTCTGGCTAGTTATTTTATGAGGGGAAAATTAAAGTTCTTTTAAGTCAGAACATCACTTATGATACAGTTATCTTTTGAGAACATGAATTGAGTTCTTATAAACTAAGCATTTCGTCTTGATAACATTCTGCATAAAATGACCATTTCAGATATTGTTTTAGATCAGCATTTCCCGAAGTTCATTTGGCAGAACTTATTCAGAGAGATGTAATTAGTGCTGTGTGAAACAGGCAGCCTGTAAAGAAATTTTAGAAATTGCTGGGTCCTCCAAGTTGCTGATCTGCACTGTAGATCTCTAAAAAGGGTAATATACCAAAATAATTTGGCCAAGAACTTATTTTTCCCCTGAGTATTTCTAGGGATTAATATTCGATATGTTATACACCTTTAAAAAGTTTATTCAAATGACTATTTACTCAATGTCTTCCTGAATATCATAATCAATTTCTGATACACAGAATGAGTAAAATAGAAAAAAATACATTTATTATAAGATTCTTGTTTTAAAAGAACTCATTTCTATCTGGATGTATGACAGATATTTTTAATTTAAATCAGCATTTCTGTCTTCATGGTGGATTTTTTTTTACTATACAATAGTATTTGTTAATTATTAATGTCTCCAAATTTCCATTTGAGAGTGGATAGTTATACATTTCATATACCTATAGAGAAATACATATATGTGTGTGTATACATGGGTGTGCATATATATATATTCTCTATATATATTCAAATAATTACATGTTAAGATATTTCAATGTTTTAGTGTTTAAAATAAACATGTTTTTTCTCTTTTCATTAATTTAAATATTCAGTTTGATCAGACAATATAATTAATGAGGATAAATTTTTCTGATCCTGAATTCCCAGTTTCTTAGCAACCTCTCAATGAAAGACTCTTTGGATATCCACTGAGATGTACATCAATAGCTTAAGTTTTCTTAAAATAAAGAACTGAGAATGCATGATAAATGTTATTAAAATGTCTTTTACAATGTAATGATTATAGCACAAGCAAATCTTTTGTTATAAAGGGAAGCTAACTTTCCTGAAATTAATTTTTTTCTGATCCAGGGATGCTTCACTTTTGACTAAGGCAAATATAAATGCTTTTGAAAAACATTTGAGATTTCTCCTATATCCTTTATAATTGCCTGTCTTTGCTATACTCTTAAGAGTAAAAAACTTAAATACCCAATCCTGAGGACCCAACTTCTTAGACTTTGCCTACCTTTACGTTGAGGAACTAGTATAACACTAGATTAAAAATAGTTTGTTGGTTAAAATATTTAAAAATTATCAGTGGGGAAAAATAAATCACTTATTTTTACTTAGGTCCTCCAAAGGTAAAGATAATTAATACAGAGTTTACAAAGGTGACAAAATGTGACTATGAATTTCCAAATATCAGAAAAATAGGAAGGGGAAAGTGAGAAAAAAACACCTAAGATATAGCTTCTTGATTTCATTTTAATGTGTGCTAGAATTTTACTGCTAACTGGTGAATGGTAAGTATATTTTCAACCTGGGCAGAGTACACTGGCTTAATGAGACTGATAACCCAGTTTCTTTGTGTATTTCCAGAAAATTTTAAGAAACGTAGAAATGACTCTTTACATCACGAAATTGCCAGTTCTAAGAAAGCACTTGTTCTTCTGGTACTGTTACTCTGACTAGGAATTGAGTAGTTGGTTATTACGTCCATCTGCTCATCCCCAAAATATCATCCTTGAATTTGCAAAACCACAATGATGTTTTTAAAAATGAAAAACCTTCATAGAACAGTATGTTGAAAATGACTATTTCCCCCAATAGCTGTTCTTCCCCCCCTTTTTTTTTCTGAAATTCTATGTCGGTTAATACCACCTAGAATAGGGATTATATTTCCAGATAACCTTGTCGCTTAATATGGCCCTATAGCAAAATTCTGACCAGTGAGAAATAAGCAAAAGTTTGTTTTGGCAATGTCTGGGATACCTTCTGTGGAAAATATTTTGCGTGCATGCTTTGACCCTCTTCTACATCATTTCCTTCATCTTGTTCCCTAGAATACAATGCCTCCATCTTGAACCATGATGACAATGGCCACACCTTAGAGGTGGAGGAGTATGGTTAATGAAGAACTCAGTGGGACAGTGCTGCCATGCCAATCCTGCCATACTGACCTTTAAGCTCTTGGGTAAGTAGAAATAAATTTCTTAATTGCTTAAGCCATTGTAAATTTTGTTCTTTGTAATTTTTGAATTTAAGACTGATAAAGATTTTATTAACTGGAATTAGAACTCTTTCTATTTTAGAATCTATAAGGTAGGCTGAACAGAAGTGCTTATAGTAATGTTAGCAAAGACTTGGATTATGGAGGCTGGGTTGCTAGTTACCCTTGTTATGTTGTGGGAATAAACTTTTAGCCAAGGGTTAGCTGTTGCAACATGGAAACCAGACCATTGCTGACCTAGGGGAAATGGGAGGATTATTTCAGAAAATGTTACTGTCTTCAACAAACTGAATGAACAAGTGAACTCATGCCAGAGGTCCACAGGCAGCAAGCAATAGAGAAAGGGAGTTTTTGTGTGTTATTTGAAGCACTTTCTGCCTTGGCCAAGGATCTAAACAGATAGAAAGTCCTATAATTTGGAGCCTTGAAGAACTGAAAAAACTAACTGCTTTCTATCAAAAACTTGACCAGTTAGGAAGTGGCTTCAAAATGACAAACTTAACAAAAGAAATACTGATATCCTGCCCCACAGAGGCTGCAGGACTAATGATACAGCTGGGTCATGTGTGATCTTTCCCATCCCATGACATTGTTTTTCAGACAACATCAAGGTAACCAGCACTGACTGAGAGCTTTAAGGGTGGATGAAGTTCTTTATATAAAAGATAACAGACTTCAGGCTTAAAAATGAGATTTGAACAAGATCTTTGGCTAAGGGAGCATGAATGGGAAATTGTCTAGAAATGAATAAATAAGAGCTTTACAGAGTTATTACATACATTATATTGCTAGAGAAAACATGAGACAGACTGGAGTGCAAAAGTCAGTAAATTTTCTACGCAATAACAATCTCAGGATTCACAAATCTGTTCTAATAGAAGGCGGGCTCCTAAATTTACCCAGTCTTCAGGAAAGATATATTTTCTGATGCCCACCATGGATCTGGCTATGAATAATAAAGAATAATGAATGACCTCTCAGAGGACATGGAAGGTACTCAGATAACAATGGAAATGGAGATTCTTCACATAGAGTACAATCAAGGGATTGCAGGTAATAAAGGAATTTACACTTCTGCCAGAGGAGGGGTTGTTCATTATCCATGACTAATGGAATTTTATTTTTGCTATGGCCTTGCAATTGCCATATGCTTTCGCTGTGGTTTTCTGCCTCTATTGCTTCCTTGTGTATGGTACTTGATGGAGAAAACTGTAGCACACAATGATGGATACTAGACTTTGAACTTGCTCTGAAGCTGGAGGATATTTTAGGGCTTTCACTCATGAGAAGGATGTGAAATTTTGTGTGTGGGGGAAGAAGAATACATTCAGACATTTAGGAGGGCAAAGAGGTAGACAGGAGCAGTGAGTGTTAGCTGGCCTTCAATACTAAGCCTCCTCTTCCTTTTGGAAATACAATCTACAACCAGGCACATTTTTCAGCTTTGATTTTTGTTACATGTAGTCATGTAACTAAGTTTTAGTGACTGAGATGTAAGTAGATGAATTTCCACACCCTTAAGACTCAACTAGAGTGTGCCCTTTTCTTAATTAATAAAGAGCTGCACATAGTTTATGTGCAAAATTGGATGAATTTAGACATATACAAACATTCATGATACTATCATTATAATCAAGGTCATAGATACATGCAGCATCTCCCAAAGTTTCCTTTTGTCTCAGTTTCTGGCACATGTGTGATAAGAACACTTAACGTGAGATATATACTCAATTAAAATTGAAGTGTACAATACTGTATTTTTATCTGTAGGCACTATGGGTACTATGTAATACGGCAGATCTCTAGAATTCATTTCTCTAGCATGAGCATAGTTAAAACTTTATACCCATTGAACAACTCCCTATTTTCCTCACCTCTTCAGCTGCTGGCAACTACTATTCTAGTCTCTGCTTCTATGAGTTTGACTACTTTAGATATCTCAGATGAGTGAAGTATGTAGTATTTATCCTACTATTACTGGCTTATTTCACATAACATAATGTCCTCCAGGTTCAACCCTGTTGTCACAAATGGCTAGATTACCTTCTTTTTAAAGACCGAATAAGAGATATCTGTACTACACTGTTCATTGCAGCATTGTTCACAATAGCCAAGCATGGAAACAACCCAAGTGTTCATAGACAGATGAATGGATAAAGAAAATGTGGTATCTATATATAATGTAATATTATCCTTTGCTTTTTCTTCTTCTCTTTTTCTCCTTTCTTGTTAAAAGGAAAATATGCTATATGGGGCTGAAATGTCCTCCCTGGAACATCAAATGATCTTAAAATGTAGGCCACACACATGACAACATAAAAGACACATAGATCCATGACAATATAACATGGCACATCAGTCATATTTGGCACAAAGGAGAAGTAAACTTTAAGTGTTATTTAATTAGGAATATTTACATTTTCAACTAAGAGAAAACTCAAGTAACAGTATGTTAATCGCAGAGTTGAGTTTTTTCATATAACAAGAAGTCTTAGTAGGAGATGGTATGTTAGTCCATTCTCATACTGCTATGAAGAAATACCCAAGACTGGGTAATTTATAAAGGACAGAGGTTTAATTGACTCACAGTTCTGCATTGCTGGGGAGGCCTCAGGAAACTTACAATCATGGCAGAGGCAAATGAGAAGCAGATAGTTTCTTCACAGGATGGCAGGACTGAGTGAGTGCAAGCAAGGGAAATGTCAGACTCATAAAACCATCAGATCTTGTAAGAACACACCCACCATAATGAGAATGGCATGGGGGAAATGGCCTCCATGTTCCAATTACCTCCACCTGGTCCCACCCTTGACATGTGGGGATTATGAGGATTCCAATTTGAGGTGAGATTTGGGTAGGGACAGAGAGCCAAAGCATATCAGATGGTTAGTTTAGATTCAGCTAGACCAGAATCCTATCAAGGACCAATGCTCTGTCTTTATTTCTGTTCCTCTATTCTTAGAGTGGTGGCATTTTTAACTTATTTTTGTACTTCATGGTTATAAAAAGGGTATCTCAGTTTCATGTGCCTGTATGTACTCATCCTCTAACTAAAAGAGAATTGTGATGCATGCACTACAAATTTTGCTCAGATTTATTTCATAATGTAAATTAACTGATTTTTTAAAATGGCATATTCAAAGGCTGTGATATATGTAAATGCACAAAATAAAAACACTGAGAGTACAAAAATGTCTAGTTTCATAATAGAAAGGTAAATCATAGAAATATACATGAACTCAAATTAGGTAACACTTTGCAATCACGGACTGGTACATTTATGTAAAACAAAAGTAGAAATTATATAAAAATGTAATAGTCATGTCAGTTACATTAACTGACATGGTACCAGTATTGCAATATAATTATGGACAGATGACTTCTGGATTGCTTGTAAGCTTTAACAAACTACTTTTGCTTTACCGTAAGGGCAGATGTCACCATTTCAATTTCATGTGAAAAAATATGCAAACCTTTCAATGATACTCATGTGTTTATGCATAAAATTGTTTTCTAAGGAAATGATTTCCATTATTAGATATTCATTGAGCGCTAGAAAATGCATTCTGTCTTACATTATTCTTGTGAGATCAAAGTCCTACGTAGTTTTCTTCAGATTAGATTAAATATATTCTGACTTGGTTTAGAAAGCAAGAGCCATTTTCTTAATGTAAGATAAACTCATGAAAATTTACAACATTTTGGGGGAGGAGGGGGAGAAAAAGAAAGGTGAAAAATAAATCTAAAAATCATTTAAAACATTTCATGTCCACATTTACTGAAACTTTATATTTACTTTGTTGTAGAAATCTGGAAAGAAAATCCTTAGTAAACATGTAATTTTGATAACACGTGCCTATTAGGGGAGTGGATAGAGATGATGGTTAAAATGTCCTGACAAATCGTAGATGATTCATAGAAAACATGGGTTCAGGTATAGAAATTAATAGAATAAAGAAGTGGTGTGCACACATGTGGCTCATGTTTTCCTGTCAGATGCTCCTTTCTTATTTTTCTCTGTATGACTGTGTTTATAATGCATTTGTGGCTATGTGGGAATGTGCAGAGATCAGCCCATCAACAGTGACTTCTCAGAATTTTACTTGACTTTCCAGTCTTCATTACTTCAGTAGGAAAATAAAGTCCTGAGGAAAAAATGGTAAGTGTTTTTACCTGGATTTCTTCGAGTAGCTTGAGAAAGAGACCACTGATTTTGCTAACAATGGATGCCCAACATTAAGTGTTCACAAAATATTATTTTATTATCCTTACTAACTTCTGAATATTACCCTGCAAATATGCTTATATCACTCTGATGGTAAGAAAGAGCCAAGGGAAGTTGGTTTTTATTTTTTGCTTCGCTTTTGTATTTTCATCTGCTAAAATTGGCCAAACTCATATCAAGGTGACAAATATAAATTATTTCTCTCCCATAGTTTTGACATAATGAAACAGAAAGAAAAGATACAAAGAGGAATCAGGAGATTTGTTCAACCAAACTGGTTTACTCTTGTAATGCTAATAAACATAGAAGTTGCTGAAGAAAGATTTTGCATTTCCATTGCTACAGTGTTCCTCAGAGGGCAGGCAGAGTATGATGTAAAGGGGAAAGGGGAGACAGAAGAGAACAATTGCTCAAGTGGACATTTTTCAGTTCTGTTGTGTCCTGAGAAAAGTTCTGTATAAATATCACACCATAAAGTAGCACTATAGGGCAGAATTCTGCATTTGCAGATATGATTACTTTAGCATGGAAGAAAAGAGGATTTCTAATTCTGTGATGATTGGAATAAATAAATGCTAAAAAATGTCATGCTGCAATAAACATATTGCAGCATGACTTTTTTAGCACACGTATGTTTATTGCGGCATTATTCACAATAGCAAAGACTTGGAACCAACCCAAATGTCCAACAATGATAGACTGGATTAAGAAAATGTGGCACATATACGCCATGGAATACTATGCAGCCATAAAAAATGATGAGTTCATGTCCTTTGTAGGGACATGGATGAAATTGGAAAACATCATTCTCAGTAAACTATCGCAAGAACACAAAACCAAACACCGCATATTCTCACTCATAGGTGGGAATTGAACAATGAGATCACGTGGACACAGGAAGAGGAATATCACACTCTGGGGACTGTTGTGGGGAGGGGGGAGGGGGGAGGGATAGCATTGGGAGATATACCTAATGCTAGATGACGAGTTAGTGGGTGCAGTGCACCAGCATGGCACATGTATACATATGTAACTAACCTGCACAATGTGCACATGTACCCTAAAACTTAAAGTATAATAATAATAAAAAAAAAATGTCATGCTGTCCTACAATTGTCCCCTGGCCATTCCCCACCTCAGACCCACCTTTAAGAATTACCACATCAATCTAGGGTATTTAGAAGTAAAGAGGTTTTCTCCCCTGCCCAGCTGATACCTTTAAAATTCTTTCTTAGGATTTTGTAGTTAAGGGAAAACATCAAGCTGGCTTTTGCTTGTCTATAAGATTATTAATGGGAGATGACTAGTATCATCCAGCTGCAACACATACAGGATGAAGTTAACCTCAGGCTCTTGGACAATGTAGACACTGGAATAACATCCAAAGAGAATTGGGACCATAATAGCATTAGCACAGATGGAGTGCAATGAAATCACATGTAAATAAATTATATATATTATAATATATATAATTTATATATAATTATATAAAATATATATTATATATATAATATATAATATATAATTATATAACATATATAATATATAATATATAATTATATAACAATATATAATATATATAATGTTAGCTTGAATTATAGCATGGAAGTTTTATTGTTTTTAAATTTTCTGCAATCTTAAGGAGCATGGGAAAAAAACAATCAATTGGATATTTTGCCTCAAGCTGGGCAATAACTCATTTTTTTATGAATGCCTGTTTTTTCCATGAGTTATATGTCTAGATGACTATATGCCTGCAAACACAACAGCTCTATAATCTTGAAATTCTTCTGGTTACAGTTGATGTGTTTTTCCTAGTCTAACGTTTCCAGAATATCTCCTAAATCTCTGCAAACTGTAATAATATTTTATGCTTTAATGTTGTGCAAATTCTAGTCCCTTTAGAAAAAAAATAAAAGAAGATTGCAGTTCTGCTATGTAAGTAGCAGAAGCATAAAGCTCTAAAAAATGTGTGGCAGTTCATTTCCTTTGAAACATCCACTTAATGATAATTTGCCATAAATTTTAATTCAATTTTTGTTTGTTTCTTTCAGGTGTTGATCTTTTTAATGTAGTCAACAATATTTACATATAACAATTGGCAACTTAGAGTGTTATTAATAGATTATTCACCTGTATTTGCCTTTATTTGTGTGTGATGGGCGCAGCAAACCACCATGGCACATATATACCTATGTAACAAACCTGCACATTCTGCACATGTATCCCAGAACTTAAAGTATAATAATAATAAAAAAATTTAATTCTATATAATGTTTTTATTTTCTCCTCTCCCAAGATTAAAGCATTTTCTTTGCTTACAGCATAATAAGCATATTAGAGTACAATAGAAGTACAGGAAAAAACAGATATACAGACTGTTCCTCTTGAGTTAAATGAAATTTAACACAACTGTCCACTGGGTGTTTTTTATTCATGACGCAGGAATGCACTACTGCTAGTAGTTCACATGAAAAGACATGGTTCAGGAAAGGAATGTTTTTCACTAGGATAAATAAACAGCCAATCTTGGAGTGAACAGAAAATCCCACAACAGACACTTGGCAAGACTTTGCTAGTAATAAGTTAGTTCAATTGAGAGGGGGATTTAGCATTGTTTCTTTTCCAGGAGATGAATGATTAAAAATACTCCCTGCACCAGGTGCTCTGTGGTGCTCTTGACCTTCATTCCCATCTATATTTGCAGGTGTTCCTTCAGTTTTACAGGGTTAAACTGTGTCTTTCTATGTCTCCATGCGGTGTAATTTTAGTGACATGCATTGTGGATGAGTGCAGTCACTTCTCTTGCCATTACAGATAAATTTTAAACAACAGGATCCAAAACCTCATCCATGAAACTTGGATGTGTATCAAGGGAACCGGAAGAGATGCCAACATTTGTTTACACTGTGTATTATGAGTATGGAGTTATAGCCTGACATTTGCATTCAAGTGGATTTAAAGAGATAATTTAAACTGAAGGTATATATTAATATTATATACAATTTCTTATGATGAATTTTAAAATAAAGAAAGGGAAAAATGCATAATTTTATTTGAAGATCAACATTGGTTTTGGTTGATATACCATTAGAATCTGAATTACAGTTGTAAGTACATACGTTGATACACTAAAAAGATAAAACCTAATATATTATCTGTTGTGGTTGTACCATGGAAGAAGTGAAATATGAGAGATAGCTGCTTGTTCAGAAAAAAAATAGGGTCACTTTACTGTACATTTTCTGCTGGGAACAAGAGAAAGAAAAGCTGCTTCTCTATGAACTGTGACTGTCTCCAATTCTGAACAGCAGGTAATATTGGAGGTGTTGTAAATACAGTAAATCCAATTTTGTTGTTTTGTTTCTGATATCTATCTTTCTATCTATCTTCATCATCATCATCAATCACCTACATAGTATCTATCATCTATATATCTAAAAATTAAGGAAGCTTTAGTATTAACAACATTGGGAGATTGCACATATTTACCAAAGCTAATATATATTATTTTCTGAGTTGTAACTTTCATATTTGTTTTTCCATATATGACTTTGGTAATTCAAGGTACTAGTTATGATGGATGTTATTTGAATCTATTAGTTTGGAAATTAAAGTAGAGCAATACCACAATAACAAGAGTATGCAGGAGTCTCTGTGATTTTGCAGTTAAGGACTTAAAAGTGTGTAAATAATTTATAAAGGAAAAATAAATTGGGTCACTAAAGTAATGCAAAGTAAAAAAAAAAAAATAGTGCAGGCCAATGAAAGAGGATCAGAGAAGATAGTAAACCACACTTTGAAAAACAGTATTTGCCTTTATTTTATTTTCAATCATTGTATCTTATGAAAGTATTGGGACTTTGTTTTTGATACAATGTTCCATTATTTGAAGATTATTTTGCTTTTCAGATGGCTGTTGCTTTAGTGATACTCAGTGATAGGTACTTCCTGGAACTGCATAATTAGTACCAAATTCGGGATTGACGGGTCAAAAGGGTCAAAATAAAAAAGAAAATGGGAAACTATATATTCAAGTAAGGTAAAATATGAAATTTAGAAAGAAATATGTAAATTTAATTACCAATTTTAGTCTATGATACATTAAATAAAGAAAAACTCATTTTATCATCAAAAAGGACTAAATCCTTTCTCTTATTTTTCTTCTTTCTTCTACATATCAGAGGATATGTTTGGCACTCAAAATGTATCTAATTTTCTACATTCTGAAGCTGGCAAATAAAATAATAAACCTATTGAACCTGAAATATGTTTTTGGGAAAAAGTAAGAATGCATTCAGATATTAATTGAGATTATTAAAGAGAACAAATTGTCCAGCCTAAAGAGAACAAATTTTCCAGCCTAAAGAGAACCTTGTTAGTGGACAAATATGGGCTTTTTGTACCTCAAAAAGGGAAGCCACATTTATAGTCATTGGGAACAGGTAGAGTCTTTTGAAAGTCAGAAAAATATAATAATGCCAACAAGGATTCTAAGTTATAAGAGTAATAAAAGACAATTAAAATACATATGTGCATTTCCTGATATGAATCCTAAACTAAATTGTTTTAAATGTAAGTGATTTAAAATATATACATGGGCTCTTATTTTTTAAGAAGGAGATAAAGTAAGAAAAAAGACTTGCTTAAAATGTTAAAGAAGGGTGATTTGTTTTTCTGGCATTTCTCTGTTTTCTTAGCAGCAAACTACATTGGAATTTGCTGTTTGGTTACTCAGTCTGCCAAATTTTGGATGCTCCACCTGTGTCAAATTTGAACAGCAGATGGGTCTGCCACTTGAACTTCTGCCAGTAAATATGGGCCCCAATTCCAAAGTAAAAGGACTGGGCCTGAGGTGAGGGTGTACAATGTACAATCTGGTTCTGAGTGCAATTATCAGGAGTGTGATTATGCTTCAGGTTAATTTGGAGGGAATCTTTTTTCCTAAAAGTTGTATTGGGAAGTAGAGAAGATCCCTCAAGATCTGTTTTGGTTTCACTTGAAATTGTGGACCATGTAAAATGCACCGTGGAAGGACTTTGGTCTACAAGGCAAAGTAGAGTGGCACACTGTGGAAGAAATACTGTGATTGTGGCATAAGGGGAAATCATGTGATATTTTGGTGTTTATTGCAAGAGCAGTGAAAAATTATGGGTAGTAATTTTGGAAATTATAGGGTTTGGTAAACATGACAGGGTTTGGAAATGTGTCACTAGAATAAAAAGACAAAGAAATCATTTATCAAAATTATTGGAGCTATTGAGAAGCTATTACGGTAGTCCTCCTTATCCATGGTTTTGCTTTCTTGGTTTCTGCTTATTAAGCTACTGTTACACAAACCTTTCACAGTCTCAATTTCTCTTCTATGGGATGGCTTCCCCTTCACTAGGCCCTACTGCTGGATCTAGGAGCACAGTAGTCTCTCTTTGTCTATGGGGGACAAGTGCCAAGACCCCAGTGAATGCCTGGACCACTGAGTTCCACCATGCTCTGAAAATATTAAATGGGAAATCCCAGAAATAAACAATTCTTAAGTTTCAAATTGTGTTCCTTTTTGAGTAGTGTGATGAATTCTTTAGTTGTATCACTCCCTCTCTCTGGATGTGAATCATCCCTTTGTCCAGCATTCTTATGCCATCAACACTTATCGCCTATACTCACTTAGGAGCCATCTCAGTTATCAAATCCATTGTCCCAGTAACACAGTGCTTGTGTTCAAGTCAGCCTTATTTTACTTAATAATAACCCCAAAATGCAAGAGTGCTGGCAACTCAGATATGCCAAAGTGGAGCCTTAAGGTACTTCCTTTAAGTGAAAAGGTGAACATTCTTGACCTAATGAGAAAGAATAAAAGTTTTACCCAAAGGTGCTAAGATCTATGGTAAAATGAATCTTCGATCCATAAAATTGTGAAAATGGAAAAAAATGCATAATTTATATAAGTTTTGGCACAATCGACAATTTCAGGCATTCGCTGGTCTTGGAACTTGTCTCTCAAAGATAAAGGGAGACTACTGTGCTCCTGGATGCAGCAGTAAGGCCTAGTGAAGAGGTTGCCGTCCTTTAGAAGAAAAATTGAGACTGTGAAAAGTTTGTGTAACAGTCGCTTAATAAGGAGAATTATAATAAAAGTGGTGGTAGAACTTAGAAAACTGTGCCCATATCAAGCTTTCTGGCTAATACTGAGAGGTACAGTCCCACAGGAGTGAATTAAGGAACACAATGTGTTCCAATACTTTGCTGATAATAGCTTCTCAAGAAAATTTAGATGGTTGACAAGTAATCTGGCATATAGAGGTTTCTGTAGAGGCTATGTGGAATCACGATACCTCAGGTTATCATGGGAGGGAAGGTCAGGGTGGCCAAATTGAATCCCGCAAGGTATCAACTGCAAGTATGTTTGGATTGTATCACCCATTCCCCATGACTCCCGACCAATTGCCTGGGAAGCCAGAACTTCCAGAGAACTCCAGTCCCATTAGATACTGCTGAAATTGCTGAGACCTTGCCTTGGACACATGACTGAGTACTTGCTGAATAACTGGGAAGAATAAGACAGTCCATGTGCTAATTGTTGAGGCAAAAGAGACGGTTCTTATGACTTTATGACTATGAGAAACACAGGTCCATTAAAGTTCAGAAGCAAGAAAAATGCCCAAGGCTCAGAAGTGACTGTGAAGGTCTGAGGTGGGTGCTGAGGTGAGTTCCAACATATGAGGAATCATTATCCCTTGTTAGTGTTAATCGTCATAAAAGGTAAATAAAATAAAAGAAGAAAAAAGAAAGCACTAATCAACAAAATAATAAATATAGTTACTTTAAGGAGATATAAACATTAAGAAAGAGGCATGCCAAATATTTGGTGGGCAGTCTTGATTGGAAAAGAATTCTATTCAATAGCATAAGAGAAATGGAACATTTACTTTTTAAAATGAATGCAATTATGCAGTAAGTTTAACAAAAGCAAACTTCACTGTGAATGTTTTAGAGGAGCCTGAGCCCTGAAGACATTGGGGTTCTGATGTTACGATGACCATGTGGATAGAAGGAAGCAATTATTCTTTTTGTTGAGGTAGTAAATACAAGAAAAATTGTACAGGTCAACCAAATGCTAATGATATAGGGAAACAAGAATAAAAATAAGCCAAATTGTGAAATGCTTTTTTGGACTCTTGTTGGTCACTGCAAAAAGAAGAGAAAAAGCAGCAGATATCTGATTAGACAGGTTCAAGGTCTCTAACAAGACTGAAATTGGGAACTCCATTCGCTGTGGTCCTGGTAATAGGACCTTCATGCTCTTAGCATTATCATGAGGAAGATCTCATGCAAATGAATAAACAGCAATTAGGAGCTATTTAGCTCAACCTTGTAGGAAGAACTAGGGAGAAATTTGCTTTGTGTTGTGCTACAGGCAAAGAATGGATCCAATGAGGGAAGAATTTGGAGTTGTATGTAAAAGAGCAGTTGAATGAACTTCTTCTGGAGACTTCTAGTCATTACTTCGCTAGCTGATCATGGTCAGGTCAGTGTGTGCAGCAAATCATACAGTTTGATAACCAAGTTGCATTGCCAGTACTTCCCTTGGGCTTTGCATTGGAAAAAGAAAAGTTCACTTTCATTTGTCCTGGAATCAGAGCAATCATTGCATATTGCATTTATAAATTGTCCCAGGGAGACCACTGTGCATTGGGTCTACCTGCATAGATGCTGAGCTCAACATTAAAATAGACATTTTTCTTACTACATTGGAATGCCCTACAGTTTCTTTTTCAGTCTCGTTTATACCTTCTCACTATCAAAAACTTAATCTTTGCAAACACATAGAATGATTATCCTTTAGATGAAATAACATGTCCAAGAGAATAAAACGTCACTGTGCTTCTACTAGAAGAGAATGCACCAGGATTATGATGACCACGTGCATAGAAGTGAGCTCTTTTCCTGGTGGATTCCCATAATTGTACAATGTACTGATTTATGCTATATCAGCAGAGATTTTTCACAGTTCCAGAAATGACCGTGTTAATTCCTAATCACCCATTGAGTATTTACAACTTCCTGCAGAGCATTCTGTCCTAATAAGAATGGATAATCCCTGCTTAAAAATAATTCTGGTCAAAATTAAATAATAGAAATCCATTCTGAAATACCACTAATAGGCAGTGAAATGCAATTTCTATCTGAGGTTTGAACATAACCATGGCATGAAATGGCTGAGTGAGGACATATGGATGCAAGTTATGTCAGTAAACTAGTTTCCAATTATGTTGTACTGAGAAGTTTTCAATTCCTCTTTAAGGAAACAACATAAGTGACCTGAACAGAATCATGATATGCTTGTGATTGGCTTTAACTCAAATATTTGTGCTAATAGAATTTCTCATACCCTTCAGGTTCATAAAGACCTAATATATTTTATGAACCTGTAAAGCTATTAAAATAACATTTCTCAGTAACAACATTATACATTCTTCAATTTCACAAATGAAGTCAACAATATAGTTGTGGAATCTGTTATCAGGATTTGAAAGGTGGTAAGCTCTAGAAATGGTATGATACCTCTTCAATGGTTTCTCTTGACTGTAAAAATTAATAATGACTCAATAAAGATGTTAGATTAAGAGACTAATGAAAGAGTCTCTATCTTTTTAATTTCCACTTATTCTTCAACCCACTCCAAACTGGTTTCTGTTTACATACCCTGCATACTTTAATTTCAATCTGTTCATGTATGGCTTAGATGATACTTAATTTAATACAGTTTTTAAAGTTCTTATCCTGTCCGACATTTAAGCAGTTTTTGACACTGATGGACATTCTTTCCTTCTTGAATCATTGTCTTTCCCTGGCTTCCAAGATACCCTCGTTTTCTTCCTGTGTATAATATTGATCATTCTCAGACTGTTTTTGTGGCTTTCTTTTCTCAAAGAAAAGATTGTACTGGACAAAGTTAAAGAAGCAAGGAAGACTTATTCAAGGCTATTGCAATGTGGGAGACAGGCCAGAACTCAGTTTTTTTTTTTTTATTATACTTTTAAGTTTTAGGGTACATGTGCACATTGTGCAGGTTAGTTACATATGTATACATGTGCCATGCTGGTGTGCTGCACCCACTAACTCGTCATCTAGCATTAGGTATATCTCCCGATGCTATCCCTCCCCCCTCCCACCACCCCACAACAGTCCCCAGAGTGTGATATTCCCCTTCCTGTGTCCATGTGATCTCATTTTTAATGCAGCTCCTGTGAAAGAAATAGCACCAGGGTTTTGAAGAGCTGCAGTGAAGAGGAACTCACAGGCCATCTGTGTTTGCTAAGTGGCTTAACCCAAAGGAAAAGTAAACTTTCATATATCTTCATAATGGGAGGTATTTTATAATTTGGAGCAAAGTGCCCTCCAAAGTTAGGTTTCTACCCTCACACAGAAACTTACAGATGGAGACACTGTCTTCCTTGGTTACATTTCAAAAGCATGGCTCCAAGGTCCTTGCTAAAGACAATTCTGGACTGTAAAACTTGCAAGATGAATTTAAGATTTACATCTCAAAGTCCTAGTGAAACAATTTACAAAGTTTTGTAAAGTAAATGCTCTAGGAAAAGGATGGTTCAGGGACTAGAGACAGGAAGACACCTGTCTCAAATCTAGTCAGGCTGAGGGAAACATTGAGGTCAGCAGTCCTTTCCAGACATTTGAATTTAGACTTTTGTTTTACAATATTTTTTTCTTGGTTTCCACTTGGAAACCTTTTCTACAGGCATTCTCATCTATTCCTATGGTTTTATCATACATACTGTAATGACTCCCAAATCTTAATTTCCAACCTAGCACCATCTTCTGCACTTCAGACATATCTGTTCAATTGCCTATATCCTGTCTTCACTTCAGCATTTCACAGGCACTTCAACATGCCAAAATTCAAATCCTAATCTTAGCATTTGCCCTCATATCTGCTAACTCAAATTAAAATACATTTTCTTCAGCTCCAAGTATAATTCATTACTAAGTACTGTTGATTTTCTATCCTAATATCTCTCAAAAAAAAGTTTGTATTTCCTACAAAAATAGTTTGCTATTCATTTTGCCATTGTTTACTTACTAGGCCAATAAATCCACTATGACAGTGACTCTGGCTTGCCACCCTTACCTCTACCAGGTCTGCGTATACTCACCCCTTCCTCTTCCCTCCACTTCCCCTTCTTTGCTGCACACAATGATATAGAGTCATGTGACATATACCAATGCTTTGATCAATGATAGAATTCATAGTTGAGAGTGGTCCCATAAGATTATAATGAAGCTGAAAAATATCTATGGCCTAGTGATGTTGTAGCCATGATAATGTCATAGGGCAATACCTTCCTCAGGTGTTTATGTTGATGCTTGTGTAAACAAACCTACTGTACTACCAGTTGTATAGAAGTATAGCACATACAATTATGTATACTACATAATACTTGATAATGTTCATAAATTACTATGTTAATGATTTATGTATTTGCTACACTATACTTTTTATGACTATTTCAGAGGGAACTTCTTCTACTTATGTTTTATTTAGAAAAAGTTAACTGTAAAACAGCCTCAGGGAGGTATTTCAGAAGAAGACATTGTTATGATAGAAGATCTTTCATGTGTCTTCTTGCCCCTAAAGACCTTCTAGTGAGATAAAATGTAGAGATGGAAGACAGTAATATTAGTAATCCTGACCCCATATAGGCCTAAGCTAATGTGTGTGTGTGTCTTAGTTTTTAACAAGGAAGTTTAAAAAGTAAAATAATAATAATAAATTTTCAAAATAGAAAAAGCTTATAGAATAAAGATATAAACTATTTTTGTACAGCCATACTATGTGTTTCTGTTTTAAGCTAATTATTGCAAAAAAGTCAAAAAGTCAAAAAAATTTTAAAATTAAAATGTTATAGTAAGTTATGGTTAATTTTTTATTGAAGAAAGAAGATTTTAAAAACAAATTTAGTGTAGCCTATGTGTACAGTGTTTACAAAGTCTACAGTTATGCTCTGTGATGTCCTAGAGCTTCTCATTCACTCACCATGAACTCACTGACTCACCCAGAGCAGCTGCTAATCCTGCAAGCTCCATTTGTGGTAAGTGCACTAAACGGGTTTACCATATTTTATCTTTTATACCTTATTTTTCCTGTACTTTTTCTATGTGTAGACAGACTTAGATGTACAAATACTTGCCACTGTGTTCCAATTGCCTACAGTAATCAGTATCGTCACATGCTATAGAGATTTTTAGCCTAGGAGCAATAGGCTATACCATGTGGCCTTGGTGTATAGCAGGCTATACCATCTAGATTTGTGTAAGTTTACTCTATGATGTTCATGTGATGAAATAACTGAACTAAATAGCTTCTTCACAGCAAAAGAAACTATCATCAGAGTGAACAGGCAACCTACACGATAAGAGAACATTTTTACAATATACCCATCTGACAAATAACTAGTATCCAGAATCTACAAGGAACTTAAACAAATTTACAAGAAAAAAACAAACAACCCCATCAAAACGTGGGCAAAGGATATGATCAGAAACTTCTCAAAAGAAGACATTTATGTGGCGAAAAGACGCATGAAAAAAGCTCATCATCACTGGTCATTAGAGAAATGCAAATCAAAACTACAATGAGATATCACCTCACTCCAGTTAGAATGGTGATTATTAAAAAGTCAGGAAACAACAGATGCTGGTGAGGTTTTGGAGAAATAGGAATGTTTTTACACTGTTGGTGGGAGTGTAAATTAGTTCAACCATTGCGGAATAAAGTGTGGCAATTCCTCAAGGATCTAGAACCAGAAATACCATTTGACCCAGCAATGCTATTGCTGGGTATATACCCAAAGATTATAAATCATTCTATTGTAAAGACACATGCACATGTATGTTTACTGCATTATCATTTACAATAGCAAAGATTTGGAACCAACCCAAATTCCCATCAATGATAGACTGGATAAATAAAATGTGGCACATATACACCATGGAATGCTATGCAGCCAGAAAAAAAGAAAGAGTTCATGTCTTTTGCAGGGACATGGATGAAGCTGGAAGCCATCATTCTCAGCTAACTAACACAGGAACAGAAAATAAAATACTGCATGTTCTCACTCATAAGTGGGAGTTGAACAATGAGAAAGCATGGACACAGGGAGAGGAACATCCCATACTGGGGCCTGCCAAAGTTTGGGGGGCAAGGGGAGGGAGAGCACTAGGACAAATACCTAATGCATCAGGGCCTTAAAACCTAGATGATGAGTTGATAGGTGCAGCAAACTGTCATGGCACATACCTACGTAACAAACCTACACATTCTGCACATGTATCCCAGAACTTAAAGTAAAATTTTTTAAAAAGAGAGAAAATAAAGAGAGAAAGTAATGGCCTAATGACACATTTCTCAGAATGTATCACCATTGTTAAGCAATGCATGCCTGTATATTTAAAAACACACATATTGTTACTCAACTTTGCTGCTTAAAACTCCTCAATCACGGTTTTTGAGGTAAAGTTCAGAATGTTTCAGAAGCTTATATGTTCTCTACAACAGAGGTTCAATCTACATTTTCAGATTTACCATTCACTGTCCATGCTTCAACTATAGTCTTGTTTTTTCTTGTTCCTTTAAAATATAATGTTTTCTTGCTTAATTATATGCATTATATTGTTTCCTCTTTCCTCTACAAATCTTTTGGCTAACTCCTATGCTTCCTTCCAAAGTTAGGCTAATACTAATTTTTCAAAAAAAAATGTTCTACCCACCAAACTTCATCCCACTCTGTACTTCCTTCTTTTAATAGACATCATACTTCATCAAATTCTGTTCCCAGAACAAGAACCTTCGTAAGAGTTTAGCCAGAGTCAAGCTTGCACACTGCTAATTCTGACACCTAGAACAGAGGCTGGTATAAAGTCAGTGTTTCACGAATACGGATTATATTAAATGAACCACATATTAAAGTAGCAACTCCTAATACAAATGCCCATTGTACATAAGCACATATAACTTATCTACTCCAATAAACATTCTTCAAAATGACTGAAGAAGATTACAGGAAAACTAAGCCCAAACATGGCTTTAGAAAGTTAAACTACAGTAGCATGTAAAGTGCATATTTTTCCAAAGCAAGAATTATCTTGAAAGAGTAATCCAATGAAGTATAGTATATTGAACTCACGGAAATGTCACAACAATCACATCACCTGATATCAGTTGTCCTGGTCATTCATATCATAATTTAGTTCACATAGTACATCACATCCAGAAGGTTAAGGGCAAGATGCCTGAGGATGGTGTCAAATTTACGAAAGTGTGAATAAATATTCATGAGCCTACAGCATCTCATGATGCCCTTTGACAAACTTTCCAGGAGAATTAAGAGTTTGTCAAGATTTCAAAGCTCAGATGATTGATGTTTCCAATAGCTTGTTATAAATATGCAGTGTGATTTTCTTAGAGGGAGAAGCTTCTCATCACTAGAAGTTTTTGAAAGTCTTCAGGAGCATTTTTTTTGTCATGAATAGTAATTTGTCACTAAAGATCCCATGAGACAACGTTATCCCTAGCTTACTGAGGATATGATCTGAGAGACTGAAACTTAAAAAGGGGATCAATAATTATTCAAACAATCTATTGTGAAAATTCTCATAAAATTTAAAAAACAAAGGAAGACTGACTATTTACACATTGTGCTCTGAAAACAATGATACACATTGGGTTAATTATGTTAGTAGGAATTATGTGAAAACCTGTTAATGAAATCACACTAAAGATGCATGGTGAAAAAAGCCCGTGAAGAAACTTTTAACCCTCTTTATTTAATTAAATCCTTATTTTTCTGGATTAAAAAGAGGAGATAGAGGTATATCTTTAAAAAATACGAGAATGGTTGAAGATTACCCATCAGTAATTGAAAGTAATAAGGTTCAGTAAAGAAGATAAAATGTGAAAAGTGTTCACATATGTTCCTACTAATAGTAACATTTTATTTAAATGTTTTGGAAAGTATTTCACAGTATTCAATGAAATCCTTGCAATGTTAAAAGCCTTTCAGTTTTTCATTTCACTTATAGTAATGTATCCTAGTGAAACAATTGGACTTATAGAAAATACTAATTCAGCATTATTATAACAACCAATAATAGAATTATCTCATATCCAATGATAGAATTATATAAATTACTAGTATATTGATATTTCTGAATCTTTATGTATTAGAAAGTTTACTTATAGAGATTACATAATTAGAATAATTACAATTCTTAATAATGTGTGCTTGCTTAGGCAAGAGAGCAAAAACAGACTTCCAAATTATACATAAAATTGTATAAATTCTGTATATACACATCATGATATCAATGATTTAAAAATATGTATGGAAAATGGAATAAATACTATGCTTATCAGTTATTTTAGACTATTAGTATGCCACAAATAATCAGAAAATATTTTACTGTATTTAAAGAGATGTTATTTTTTAGAGCAGTTTTAGATTCTCAGCAGAATCAAGAGGAAACTACAGGAAGTTCCCCTATAATCCCTGAGCTCACACAAGCACAGCCTTAGCCACTACCAGCGTTGCACATCAGAGTGGTACATTTATTACAAATGATGAACCAGCACTGACACATCTTTCTCACCCAAAGTCCGTAATTTACACTGGAGTTCACTCTTGGTGTTGTATATTCTCTATGGGTTTTGACAAAGATATAACGGTGTGTATTCACCATTACAGTATTCTAGAGAATAGTTTCATTTCCCTAAAAATCCTCTGTACTCCACTGATTCATCCCCCTCTCTCCTAACTCCTGGCAATCACTAATCTTTTCACTACCACCATAGTTTGCCTTTTCCAGAATGTCATATAATTGGAATCATATGAGCCTCTTTAGTTGGCTTCTTTCACTTAGTAATATACATGAAATGTGTCTCCATGTCACTTCATTTCTGGATGGCTCATTTCTTTTTAACACTGAATAATATTCCATTTTACTCATGTACCATATGTACTGTGAGCTTATTGACTATTGTCTTCAGAATTATAAAATAAAATGTATATTAGTTATTACCACATAAAATACAATGCAAATTTAAGCTAATGCCAAAGAAATCTATAGGGTTATTGTATACTTTATTACTGCATTCTTTCCTTAAAAAAAGAATTTTCCAGGGAACACCACATTTTATATAAAATGTGTTCTTCTGAGATGTGCCAAAGTCAAAATAAAAAACGAGCTCTCTAATATGGTTTGGCTCTGTGTCTTTACCCAAATCTCATGTCAAATTGTGATCCCCAGTGTTGGAGGAGAGGCCTGGTGGAAGGTGATTTGATCATAGGGATGGTTTCTAATGGTTTAGCACCATCCACCTAGTCCTGTCTCATGATAGCGTTCTCACAAGATGTGGTTGTTTAAAAGTGTGTAGCACTTCCCCTTTGCTCTCTCTTCCTCCTGCTCCAGCCATGTAGGATGTGCTGGCTTCCCCTTCGCCTTCCACTGTGATTGTAAGTTTCCTGAGGCCTCCACAGCCATGCCTCCTGTACAGCCCACATAACAGTTAGCCAATTAAACCTTTTTTCTTTATAAATTACCCAGTCTCAGGTAATTCTTTATAGCAATGCGAGAACTAATACACTATGTTATACATTACAGAGTGCTCAACATATGTTACAATTTCTAATTATTTTTAATGAAAGCACTTTCTGTGTCTGAGCCCTACAGACAAAAGCATTCTCCCAGTGGTGGAAGCGGACTGGGGAGGAGGTTAGAGACTGGGTATGCTTGGCTGCAAAGTTCTAGAATTACCACCTACATTTATCTCTTGTAAGGCTTCTTTTAAGCTCCATTAACACAAATTCTGATAAGTTGACCCTTACAAAATCCAAAATGCCCAGGTGGATTGATTTCTAAAATGCCTCTATATTTCTTCAGTAATAAGCCTTTAATCTAAAAAGAAGGAAGAAAATACAAGTATTTTGGTAAGCTCTATTCAGTCCTTCGACCTGAACCAGCAGTCTTCTGCTGAGATAAATGTGGCAGTAGTCAAGATGGTAAAGCTAAGAAAATAGACTTTGTGCTGTTTTAACAGTCTTGTTCATCTGATTGAATCAGTTAGAAGTTTCATTAAAACAACATATATACAGACATACAAGCACACACATATATATTTGAATGACAGTTGTAGTAACTTTGGGCAATGGGGAATTTTAAAATATGCATTATGGAACTGTAAAGAAACTGAGATTCCCACACTTACTACAGTGATATCTCCACATCCTTAGCAACAACTCTTAACAGAATTTACTCCCCACCAGCAGGCAGTTTCATCACACAATAACTCAAATGAATCTAAATAGGCACTTAGGGAAGAGAGAATTCAGTCATACAAAAGGCAGTTTAGGAAGGCATGTATCTTTATTATTATTACATATGGGTTTCAAAGCCAGTATCGCATTTTCAAACTTGTCTGATCATATTTGGAGGATTAACAAAGCAATCCACCAATGGTAACTTTGCAAGGTGATTTAAGGGGACAATGAGAAAGGATAAAAAGTATTTGGGTCTTTGGCTTCACCCTAAATGGACTATGATCCATGAGCCCTTTCAACTCTCAGTTTGTGAAATACCTAGAGAATAAAGTCATCTAAAGAAAAAGAGGTGAGGGACTCAAGAAATTTAAAATTATCACTGAAATAATGATTAGAGCAAAAGGACGGATAGGTAACCACTCAGATTATCCTTTGACCCTGTCTCCCCTGTGCCAGCTTTCTAGAGATAACGGACTACGAGATAAGAGCAGGGAAGATTCTATGTCACAAATCACTGCAGGCATCTTGGAAGTTCAGTCATACAGATGTGTGGCAGAGAAATGCAATACAATACAAAAAGGATGGAGATGAATTTCCTAAACACCAGTGGGAGACACCACAGCAAGATCACATCCAGCCACACATACCAGGTAGTAGAGAGACTTCCTGGGGAGGGCTTTCCCTCATCCCTTTCCACTTGGCCACAACCCTACAGGTGAAAATGGCAAGGGCTAAACTGAGATTTGCTGTTTTGTTAAGAAATCTTTTCCCGGGCCTGGGCGGTGGCTCACGCCTGCAATCCTAGCACTTTGGGAGGCCAAGGTAGATGGATCAGCTGAGGTCATGAGTTCAAAACTAGCCTGGCCAACATGGCGAAACCCCGTCTCTACTAAAAATACAAAAATTAGCCTGTAATCCCAGCTACTCGGGAGGCTGAGGCAGGAGAACTGCTTGAACCCGGGAGGCAGAGGTTGCAGTGAGCCAAGATCGTGCCACTGCAATTAAACCTGGGTAACAAAGTGAGACTCTGTCGCAAAACAAAAAGAATTATTTTCCCTAATTCTATCTTTAAAATTCTATCTTTCACACATGGCGGTTACATTAGTAAGAAAATTAATTTGTTGTTGTTTTTTTCAATTTAATCTTTAGCTACAATTTCTGTATATGTTAATAGATTGGTACACTTTTCAGTTTAAGGTAAGGTAAATCATCTTTTCTCATCTTAAAATAGCTCTCTAACTAGAAAATACAAAATGTTTAGAAAAAAATGCAAAAAATCAGAAGAAACATGGGTTGTCAATGGAAGTGTTATCAATATCCCAATATTTGCTGAGAGTGTACTTTGCGCCAAATGTAGTAAACAATAAAAAGTAACAGGATTCCTTTCCTCATGGGTCCTAAGATCTTATTGAGAAAAATCAGTCTAACATCACATGAAACAATTAGAAAACAATTAAGTATGTAAGTATTTTGTACTGAGTAAATAATAAGCACATTGGGAGAAGAGGGAGAGAAAGTAACCTGTATAATTTCTCTGCTGCCGGCAATCTTAGAAGTAACTTGAAGCAGCTGAGGTTAAAAAAAGCGGAAAGCACACAATTGTAGATAGCCCATAAGGAGCTGAGAGGAGGCAATAAATGCGTTAGCAAGACACCAGTACAGCACCATTCTTTCAAATAAAATGTGGCTTTAGGAGTGGCAGAATAAGTGCTTTTGTTTCTTTGCCTCCATTTTTCCACACTTCCATGTGCTGTGACCCCCCTTAATTCCAAAGGTATTTTTTTTTTTTTCTGTGCATCCGATCTTTCTTAAATTCTCTCTGATGAGACAGTTTTCCCCTCTCTCACAAAACTCTTTATCCTGGCTGGGAGATGTGTTGCATTTGCAGGTAGTTCTAAGAACAACAAACATGGCATGAATGTTAGCATCTGCCATGGCTGTTTCTCTCCCACCACCTTCTGTAAGGAGTGATCCCCTTGGCTTCCAAAACCATTTCTAATACCAGGTGGGATGTTGTTGGGGGGAGAAGTAATAATTCATAGAAAAGTGATTTGTAAGTTATTTTTTAATCTGTTTGATTCTCATAAAATATTTAAAGTAATTACTTAAGCTATTTGAGATCCTCCAAGTTTTAAAATTAACAAAGCAAAGCAATAGTTTAAGCAGTAAATATCTATGCTTCTAATATATAGATTTACATGACACAGCTGAAAGCTAAAATATTATATCTCATAAACCTGCCTAACCAACAAAATGTTGTACATTATGTTTGTATAATCATAGACATTTTAGTAATTTTTCACATGAGCTATTTTCGTAGGCAATAGAAAGATGATCATTATGATAATCCCGATGATGATTTAACAAATTCCGAACTAGGTGTTTAGAGTTAATTTTATCGTGGTGTTTTTATACTTGATAAGCACTCATTTATGATTTTAAAACCTATCTATGATAATATGTTCTGTCACTTTTATGTATATGTTCTTTTTAAAAGAAATTTTCCCCAGTTTGCCCAACAGATTGTTCAACTATTTTCTCCTGGTTTTTATACAATTGAATGGATTTTTCTTTACTGCTTCCATTCTTTATTGATTCTTTGCATTTTAACTTTTGACATAACTGAAGAAATCTATTCTTTACTGCATTCATAGAAGGAAAAATCCTCAAAACATAGACTGAGATTATTAAGGGAGAAGAGCATTGTGGATTATACTACTTTTAAATACATGTTCTATTAGCTGGTCATTTTGTGTTAATATCAGATGTAATGTACTTAAAAAAACAGTTACAATAGAAATGGAAGTCTAATAAAAAGAAATTTTCTTTGATTATAGGGACAGAAACCTTTTAATAAAATAACATTTGAAAACATTATCAGACTTTTTTTTCCAACACCTACAAAATTTGTTTAAAATTCATGTAAATGCTCTACATAATATCAAAAATAATTCTATAAAACCACATTGAAAGAAAAAAAAGTTATGATATTACAGATGCTATTACTTTAAACAGCATGGATAACTACTGTATTGATCAATTATTTCCATTCAGACAATTGTTAGGGCAACTTTTACTGCCACTTAACCATGTATTAGTGCCTTAATAACACAAAGTAATACATTGTAATTTTGTGAGGTTTGTGATGATAAATCTGTCATTTACCAGTGGTTAGCAACAAATTTTGAGGCGTGCCCAATGCAGAGCATATCCTATTAAGTTTAAAAATTCATTAAAGTTTCTATGTGCCAGATGGCACAATGTAAGAAATATTTGAAGTACACAGCAATTAAAACTCATAAACATATAAAAGCCTAGCTGGCAATTTGTTATATATATTGCATGTTAGAGCACCACAAATTGCTGGCTAGATAATATCCATCTGTTAATATGTTGAATTTCTCAGAACATAAGTAAATAGATAAGCTTGAGGCAAATTCACATTCTGATTTCTAAAGACTATAAAGCCTTTCATTTATTTCTTCAGTGTTATAAGGCACAATTGCACTTCAAACTGGAAATGCTCAGGAAGATGAAGACACCAAGCATTTAGAAAATTATCATCAGAGACTGACTGATTGATTTGCCTAAGAAGTAAAATTCATTTTTAAAAAGTACCCTTGCATATCCTATTAAGAGCAAGTTGAGGTTTGAACTAGGAGAGCAATCACAAGAATGCTAAATTTCTAATTTAATATTATATTTTTTACGATAGCTTTTAAATTTGAAGAGTAATTCCTTTGAGTCTATGCTGATTATATTTACCCAAACAAATGTACTACCTGTTTACACTTGACCTTCCACAAATTACCTCAATTATTTAAAAATATGTTTTTATTCAATACCTAATTATAATACTTATTTGAATGATCTGAGAATGCATTATTTACCCCTTGCATTATTCAACCTTATTTTCATCATTAACTAAATGATAATATTTAAACCTCATATTACTAAGTGGAAGGTCTCCCCAATCCAGAATATATTTAATTACCTTTAATCTTATGTTTTGCTTGAAATAAGTATTAATTAAATATTAAAAATCTCCAAATATGGTTTTGAAAATGAAATTTTCTTCATCTGTAACAATAAATAATTTAATAAAATGATAAAACAATTTGTCTACTTATGTTTAATATCTACTAGTCACTGTATAATCATATTTTAATTTTATTTTTACATCATACCCATGCAGTCGATTTTATTATGCCAGTTTTACAAATGAAGAAATTGAAGCTGAGGGAGGTTAGTTAACTTGCTCAAGGCCACAGAGCTAGTAACTTAAAAAACTAAAATTGAGAGCCTGCAGTTTAATTTACAAAAAGTATTTTTTGTAAAAGTGATGTCTAGACTCAAATTGTCTAGTTTGGAAGCCCAAATGACAACTACAGGCAGCATCTCTCAAAGCAAGTTAATGAGTAGAAATTTCTAGAACCATAACTCTGTTTAAATCCATACTGTATAAGGATGTGGCAAACATCATAAGCTTCCATTGGGAGGGGGAAAATAACAAAAAAACCTCTATCAGGCATTTTTTAAACAGGAATAAACACTAAGGATATCATAATCCTGTTGGAAAATAGAACATTAACATAAAAGTGGTTTTAAATATGTCAAATCATGAGCATATGCTGACATATGTGTATATATGCACATATATGTAAGTCAGAGAGATAAATACGGCTTTCAAATGATGTGAGGAATAATTAAAAATCTGTGGAAGTACTTGGTTTAATAGCTTGAAAAAGAGGAATTAAAATCTATTGAATTAGAACATTATATTTCTAGATTTTTTTAGCTCATAATGGTCTTAAAATATAGGCCATTTGTGAAATTGAAAAAAATCATCTAGTACACTAGGGAACAGTGCAAATTAAGTGTTGCTTACTTTACTATCTGATTATACTACAGAATCCATTGATGGTAACAAAGTTAAAAAAAAACTTACATAAATAAGTTAGATGGAGTTTTGTAAACACTGCTTCATTCAAAAACTTAGCTAGACTATACTCAGAAAAATTCCTTAAAGTATATTGTAACTTCTGACGTTTCATATATCCTACAGAAATCATCTAGTCTTCTCCCATGACTTCATATGTGATATAAAAGTAACCCCAATCTATACTCCTATAGAAATTTAGGAAAATGGGTAATAAATATTATTTTGTAAACTAGACTATCTAAATATTGGTCATGTGTTACAAGAGCTATTTTGGTAAGACGTATAAGATTTATATGAGACTACAATAAAATTTCAGTTTAGTGTGTGATCAAATCATAGCCAGGATGATGATTTTATTGATTATTAATATGATCTCATGACTTAATTCAAGACACAATGAAGTGAAAATAAAATTTAAGCAAAAAATCTGATAATATGTTTCAGCAAATATATTCTATCTGATTTCATCACATCAATATTCGTGCAAAAACTAAGCAATTTTACAGGTAATTTTCTCATGAAATATTGATCAGCTAGACATTATCCTTTGCCAGGATTCATGTTGATAACCAAAACACACTTAATTATTTTGTATAAACAACCAAACGAAACCAAACCAAACCAAAGTATCCCAGCTAAGTAAACAAACAGAAACACATTCAAATAAAACTGTCATAGTGGTTATCAAATATGCCGTAAAAACAAATACAAATGGATGGTTTCCTTTGTTTCCTCCTCTCAGAAAACTTATACTAGTTTTCCATGGAACTACAATACATTGAATTAATAATTGAGGTATGTTGTATTTATTTTTAGTAACAATAACAACAACTTTAAAATATGGACAGATATCTCTAGAAATCACACTTCTTGTAAAAAATGAAACTAACTTTACAGAGGCAAAACTTCACAGGTCTGTTGTTTATATTTTACAGTCTGAAGAATGGTAAAAACTTGAAGATACTTTTGAATCTGATAATAAATTCTGAGAAATAAAGGTGAACAGACTTATTTTTCATAAATTGAGATGAAATACTTCTTAAATAATTAAGCAGAATCACTAATCAAGCAAAGATGTTATGTATGATAAACAATTTTTGATCTAAAAAATAGCTAAAATTTTTAAGGGTCCATATTAGTTATATTTATTCACATGTGAAGTTAAAATTCGTGTGGGTGTGGGTTTTTTTCTAAGAAAATATTTGCAAACTACCCAGCTGACAGTGTTTTACTATCCAGACTATACAAGAAACACAAACATCTCAACAGCAAAAACAAAACACATACCTGATTTTAAAATGAGCAAATGACTTGAAGAGACATTTCTCAAAAGAAGACATAAAAATGATCAACAAATATATGAAATAAAAAAAAGATTTTTAAAAATAATTAACTGGTAGAGACCAAAAAATGTTTCTGAAAATATAAATATCATGGAAGATTTTTTAAAAATCCTTAAACAGCTTAAAATATAAACATGATAATAAGAGATGAAAACTATAAGAGTAGAGATAATAAAAGAGCAATCTATGAATGCAAAAATCTAAAAGTAGACATTGAAATAACAGATGATATGCAAAGACACACTAAATCTATCAAAGAAATAATGCAACAAACTGTCACAGTGCTGAAATACATTCATTTTCAGATTGAAAGAACTTTCCATGTGCCATGCCACCCTTTCTTCTGCTAAAATGACCCACATCAAGCACATTATTACAAAAGTTCATAATAAAAGGTATACAGAAATATTATTATAAGCTGATGTAAAGGATCTAAAATCAAAAATAGTAATAGAATATAATTAAAATGTAATTTCCAAATTCATTGGAAAATTATTTCAAACAGAATTTTATATCAAATATGAGCATGAAATTTTTTATATACAGGATCTCAAACATAATTGTCTGTCATGAATTTATTCAAGATTATACAGAAATATGTGATAAATAAAAAAGATTATTTAGAATACGAATGATAGTTTAAAAGAGCCCTGGATGATAAATGAAGATCAAACCTATAAAGCAACAAGATGGACAAAGGACGAATCATAGAATCCAACACTATAACATTCACTGTTGATATGACATGAAGTTATAACCTATCTCCATTTGGAGAAAAAAAGGAGGATGTCTGTAGAGATGCAAGGTCAAGGGAATATAAATCAAATAAATATAGTCATTAATGCCAAATTAAATAGCTAATATCCTTGATACTATGTCTTTTGTAGTGTGAAATTCAGGAAGTGAAGGGATTGGGATAGAGGATTTTGATTTTCATTAAATCTTATAGATGTTTTGACTCCTTAAATTATGTGTGACTCCTTAAATTATGTGCATATAGATTTTTTAATAAAAATAATTTAAAACATTGTAGATACCTTTGATAATTAGAAAGATTATAAAGTAGTCTGGAAAAGCTCATAGAAGATGACCTCATTAACACATAACAAATACCTAAGCTGTGATGTTCTTCTGTTGAACATAAATTATTTCACAGAACATCATTATAGAACCAGAGGTACTCTATAAATATAGTGGATAGAAACAAGTTCATTATAAAACCATATCAGAGTATAGAGAAAAATAAGAAAACTGTGAAACCAACAAAAATTACCAATGAGTGACTGCTTCTTCTTTACTAATGACAGCTTTAGCCATGCTCTTTCCCTCCCATCTTCTAATTCAAATTATTAAGTTACACAAGTCTTCGTCTTTTTGACAATTTTTGTCTTGGATTAACATTTAAAACCACATAGGGGGAAATTTCTGCTTCAACTTAAGATGTAGTATAAGAGACAAGATTCGTGATCTCATCCAGAGCAAACAAAAAACATATAAAATATATGAAGCAATGGTTTTAAGACACTGGTATCAGGCAATGAAGGACTCCGTTCCCTGAGAAAGAAGACACAAATGAAGTGAATCTGATGACTGCCAGCTTATGGCCTTGATAGAAGTTCCAGGAAGAGGAATAGGGAGGGAAAATCTAGACTAAATGCAACAGGTTACCTATGGAGATAAATCTAAAAGTCAGAGGAAAACAAAGCAGCTCGAGTTCACAGGGCAGAGTATACGGATGGGGAGTGTAAAATAGAGAGAGAACGCCTTCACCATAAATACTCAGTTCAGTGCATGGGTGAGAGGTAATTACCCAAAGCCAAAGATGGAACAACTGAAAAGGACTAGAGGTAGCAGCAGCTGGCACTGACACAGGGCTAAGAAGAATGCCTGTTCCCATCAGGTAGACAGAAAACCTTAGAATACATAATGCCTTGAGTAGAATAATAGAGAGTATATGTCAGGAGTGCAAAATAATCAGGTTTATATTATGTATTCTCAACAGGGAGTGAAAATTGGTTTTTGGGAATCAAGAAAATCTCAGTAATCACAATATTTTATATACCTTTAAAGAACGACAATTATAAATTGAATATACCCAAATCTGTGGCATTAAAATTTCATGGGAGAAAAGTGATTGGGGGAAAAATCTAAAAAGACTTTTAAAAAGCTAATTTAAAAAATTTTAAGAAACACTGTTCTTACATTTATCATTTTAATCTCAGCTAACAAATCTTAAAAGAAAAATTGGAATGATTTAAACTGTTTTAAGTAATTTGCTTTCCGCAGTAAGGCTTAAGAATATTACAGGAATGCAAAAATATTCAATGCACAATAATAAAAATTTTACAATATCTGCCATCAATAAAAGATTACCAGGCATGAAACAGAGTAGAAAAATTAAAATCTGGTCTTTAAAATACATTGTTAAGAGAATGAAAAAACAAGACAGCGACCGGGAAAATACATTTGCAAATCATATATTGGATAAAGAACTTCTATCCAGAATATGTAAAAAATATAAAATACTAATTTTAAGAAAACAAATATTACAATAAAAAATGGGAAATTATTTGTACAGACACAGACACTTAACCAGACAGAGACTATAGATGGATAGATCTAGGTAGATAGGTAAGTAGGTAGGTAGGTAGATCGATAAGGAATGGCAAACAAGCTAAGTACATAAACATATGCCAACAATTAATTATTAGGAGATTTTAAATTAATATGACAATGAAAGACTAATACATTTAGAATGGCTAAAAATTAAAAAACTGACTATACTGAGTTTTGGGAAGATATAGAGAAACAGGAAATCTCATACAGTGCTGGCAGGAATGCAAAATGGTAAAAACCAATTTGGAAACCAATCTGACAGTTTCAAAAACATTAGATACAAATACTTACATACTATCATACTTAAATATGATCTATCCTCTGCACTGTAAGGCTTTACCCAATAGAATCGAATGCATATATTCATAAAAAGACTTGTACATAAGATTTTCAGGGATCCTGTTTATACAAGCATGTCTTGTATTGAATGATTTTGGCTTGTCTTAGGCATTGACATTTTCAGTATACCCTAGATATCCAGGATATCCTAAATCTCAGGGTTATGTTTTTTTGACAAGTTACATAAATTCAGCAAAGTTTTTTTTTTTTCACCACAGTAGTCAGTGCTTAAATCACTTAAATTCCAAAACTACTTTTTTTTTTTTTGTAATTTTGTAAACTTTTCAGTGGGTCAACCTGGATTATGCTCAGGAATTATCAGTAACATATGTACTCATGTGATCATCACACTCAATTTTTTAAAATTCTTGCAATGCTTGCTACTATCTATATTTTTATTTCTGTACATTTCAATGTCAAAGTGCCAAAGCACAAGTATAAATTCTGTGGTGAGTTTTCTGAACAGTGGATATTTATAAAAAAAAAAAAAAAGGAAAAACAAAAGCTCTTTTGAAGCTCTTAGTGAAACATATTCATTCACCTAATCTAATCTAATTCATTCATTAGATATTCACCTAATCTCAGAAACCATGGAAAGTCATACATAGACCAGCATATACTAACAGATAAGCATAAGAGAAGTACGATTTTCTCAACCAGGACCAGAAAAGTGATTTAAACGACATTTTTGATTAAGAGAAATCTAGATGAAGAAGATAAACCATCTGTGGCAAAAGATGTCATGGCTTTCTAAACTGTGTACCACCCTCAGTCTTTTAGCTCAAATAATTATTTAAGCATATTTTTATCAGAAGTATATTCTGAATACAAAAAGGCAAGCATATTTTCATGTACCAGGACAAAATGAACTTTAATAATGAATAACTATCATTCTCTGTATTCATGGCATAATCATAGGTACAAATAATTTCAATGCAGAAAAACGTTATAAATCACTTGTAGATAAGGCCAGTAACGGTAGCAAATTTTTGCAGAGACTCTCCTAATAACTTTAGGGTTAATGAGAAAAACTACACTGTTAATGGTTGAGATAAATAAAAATATTGACGGGTATTTGTGTGAAAGTACAATGTTTATTCAAAATTGAAGCAAGGCATGAATAATTCTCTTGAAGGTGTTGTACATTCTGCCCATGTTCTGCATAACGCCACTCACACAGCATCTGATGTCCTTTCTATTGACATTGAAATAATTGTCAAGAAATATTTTTACTTCATTTATGCTGTTTGAACTGAGCAATTTATGAGTATTTGTACATTTTTTAGCATTTTGTAGTCTTGCATTCTGTTGTATTTTAAAAAAAGTTGGTCCTCTTTATCAAATTCAGAGAGCTGTTTATTTGAAGTATTAAATCTTGCTTTAATTCCAATGTCTTCCAAATATTTATTAACTGTTTTGTTTTTGTTTTTGTTTCTTGGAGACGAGGTCTTGCTCGAAGTAGCTGGGACTACAGGCACACACTAATTTTTTATTTATATTTTTTGTTGAGACAGGGTCTCTCTGTGTTGCCCAGGCTGATCTTGAACTCCTGGCCTCAAGCCATCCTTTAGCCTCAGCCTCTTGAAGTGCTAGGATGACAGTTATAAGCCACTGAACCCAGTGGGTTGACATTTAAAATAATCTAGTAATTAAAACCTATTACTTCTTATGCACAGTTTTCAATACCTCTTTAGAAATAAGATTATACAAATTGATAGAAAAGCAAATTAGATAATTCAAGTGCTGCATTACTTAAAATAACTTGTTGAATGTGCTAAATAAATAATTTATTTTAAAAAACTCTTTAAATGTTAGGACTTTCTTTAAAAGGAAAAATGTTATTTATATATAGGAAAAGAAATTTCAACTTTAGTTTAAAAATTATTACAGCATTTGCCATAACTATTTTAAAAACAAATTTTAGCCCTTGAAAAGTTGATTATTTTAGCTGGATGTTACAGAAGGGAAACAAAGGAAATTATCACACATAGTGTTGATGAAGGGAATAAAAACAGAAGGGAAACAAAGGAAATTATCACACATAGTGTTGATGAAGGGAATAAAAATTAATAGCATGTTCCTTTTTTGACATTTAAAAAAGTCACTGATCAACAGGTGCAATATAATCCTGAGAAAAGAAACACAAGTTATTCCATGAATAATATATTTCGTGAGTCAACAAATCAAATTTGAAGAACAATTGTCAGATTTATTAATTTTATGCTAGAAAGGTTAGTATACCAACTTATAATGCTAACGTTTGTGTTTACTCATTAGTGAATGTTCAATGAACAAAAGAACAAAAAAGATGGATGCAACCAATGGCAATGTAAATGGAACATACACCACAACTGCAAAACATTTTATATACAAATTAAGCCAAAAAAAGAACATTTAAGGAGAGCAAAATCTTTAGGGAAAGAAAAATTAAATAAATCACTATGTAATTTAGACAAATATAATTTGTTATAGATAAACAAGGAATAATTTTTAGAATAAGCATGGTATTATTGTTTTGTATAAGCATTTAGAAATAATTCAAATTTAATAAAGTACTTGCTTAAGGACCTTACTGTTTATTTTTATTTTCTAAAGATAGCAACATTATTGGTATATGGATGTTTGTGACAGCTTTATTTTTAATAGTAGAACCTGTCAATATTGCAGAAGTCCATTTGTTTAGTCCATTCGGGCTGCCTTAACAACATATCAAGGACCGGGTGGCTTAAACAACAGAAATTTTTTCTCACACTTCTGAAGGCTGGGAGGTGTAAGATCAAGGTGCCAGACAATTTATTTCCTGGTAAGGGCTCTCTTCTTTGCTTGCAGACATCCACTTTCTCCATGAATATGCAAATGGTCTTTCCTTTGCTCTCTCAAGGGAAGAGAGTGCTCTCTGGTGTCCTCTTTTAGGGACACTAATCCTATTGTATCAGGGCCTCTTCCTTATGGCCTTAATTTCTTCCTTAGAGTTCCTATCTCTAAATACAGCAATGCTGAGGGTTAAGGTTTCAACCTATAAATTTGCGGAGGGACACAAGTATTTAGTCCATAACATGCATTGAAAGATAAATGGAAAAAGGACTGTGGCATAGTCATACTGCAAAATATTCTTTGGAACTCAAAAGAAGCTGTTAATACAGGCTATAACATGGATGACTCTCAAAATAATTATGCTGCTGAAAGAAGTCAGGCAAAACATATGTATTATATTATTACATTTATATAAAAGTCTGGAAAGTGCAACTAATTTATGATAAAATAAGTAGATTAGTTGCTGCCTAGAAATGGGGAAGATGGTTGTTTGAAGTGTGGAAGGCAAGAATTATAGAGGAGCATGAGGAAGATTTTGTGATGGTGGATATATTCATCATTTCCATGACAGACTTTATTTGTTCATGCATAGTTATGCTACAATAAAACTGTTAAAAAATCTTATGATGGCCACTGCCAACCCATGAGGCTCACTGTAAATATTGTTGCATAGAGCTGGAAGGTTTGGTCTCGCCTCTAATTGGGAAATACTGATCTTTTTTCCAAGTTCTAGAGATCCAATTCTGCGTAATCAGTGTCATTCTACTGTGCAAGTTCTCACTGGGTTAATTCTAAAACTGCACCTGTCCTTGGACAAACACCTGCGTTCTTCATGTTTTCTCCTTATTCTTAAATCATGTGATTCTTCCTGACTGGCATAATTTCACCAGGTACAGTTTGGATTTGCAGTAGTCGCTTTGGATAATTTTGAATATAAGCAAGATTGTTTTATTTGAGAGGTGCTCTAGACCAAAATGAGAAAAAAAAGTCAGACTGTTCAATTATCTGCATTCTTTAATTGGAATGAAGAAGCCTAAAATTTCAAGTTGAACTCAAACATTGCTTCACCAAAGCATTCTTTAGTTAACACCAATGAAAATTGTGAAAACGTAAAACTACTTCATGTTGTCAATACATCCAAATCATGTTGTCCTTCTCTTATGTTATCTCCCCCCCTCCTTTTTTTCTCCTCTTGCTCTTTTTGAGCCAGAGGTACTACTTCAATGCCCCTTAAGAATGCAGCTTGCACATGGAGAAGATATTGGCTGTTCTGTAGCCTTAGATCCTTGGGTCATTGTTAAAGAATCAGGACTTAAAATATAGTGTTATTGAAGAGTTTAGACTTATCATGGACTCAGATGCTCTAAACCCTGCTGACCTCTACCAATCAGAATATCTTTTGGTGAGCTTGGGTGATAAATTTAGGTTGAGAAAAACTAATTGTCACAATCCTGAAGATGATTTAAAGCTGCTGTATCTTTAAGAAACAATAATAGATGCAGAATACTATATATGCATGTATGTTATTTATAATATATTTAACATATACAAACACATTCATCCTAAATAAAAAACAAACATATTATACAGATAAAAAATCATATCATTAGAATTCACATTTTCTGAGTTTTATCTGACACAAATCTTCTTATGGTGGTCATAACTTTTAATATCTCAATGTTAATATTTCTTGTCTCTCAAAAATGTAGTAAGAGAAAAAATAACTAGTATTATCCTAATTTCTCTAAGTTGTTACAAAATTATGGTGAATGTGAAAACACATCATAAAGTTTTCAATAAAAATGTATGTAACCCTATAAAATGAAAGATAATAGTATCATTTTAAGTGCAGTAGTAAACAAGTAGCACATAAGTAGCATTTATTTAACCACTAATTATGATTGCAACTCTTCTTGAAAAATAAGTATGTGTGTTTTCCACTCTGTATTTTTTACCATATTATAAAAATGTACTTGTATTTTCATTGTGTTCCAAATTCAAATTGTTACAAAAATCAATTTTTAATGTAATTTTGACATAGAAATACATGTCAAATTAGTTTCTATTTCTGCACAGTAAAACTTTAAAACTTTTCTAGAAACCCATGGCTTCTTTTTCTTAACTCTCACCTTCTGTATCTACACAGAGAATTCATCTTGACTTCTTAGGCATTTTTTTTCCTTCCGAATTTGTCTCTCTTTTCCTTTTCTGATCCATGGCAATTTCTTCGGGGCTTGCTCAGGTCATCTCCCAATGTTTAATCTTATAAGTCACCTCAAGAACTACAAATTTGTGCGATTCCTTTTGTCTGGATTCCTTTCAATGAAAGGGGGTCTTATGCTTGTCAGTTTCTTTCTTCTCCCTGAGTATTCACTCCTGACCCCTTCCATTGAGTTTTAGGCCACACTGAGTTCTTCATTCTCTGTATTCTATTACCCTTAAAAATAGCATCTCACTCTTTGTATCTTAATTGGTCTTCACTTATTTTCTTCAGGTCTTTGTGGATGAAGAGACAATCTTTTATTTTGATCACTCGTATTGTGCCTTAATATATTTTTGGATATAAAGTTTAGTTTTCAAAAATACTAGGTGGTTGTTGATTGCCTAACTTATAATTCTACATATATGCGTAACAGTTACTTAAAGCTACTTAAAGCTACTTAAAGTTACTTAAATAAATGAAGTACTTTATAGATACATATTTGATACAGTATAGATGCAAAGTTACTGAAAATTATGTTTTAATGCCTACAGTATCAGCTACATCATAAAGAAATGAGCTCTTTCTGGCTGGTTTATATAGGAGTAAAATGCTGTCTGATAAGAATATTGAATTTTCAATAGTTAAACAAGGCTAGAGCAATGGAGGGCAATCAAATTGGCTATAAAATACCTATTTAAAGAAGATATAACATACTAAATTATCTATAAACTACTACTTAAATTTTATGTGCTAAATTATTTATTATTCTCCTTATAGAGATTTAAAGTCACCTTTGATCACCAAACCCAGTCCTGATCCTTATCCCATCACACACAAATTTGCATACATAGCATACTCTTCAGAATGCTATGATCAGGTTTAATTTTATGCAATGTTACATGACATTGTAATTTATTTTTCATTAAAACAGGCAACTATTGGTAAATGATAGGAAAGGAAATGTTTTAAAAGCAAGCTCCAGAACTGAATTTCAATTTGTTTAGGTATTAATAGCAAAAGTTTTAAGGATTTAAATATACGTGTTTTAAAGAGAATCCAAAGCAAATATGAGTGTTACAAATATTAATATACAAGAATATATTATCTAAGGTGGAACAAACTACTATACATTTTAATTAACCTTTCTACGTAGGTCCAGATCATTTGTATTTGCCACATTCTTACAACTGCATTAATTAGGTTTTACAATTATATTGGTTTTACAGATGAAAAATCTGAGGTCCAGAAAGTTTTAGTAACTTGGTCAAGGTTACATGGCTAGTAAATGACAGACCGAGGTCTTTAAACCAAACAGCATGATGCTACAAATGGTTTGTAACTACTGTCTGATATTGTCTCCTATACATTGTCAATGTTAACATTTACAGTCTCACAAGTTGCCAGGCTCTGTTATGAGTATATATGTATGTGTATATGTTCACATATAAATTCACAGCAATGCTTTGGGATCGATCTTAGAAAATATATTTCAAGATATATTTTCTAGATTATCTAGAAATATATTTCAAGATTAGTGTAACCCTAATCTACAGATGAAGATGTGGAAACACAGAGATTAGTAAATTTCCTAAGTTTGCACAGATGAAGTGTGGGAAATTAAGATTAGAACCAAGACTATCTTCCTGAAGTCCATTCTGTTAACCACTACAATAATATCTCATATAGAAAAAATACAAAAAAAGTCAAATGAGTTAGCATTGCTATGTTCATACATTTATATTTATATTGTTTTACTATACAGTTTCTTACTGATCAATCTTCTTATTTCAATATGTTAATTAATTCTTCTACATTTTAAGAATCATTCAAATTTAATAGTAAATACTGAGGACAATGAAGATCAGTTGACTGAATCACGACATAATATTGTCCTGAAAAGATGTGATTTTCTATCATTGGGATGCAAGATATTATAATATTTCCTATTTGCGCAATAAAAATATCCAGCATTTCTATTTTAAGGACTCTGGAAATTTCATCTAAGCATCATTTTCAGTGACTGTTTTTGATCCAAAGCCTGTCAATTGTTACTTCAATAAACTGTTTTTGTGATGCCCCATGGTAAGTTACTTACAAGAGTGTGATCCTGAATAAACCATGGATTTTATGTTGTACTGGGTTACTGATTTGCCTGGTCAACTTGAAGTGATTTTATTTTACTAGATTTTATTTGTATTTTTAATTGTCTAAGATGAAAAGAAGGAAGGAAAAAAAAGAAGGAAGGGAGGGAGAAAGAGAGGGAGGAAGGGGAAAGGGAGGGAGGGAAGGAGGGAGGAAGGAGGGAGGAAGAAAGGAAAGAACTTAAAGACGAAAAGAGAAACGCAAGTCTTCTTCCTGAGGTCAAAGGTTAGCTGCAAGTACTCTGTCTCAGATGATAATACACATTAACTTGAGCTTGTAGATAAAAAGGATTGGTGAGTACTAAAATGATGTAATGTTTTTAGGTTCCTGAAGATGACAGCAAAATGGAGGAGGCAGTTAAAAACAGTGAAGAAATGCTCAAACACTGAACGAAAGTACCTAATTCAAATCCCAGTTGTTCCGTTGATAAGGACACGACCTTTGGTAACCTTCCTACACCTCTCTTTACCTTCATTTTTACACCTGTAAAATGAGGATAATTATGATACTTTTATGAATTAGACTACACAAAAATATTGTTTATATTCGCCTCTGACCTATAGTAAGGACAGTATTAGCATTTGCCATCAGTTATTTGTATTTTTAAAGTTTTTATTTGATTATATGATATAGTATTTTACCAGTGGCTTTTATTTCAGCTATCTTGAAATATATTTTCTTAATTTTTAGTAGTAAATTGTTCAGTGGGGCCATTTTAAAATGACTTCCCAAACTAATAATTTAATAAATTTAAAAGAAACTTGCATTGATCTGTTTTAGTAATCTACATGCCTCCTGAATCAAAATGATACTTCTAAATTTTATTTTGTTTAAATGCTTATAGTAGCTCTTGCATAATAAAAAAACCTAAAAACAGAAAATAAAAACACACAAACAAAATAACAACAGAATACTTATGATTAATCCAGACTGAAATACCCACATTCTATCTCATTTTATACACATGAAGTTACAAACATAACTTTTTAATTGCCTATCACTAATATATCTAGACCATACAATTTGCAGAAATAATTTTAATTTTTTAATAAATCTTCTGACATAGCATCACCATTATGCTAAAATCTTGATAATGTTTTTAAATCTGATTTTAGTTTATTTGACAGACAAGCATTGAAAACATATTTTTAATTAATGTAATCAATCTTTTTTTTTAACGTAAGTTGTGCTAACTTTTCTTTGCTTGGAAGCATGATGATTATAACACTGGAAATCTCACCATGTCAGATGTCCTATTTAAGATCATGCTTAAATTGCAAATTTTAAAACACAGACATTTTGTTCATTTTGTGGTTATACTTTCCATTCCACCTCTGTGATTCAAAGCACATAAAAGAATAAGTGTTCACAATAGAAATGACAATAAACTTCCTCAAGCAGTACTGCCCTAAAAATTAAAGCAATAATAAAAAATTTCTCCCCAACTCACTGCATTGGCTTTTTAACCATGATTCATATAAGGAAACACACACACACACACACCCCAGATTAGAAGAAGAAGATATAAAATCTTCTTATATATGTGGGGGTAAACTTTTCTCATATTCTACTGCTTATGACAGTAAAATCTTTTGGCAATTTATCAAAAACTCAGTAAATTCTTGGACTGTAAGCAATGACATACAAACTTCCAAAGAGCCACAGAGGAATAGAACATTGAATTGTTTATATCCTGGAATGAAAACAAAAAAAAACAGCTAGTGAGAAAGAGTTCCAAAATATAAGGAAACATGTTATGAAAGTTAGCAATTTTTGTTGTATATGTATTTTTTCAAAGCACATACAGAAAATCTAGTCCACATGTAACATAAAATGTAATTGAGAACCACGCAATTCATTCATAGAGACATACATTTATTCATTTGTTTATTCACCACACTCCCCACACCACATTCTTCCACTTTAAGATCTGGAGTTAGCAGAAGTGATTCCAACCTCACCACTTAGTATTATATAAACTTAAACTAATTATTTGTGGTATCAGGACTTCATGCTGTTGTTAAGATTACATCAAGTCATGAATATAAAATAATTAGCACAATCTCTGATACGTAGCAAATGTTTATTGTATGTTGTTCAATTTTATTAATATTTCATGCATGTTGTTGATCCATATATGATGTGAATTGGGACCCTGATCACAAGCTGAGAAGACTATTATGGTATAAAAGGAAAATGCATAAATAATGGTCATGCAATGTAGAAAGTGGAAAAGAAGGGCATAAGAGAAATATAGAAGCATGTTCTAACTTTACAATTTAGAAACAATAGAATACTTGTGGTATATAATATTTTTGACTTCTAATGTATAAATTTTTTCGCCTAAACTATATTTACCCTCTTCCTCAAAGGCACAGCTAAACATGACTCAGAACTTTTCTGATCTTATGTGGTCACCTACACTTTGTTGTTTAATGAAATATAATCTCATCAATCGGTTTACTCAACTTTATCAGAATAGACATATTGAAAACTTCCAAGCATGGTTCAAAAGGCCCTATAGATTGTGCATGTTAATTAATTGAAAGAGAGTAGACAATTTCAATGTTAGTTGACTTCAATTTTTGACCATTAGTAACATAAAACCCAAAGCTTTTTAATGACATGTCAATGGCCCAAATATTAATTAACAACAGGAAATCAGAATGTAAGTTTGCCAACTATTTCAAAGTTCCCAATAAACAGCATTATAAATATTACTAGGGACTCTAAATTACTAAACTCAGAATCTTAAAGAGTCAGATTTCTTAGATACAAATTTCAGGTCCACAACTTACTATCTGTCAGAACATGGGGCATTTGAATCACTCTTTGCCTCAATATTCACATCTAGAAAATGGTCATAAAATTATTATCAGTCCTTAGATTTGTCATGACATTAAAATAAGACAATATATGAAAGTATTCTGGAATGTTCTGGCAGGATTTTAGCTCAAGAAATTTTAGTTATTATTATTAATATTATGGATTAAATATCTGTATTTGCTCTTGTAATTGGCCTTTCAACTAAGAAATATGACACTGTCACAGAAATTCCATATTAGTAGAGATATTTCACTCAGAAAACTGAGCTGTTAATATTTTATTCTTTCATAACTTGCCCCTTTTTTTATTGAAAGTACCCAATTTTAGAAAATATGCTGCTGCCTACGAATCTCAATGCATACCTCATCTTAACTAGGGTATCTGTTTTATCATGGTATCTAGCTAGTTATCTCATCCTTTTTAAAGAGACAATGAGGCAGACCCTGTTCATGTACTTCATCCTAAACTAATTGAACTCGTTCCAAGACCTCTTTGCCATTCTATAAGCATTCTACATACTGATAGCAAGCCTTGCAACTCATTTAAACTTCTCACCAAACTAGTTTCCTATATTTTGTATTTCCTAGTAAGCTGCAGTTGTTTCAAACCTACTTCAGAGGGATAAAATTTATACACAAACATTCTTTTTTAAAACATTATAGACATAAAGATAATTTTATGATTACTGAACACATCTAGGGAAATTTTTACCAACAGCAGCAGTTAAATTTTGATTACAGTGTACTGAATCGTATGTATATAAGTTGTGATATGTATACATAGCATGAATACAGCTGGAAGCTTTTTAAAAATCACAACTGGAAAAAAAAAAAAGAAAGAGACAGAGAGAGAAAGAGACTTCATTTTTACCTGAGGGTCAGTCTGCAGAACAATTTCGATTTTCTAGTTTCATTGGCAGGTAAGATCCATGATGTTATTCAGCATGTGAGTGTCATGGCTTGTCTCATTTGTAAACTCCTCTTCATCATCCCTTTCATATTCATTAAAGAATAAAAGGCAATAGGATAGGATCATGGATAGCATTGAACATGGTATTTATTCAAATCATTCTGAGCTTGTAAAAAAATCACAACAACAGCTCGGTTTTTTTTTTTTTCCTTCCTAATGGATTTTCTGCAATTGTGGTGAATCATTTTAATTAATGTCTAAAGTTCCAGTTAAACTTATTTTTAAAGATATTTAAAACATTTTGCAGCATGATAATTTAGAGTAATCAAATTTCTACTCATAGAAAAAAACAGTGTTTTCATCATATATTGTTAGACAATCTGTGCTATTATATCCAATGCAATGATACAGAGCACACTTCAGCAGCCAGAGTTTATCTGCCTCAGTGCAAGATTTCACACATGACAGATTGCAAATTATTATTGTGTGGCTCTGTGATATAATGAGCTACCATTATTACATAGTAACCACTGTAGTAAGGAGATTTTCATAGGGCTGTATTTTTAATGGACTTCAGAACCAAAAACAGAACAAAAGCAAACACCCTCATTGAAGCATTTTTTTAAAGTAAAGACATCACACTAATTTTAATGTTTTATTAACTTGCTTTAGAAAACACTGGCTTTCTAAGTAGTCTACGTTCTAAATGATTTAAACTCAAATTCATAGCAAAATTAAAATTCATGGCTAAATATCTTTCCTTGATATGGAACTGGGTGAGAATGTCACTCATATCAACATATAAGATGTTTAAATCAAGATAAAAGGCTCACTTAAATCCAAATATGTTATTATTGATGTCCCAATAAAGGGTTTTTAATTACGTGGATTAAATTTCTCCCGTTGAAAATAAATACATTCAACAAGTATTCTCTGGGGAGATTGAGAATAATAGTTTGCTTTTTACATGAGCTTATTTCCAAATCAGGTGTATGAAAACACCCACAAAGAGAGAGGCAGCTATTTGTTAGTATCAGTTTTGTTCTTAAAAAGAGTTTGTGAGGAAACCCACTGGGAAAAAACAGTTTGCTCCAGCTGCTTCAGTCATTTTTCTCAATGATACCTACTGCCCCCTGCTGACTCATTACGGAATAAACCATTACATTCCTCTGGAAATTTAAACAAAGGCCTTTGAGTCATTAAGCCGGTAATGGAAGATATATTTGTTAAGGTTTGAAATTGCATACATCTTACTCCTCCCATTATGACGTATAGAAAATATTATTTCCATATCTAAGTTCTGAAATGTCCCTATTCAACTTGCATTTTGTGTGTTCTCAACTGATTTTCTAATATCCTCCCTTTCACCCACAGGCCAGCTTACGTTATAAATCCAAAGCTAGTGAAAACACAATTAGAGAAGACCATGTGAAGTGTGAAGAGCTTAATGTTTTAGGGCAATTGAGCAAGATTTATTCAGTAAATCAGAAATGTGTTTTCACTGCAAGTGAGTGTTTTATGGTGTTTCGCTTTTGACAGTCCGTTGTGGAACAAGATTGAGAAAAATTTAAGCTGGGTTTTGTAATTTATATGAGGATTGATGGATATTTTGTTTCCTCAACACTGATTAATCTGTGAAATGGAACTTACTTCAAATACACTGCAGAGTTGCTATTAAAAAGAATATATTATCCAAATTCAGGCCACAAGACTATATTACAGGATGGAATGTGTTTCAACAAATTACTGCTGACACTTTGAATAACTAGAGCCCAGGAGAAAGCCATACAGAAAATGATATTTTAGTAAGGCTTCCAGGGAGTCAATCACCAGTTTTCAGTCAAGAACATAATCGCTTGTTCTCTCTTTATTCTGAATTGCTAACCGCAAGAACTGTGTCTCATTAATTGATGACGATCTTTGAGATTATCTATACTTGTAATGTCTCTAAGCTATTTCAGCTGGAAAACTTAGGAGACTATGTTGTTAAAAACATTAAAAGAAAACAAAATCTCAGCTAGAAAAAGGAAAATAATGTATCAATTGTTATTAGCTTGCAAATGAAGTAATTACTTTCAATTTCTTGTATTAATCAGTTGTTTTAAAAGAATACATACATTATAAATTATAAATGTTGATTACTGAGAAGTAATTTAAATATTAATTAATAAGTAAATGCTGCAAAATACAGTACATAAACTTAATTTTTTAAGAGAGGTAATTGGTATTTAATTATTATATATACAAGTAAAGGATTATCAGGGATTTTAGGTAAATATATAACAAAGAATTCGATCAATTCTTATTTTTAAACATATTATTATTATATACAAGTACTAGTTTATTTTTGTTTGAGTAAGACAATTATGTCAATAAACAGAAGATATCAGTCTACCAGAAGATAACTGCCTATCAGAGGCATGTATTTGAAAACTTCCAGATGATAAAGTACCCTTTATGATGGAAAAAATAATTCCATTTTTACTCATGAAATTAAAAGGAGTTATAGCACAAAATATTTCATACTCATGACTCAAGAATTCTGCCCAAATTTATAAATTATTCTTGTAATATCCAATCAGAAAAGAACAGGGAAGACTGTAGAAAGAAAAAATCTACAAAGCTACAGCACTTACTCCAGCATTCACTCTACAATGTGCTTTTTCTCTAGTGCCATCTATTAAGTTTATTCTCCCCAAATATTGATTAAATGATTGCATTGTGTGCACACATGTGTGTATGTACTGAACGTTTCCAGGATAATTAAATGGACTAGTCTATGCATTTTCTTTCTAGATTTTAAGTGTTACAAATTATTGTAGTATTTCCTTGAATGCAGAAAAAACATGTATGTTTACTCAACTGACCTTTTCTTCCTGAAGAAAACACTTGTGTTAAAACTATATACTGCAAGTAATTGTATACTTTCTTGGAATTAGTTTTAACCTTTTACTGAGTTTTCATAGTATAAAAATGGAACATAAAATACTCATAGACCTGGAAGTTTCCATGTATCTCTCAATAAAAGTGATGAGAATTCAGGAGTGGAAACTAAAGTGTCTTGCTAAAACACACAGTAGGGTAATTTATTTTCATCACAGTTAATGCTATTTTCCTAAGTTTAATTACCTAGCATATCTAAAGAAATGCATTCTAAGCACTGACTTAAAAATTAGGAATACCAGATTCTAATATGGCCATGGTTTCTAACAAGCTGTGTATATAACAGCTTGGTAAATCATCATACCTTATGATCTTTAGTTTCCTTATCTGTAAATGTTGAAAAGGACTAGATTATTTTGCAAGTCACTTCTAGTGATATATTTCATTGATGAACATCAACAAACTTCCCTACATGGTCCACTTCCCAACGTCCTCCATTCCCCTAATTTGGCATAATCTGAATAAACTCATTTACTCCTCAGAATAATTCTCTGAGAATGGCATTGCTATCCTCATTTCACCAGTGAGAAAACTGAAGTTCAGAAAGGATAATAGGCTTGTTGAAATTCAAACAGATGGTAAATGGTGGAACTATTCATAACAATGAAAAACAAGACTGTCAGTGGGAAAGTGGGTTTTTAAGAACACAAAAATGCACGGGTGAATCATTACTATTACCATTTTAATATTGTTTAGTGGTTATTTTCTATGTAAATTCCATAGATAGATAGGTAGATAGATAGATAGATAGATAGATGATAGATAGATGATAGATATATATATATAGATAGATGATAGATGATAGATAGATAGATAGATAGATAGATAGATAGATAGATGATAGATAATAGATAGATGATTAGCCAGGCCTCTCCAGGGAAACAGAACCAATAGAATATATATATATAATTAGCTAATTCAATTATGGTGGCTGAGAAGTTCTTCCATCTGCTGTCTGTAATCTGAAGAACCCGGAAAGGAGGTGGTAATATAATTATGTTTGTATCTGATTCTGAGGGTCTGACAACCAGAGTAGAAGACCAGGGTGGTTAGGGGTGGGCAGTGCTTGTGTAAGTCTCAGAGCTGGAATGCCCTAAAACTAGGAAGTCCAATATCTGAGGACAGGAGAAAATGGAAGTCCCAGTTTAAGAAAATAGAGCAAATTTGCCTTTCCTCTACCTAATTGTTATATTGATCCCTCAGTGGATTGGATGATGTTCACCCACATTGATGAGGTCAATATTCTTTATTCAGTTTACCAATTTTAATGTTAATTTCTTCCAGAAACACCCTCACAGACATACCAGAGATAATGTTTACCACCTATCTGGGCATCCCTTAGTCCAGTCATTGACACATAATATTAACTATCAGATAGGTAGATAGATAGATAGATAGATAGATAGATAGATAGATAGATAGATAGACAGATCAACTTATAGCATTATATACACAAATAAAAATGTACAAGATAAGCTTGAACAAACACACTGTGTAAGTTCAGGAAATTCATCACTGACAAACATTAAAATGATAAAATATACACCTGTGACAATAATAATTCAACAAAACATTAACAATAAATTCAGTGAAGTTAAATAAAATGTTCTTGGGTTATTTGACATATCGTTGGGTTATTGGATCATTGGTGAAATTGATCAAAATGGACTGTGGTTGAAATAGATTCATTGTGGGTTTTCAGGAACTGAAATCAGGATAGGCCAACTCTTCTGGATATATGGGCTTTGCTGTTTCATCTCAGAATTTCTCAGTATTTAAATTATTTCTGTCATTTAATGGATTTTTTCACTTAGCAGTAGAATCTCATTACACTTAATTGCAACTAACCTGAATTTTTACCTTTTAAAATAGACTTTTCTCTTTATCCCATATTAATCTTCTCTAAATTTCCATTTCATTTGCAATTCTCTTTTTGGTCACCAAGAATCTCCAAAATGAAGTCCAGTTCATTATATGCCTCATTATCAATATTACCATAGAGCTATTATTGTAATTTACTCCAATGACTTTTGATGCCTTCAATTCAATCTTATTCTGAAGAAGCCTGGAAGTGCTAAAGCCAGATGACTTGGATCATTTTCAAAGCACAGACTAATTTTATTCCGATAGACAGTAAATCTCAGGGCCCTCCAGGAAAAATAGCAATCAACCAGGAAAGTTTTTTTTTTTCCTCTTCCTCTTGTTTTCTCCTTAGAGATAGAAGAATTTGTTTAAATTTTATATTTGTTTGTTTATTTGATCAGTGTTTTTGTTTCTTTTGGTTTTGCTTTTGTTTTTGCATTGAACCTAATGGAGATTAAAGGTCAAGAGTGTCCTGAAGGTTTACTCCAAATTACTCAGCTGTGTACTTTTAGTGTAAGTTTCTATACAACCTTATTTATTTCTATTCTTAGTCTTTTTAAGTTTTAATAATTTTACAATAAATTATTAAAGACAAGCCAAATACTTTAAATACCTTCAATATAATTTGAAGAATACAGTAGAGTGATTTCACTGGCAGAAATTACAATAGTAAACTTCAATAGAAAGTTGAGTTCTTTTAACTACTCATATCAACATGTTGCTGATCTCAAGGGAATACAGAAAAAATCACTTTTATAAAACTATATTTTTGATGGTACTAAATATTGTGTTAATGCCTCTTTTTTAAAAAACTGAAAATGTAAATCATTGTTTCAATTACCCAGTTTTCATAGTTGTGCTACCTTATATAATATAAATTAGATTTTCAAACTGTTTAGAATTCAATACTGATGATATTAATTAAAATAAAAAATTATTATATTAAAAAATAAAAGAACATTCTTCTGCATAATTTTTCTCCAATTAGACTCAACATTTTCATAAGAGAATTATTTACTCATTGGCATTTTACACTTGTATGATTTTAAAAACGGAAAGCCCTAAAGTATTTTGTATTGTAAATTTTGAATCCTAAAGAAAACATTAAAATGCGTTCAAGACAACCTCAGTGTTTTATTTTATTTATTTATTTATTTATTTATTTATTTATTTATTTATTTATTTATTTTAACAGAGTCTTGCTTTGTCACGCAGGCTGGAGTCCAACGGCATGGTCTCTCACTGCATCCTCTTTCTCCCAGGTTCAAGCGATTTTCCTGCCTCATCCTCCGGAGCAGCTGGGACTACAGGTGTGTGCCACTTAATTTTAACTTAATTCCATTTTTTGCCTCCCCATCAGACTGCAATTTTTTTAATATTATAATGATAATTTATGTACTTCAAACTGTGCATTATATATACTAGCCAATAAGACCTTAACATTACCCTCAGGCTGACTAAACTTTAGACAG